>NC_000016.10:75168560-75471591 GCF_000001405.40 Homo sapiens
ATAAAACCAGCAGCAGTTAGTGATCCTGTGGTAAGGGTTGTGTATCTCTTAGCGAATGAGTTTCTGGATTTTACCATTTGCAAGATTCTCACTTAAGAGATTTGGAGCTCTGCTATCTGGTTGTCACTGCAAACCTATGAGAAGTGCTGTTCTCTGGAAATCATTTTGGTAAAGATGAACAGTAGAAAAAAAGGAGAAAAAGCTTAGAACTATGCAGACTGGTGCTGGTTCTACCATAGTAGTCCGAGTTTAGCAAATAATACTATTAGTCGAGATCTGCTTAGGTGTTTCCCCTTAATTCCCTCATCTGCTTACTTTCTCGGTCTCTGTGCTAACTGCAGTGTCCTTAAGAACACTGTGAATCTCCCTCCCTGGCATTGCCAGCCTTCTCATATTGTGTTCTGTTTTCTGTCTCCTTTCACCCTCTCTGCCCACTTTAAGGTCATTTTGTGATCTGGCAATGCTACTTGTATTGATTTTGGTTTTGTTTTGTTTTTTTAACCACAAGCTATTACCTTTCTCTTTCAAAGTTTGAAAGGAAACATTTGCACTGGGAATTTTTTAATATTGGGAGACTGGGTCCCAAACTAAAGAGTCAGCCCTGTGATAGAACACGTGTGAAGACTTCCCATTCGGTAACATTATAGCGGAGGCATTGACAAGGTTCTTTTCATTGTGCTCTCTATTCCTAGAAGTGTGGAAGGCTGATGACCAGATGGAGAGAGACCACAGAAACCCAGACGAGCAGGCGAGGCAATTTTTAATTCTTAAGAACCAAACCCCAATTGAGGAAAGAGGCGATCTCTTTGGAAAAGCACTTAATCTGAACACAGACTTTGTTTCTTTAAGACAAGTACCTTATAAATATGACTTATATGAAAAAACTTTGAAATATAATTCAGACTTGCTTAATAGTAATAGAAGCTATGCAGGAAAGCAGACTGATGAGTGTAATGAATTTGGAAAAGCACTTCTCTACCTGAAGCAAGAGAAAACCCACAGTGGAGTAGAATATTCTGAATACAATAAAAGTGGAAAAGCCCTCAGCCATAAAGCAGCCATTTTTAAACATCAGAAAATAAAAAACTTGGTTCAACCTTTCATTTGTACTTACTGTGACAAGGCTTTCTCCTTTAAGTCACTCCTCATTAGTCATAAGAGAATACATACTGGAGAAAAGCCATATGAATGCAATGTATGTAAGAAAACCTTCTCCCATAAGGCCAACCTCATCAAACATCAGAGAATTCACACTGGGGAGAAACCTTTCGAGTGTCCGGAATGTGGAAAAGCTTTCACCCACCAGTCAAACCTCATTGTACACCAGAGAGCACATATGGAGAAGAAGCCCTATGAGTGCAGTGAATGTGGAAAGACATTTGCCCAAAAGTTTGAACTCACCACACACCAGAGAATTCATACAGGAGAGCGACCCTATGAGTGTAACGAATGTGCAAAAACCTTCTTTAAGAAGTCAAACCTTATCATACATCAGAAGATTCACACGGGGGAGAAACGCTATGAGTGCAGTGAATGTGGAAAATCCTTTATCCAGAACTCACAGCTCATCATACACATGAGAACTCATACAGGAGAGAAACCCTATGAATGTACTGAGTGCGGCAAAACTTTCAGCCAGAGGTCAACTCTTAGATTACACTTGCGAATCCACACAGGAGAGAAACCATATGAGTGTTCCGAATGTGGGAAGGCCTTTAGCAGGAAGTCCCGACTCAGTGTCCATCAGAGAGTTCACATCGGGGAGAAACCCTGAAACTCCAGCCAGGTCTTACTGTGGAAAACTCCTGCCAGAACTCTTCAAGCGGGTGAAAAACCTCATGACAGTATTGAGGGAACATGGGAATTCATACTGAGATGCAATCTCTCAACTCAAAAATGTATTAAAAATAGGATCCCATGAGAACATTATACTGGAAGTTACATGTGATACCCAGCTAAAGAATACATATCAGAATATATCCAGTTGTAAATAGCCATACCCAGTTGTACTACAATGAGCTTTTTAAAATCTTGAATGAATTGAGTATTCTAGACAGCAGCATAAGAAATATACAAACAGTATCCTATGAATTTAGTGGTTTTATGTGGATATGCCACAAAACACAAGTGGTATGCTTTAGATCTGCACATGTGAATTTAGCATAATCACTGGGAATTTGAAATTCTTGTCCTCTGTGATAATTAGGACATAACAAGATTTTCCATACTAAACATCACATGTGTTTTTCAGTATCTCTGCAATCCAGTATGCATTCCAAATGAAATGTGTAACATTTAAAGTAGCATGGAACCTACGTCTTTCCCTACTGCTTGCTGGCATATATCAGTTGGTATGAACATTGTTCTTGAGCTGCCTCTTAGGAAACAGAAGACAGTGTTGAAGTTTTCCCTGCTTCTGGTTTGCTGAAGATTTTCTAGAAGCACTATTTACACAAATATGCAAATGTGAAATAACCGATCTATAACGTGAAGGAGGCAGACATGAGCTGTACTACTCAGTATGCACCACAGAATAAGAGTTTGCCGTGTAAAGACAATATCCCCATTCGTCATGCTCTTATTTTCCCGTGGGATATTTGCATACAAATGCATGTCTGTTACCAAAATATTGTGTAACACAGACAGAAACCACCTGTTTTTGTCTTTCCTTGTTTCCCTTAATATTTCATGAATTGTCTAGCAAAAATGGTAGGATGCTTCTGTAGTTCACAAATGTTACATTTCAGAGACTTTAGAGGAAAAATTATTTTAAATAACTGTCAACTGTTTCATTGCTTTTTAAATTTTTCACGTGCATAACCCCCTTTAGAAGTAAATTTTTACACTATTTTGTTGTTTAAAGGAGGCATTTCTACTTCCTTGAGTTTTGCTGTTGCCAACCTAAAACATTTCCCTTTGGAACATGAGTTATAAGTTATTACTTTTCCTTTACATGTTTACACTTTTATAAAAATCAGATTTTTCAGTGGTCTCTCCAGATATTAACAAGAATTGTTGTGTAACTCAAAGATTTGCTTTTATAGACTTGATTTCAAATTCTTAAGTTCAGCCTTTCCCTATCAATCACAAATCATGTATTGGAAATTATAAATGGCAACCAAAAACTGGCTTTTAAAAAATATTTTTGGATATCATTGATGTGCTGTCACACTATATATTGAGTGACTTTCTGAACAAATTTATCCAGAACATCCATAGCCCAATAAGCTTTTGTCTAAGTTGTCATCTTACTTACTCACAAAGGAGGGGAAAACGTTATTTTCATAGCTGCTTTTAGAAATGTAAATTGTAACAGCCTCCTTGGACAACATTGTGAGTCTGTTTTAACATTAATATACTCTTACAACCTAGGAATCTCCTGGGAATCTATCCCTAAGGAATAAAAAGCGCCAGCACTTAAGATTATATGTTTACTAATGTATATTGTATTTTTTGGTAAGGACCAAAAAAACAAACAAAAAAAAGACCATCAGTAAGGGAATGGATGAATAAATTGTGGTAAAAACATACCATGGCTGAATGGTATTTCCTTGAAAAGAATGTGTGGGAACAAACTCCAAACTTCTCTAGGTCAAATGAGGAAAGCAAGAGGGGAGAGAGAGAGTGTATGTGTGTGTGTAGCAGTTTTTATAAAATAAAGATAAACCCTTATATATGTGTGTCTTTGTATATGATTTTATGGGCCTGGTGAATAGAATTCCTTCCATTTTTAACCTGTGGACCTCACCAGCTTTATCAGTGAGGGCTTTAGCAGTAAACTGAATTAGCGCCTTATGAAAGGATGACTTGGAGAATGAGAGAAGGATTAAGGGAACAAACAACGGATGGTAAGGAATCCAGAGACCAGCAGTGCCAAGAAGCTGTTGTCTCCCTAGGGACCAAAGGAAGAAATGGTGTTTCAGAGCCCAGTGAGAGCCAAAATGTTGGAAGGTCTCTTTCCTGTAGGAGATAGAAAAATAAAAAGGAAGAGTGTCTCTTAAGTGGATGTTGAAGCTCTACAAAGATGCAGCTACTGTGAGAAACACAGAACTGTCAGGAAAGGGAGCAGAGGGGGAAAAGCCTCAGCTCTTTATTGCTGTCTCCTGAAGATGCCTCCATCAACTGAACCTAATCAGAAGCCCGGGTGATGCCGTCCTCCTGGGATAAAGCAGGGTAGAAAGATGGAGGATGGACCAGGAGGGGAAACAGCACAATCAGCAAATCTCCCATCTCAGTTTCAGCCTTGCTGGTCCGACTGTAATGAGGCTTTCCCAGAAGGACCCTTCTTCCCCTATGGTCATTCCAAGTGGCAACTGTTTGTCTCATGCCTCTTATGCGTTTAGAGGTAAGATGACTGACTCTGAAGCCCAATTTCAGAGGAAATAAAAATTTGGGAGTTGTCACAGGGATAATATTTTAAGCCATAAAGCTAGGTGAGATTACCTAGGAAAAAAAAGTATAAAGAATGTCAAGGACTGAGCCCCGAGCACTCACCCCAGTGTTTGCTGGGCAGGAACTGGCAAATGAAACTGAGAAGGAACCACCAGGGTTAGGGTGAAAACCAGTAGAGGGTGGTATCTGAAGCCAGCTGAAAACACTTATTTTGAAGTAGAAGAGTGGCCACTATATCAAATACTAATAATTTGTATGAAGTTGGATATATGCTGAGATTAACCATCAGTGAGGTCATTTTGAAAAAAACAGTTATAAAGGAGTGGTCAGGGTAAATCTAGGAGGATTCAAGATAAACTTGGAAACAGGAGCTGTGAATAAGGGGCCAAGTGTTAAGGACTGAAAAGTCTGAGATTTTGTCCTACTTGCAAGGTAACAAGTTAAGCTACCAGTTTCATGGATACTGGCAGAAGACATACTGTACTGACCTCGAATACACATTTGCTGGGTGGAGTTACAGGAGGGGAGGTCCAAGTTTAGGGAGCCTGAATCTTAAACAGTGGTCTAGAAGTAAATCTATCAAACCTTTGTCTAGAAGGAAGACATATTATACTGGATGCTAAACAAACTGTTGCTCTGGAGAACGGATTACCTATCTAAGGCTATTCATCCTGAAAACAGCCTGTAACAAAAGCCATCACCATATGTACTTGTAAGATAGTGAGAAACGTGAGAAACCCATGGAGAATTGTCTCCCAACACAGAGAAACGGATGGGTAACTGAAGAGATGGGGGCTTTTGAGGATTTTGGTGTTTTAAAATATTAGAAATTCTAGGATAAATTTATATACTCATGGGAACGATAAGTAGAAAAATTGACGCTGTACGAGAAGAGGAGGAGGAGAATGGACTAGAGCAGAGCCTGAGCAGGTGAAGACACTGGGATCCAGGGTACTAGTGAAGAGGTCAGACGCTGGAGCACCAACCAGGAGGAAGGCAGAGCGTGGGCAGAGAAGATGCTAGAGCTTGTGAGTGTTCTTGTCTGATTGCTTTTATTTCCACTGTTAAACTGAAAACATAGTTATTAGCTGAGAGTGAGGATGGTAGAGGTGGTGTGAGACGTTTGGGGGATAGGGAAGAGTGAAAAAATTAAGGAAATGTACGATACACTAAAGGCCCACTTGAGGTTAGTGGTCATGAGTTTAACATAACATCAATTGTCAGGGTTGTATGTTTTGTTCCAGCCACATTCAGCAGAGTTGGATTTAGCCTGGATTGACTGGTGTGAAATACATGAACCATGGGACTTAAGCTGATTAGGTGAAGAGTCACAACTTCAGAGAGGGAAATCAGCGGGAGTGGTTTCAGCAAGATGGCAGAATAGAACTTTCTAGCACTTGACTCCCTGCAGAAACATCAGTTTGAATAGCTTTCCATGCACAAAATTACCTTCACAAGAGCTAAAGAAACCAAGTAAGAGATCACAGCACCTGGGTATAGTGTAGAAATAAAGGATGCGGCCGGGCGCAGTGGCTCACGCCTATAATCCCAGCACTTTGGCAGGCCAAGGTGGGTGGGTCACCTGAGGTCAGGAATTTGAGACCAGCCTGGCCAACATGGCAAAACCCCGTCTCTACTAAAAATACAAAAATTAGCCGGGCATGGTGGTGCGTGCCTGTAATCCCGCCTACTAGGGGGGCTGAGGTAGGAGGATCGCTTGAACCTGGGAGGCTGAGGTTGCAGTGAGCTTAGATTGTGCCACTGCACTTCAGCCTGGGCAACAGAGCGAGACTCCATCTCAAAAAAAAAAAAAAAAAAAGGATGCATTGAAGAGGGCACGAAGGACAGTGTTACATTATTTTTATTACCTCTTCCCCAACCCCAGGCACCATAGTGTCAACAGAGACACCCTCCATACAGGGGAAAGAGAAGAAAGTGAACACTGGACTTTGCCTCCATCCCAAACACCTTCTCACCTGGGTAAAACTCAGAGCTAGGCAGGCCCCACTGCCCTAGACCCCAGGCCACTACCCACAGAGAACTTCCAGGCCGACCCCACCATGAGGTTGAATCCCATAGCCCCAGGCCAGCACAGCAGACTTGGTCTGCTCACCTCACCTCCAGACCAACCTCAGTGGTCCAGGCTCACCAAGCTTCAGGTCTGGTCCCACAGTCGGGTTCCAGGCCTGCAGATGCAAGGCTTCAGGTCTGTCCTGGGTTCTAGACCAGCCCCGAGCCAGGTCAGCACCCCTGGCCTGAGGCTCCAGGCTGGCCCTTGCCTCACCTCAGTCTACAGGCACTGACATGGTGCCAAGGCCTGCCCAGGTCTACCCTAGCACACTGTACACAGCCCGGGGCCTACCCCAGCACCATGTAAGCCCCCATGGAACAAGGGTTCAGGCCAACCCAAGAGGATACAGTTTCCAGGCTTACCTTCAAGGACCCAAGTTCCAGGGTTACCCCTATGCACCCAATCAACAGGTCCACTCCAGTAGATCCAAGCTTCAGGCCCAGTTCTGTAGACTCAAGCACCAGGTCTGCCCATCTGCTGATGCAGGTACCAGGCCATCCTGGCTGAGGACTCCAGCAGCAAACTCACTTGCAGATCACACCAGATGGCCTCCCCAGAATCTCTGGACAGGTTGACTGGTGAAGAGCTTTCCCAGACAATGGCAGTCTGCAGACTGGAATACTTATTCACTATTTCTTCAAATGCCCAGATACTAACACACTAGAAGGATCAAGAACAATCAGGGAAATATGACCCTCCGAAAAAGGAACAACAAAAAAAGCACCAGTAATGGACCCTAAAGAAATTTAGAAGATTTGGATAATGTATGAGCTGCCTGACATTTCAAAATAATTATTTTAAGGAAGCTCAGCATATTAAATTTTCTTAAGAAAATAGAGAATTTGATTAAATCAAGAAAATGACCGCCGGGCGCAGTGGCTCACACCTGTAATCCCAGCACTTTGGGAGGCCGAGGCGGGTGGATCACAAGGTCAGGAGATGGAGACCATCCTGGCTAACACAGTGAAACCCTGTCCCTACTAAAAATACAAATAATTAGCCAGGCATGGTGTGGGCGCCTGTAGTCCCAGCTACTCGGGAGGCTGAGGCAGGAGAATGGTGTGAACCCTAGAGGCGGAGCTTGCAGTGAGCCAAGATCGTGCCACTGCATTCCAGCCTGGGCAACAGAGCAAGACTCTTGTCTCAAAAAAAAAAAAAAAAAAAAAGAAAATGACCAACATTAGAAACTTAAATTATAAAAATAAAAAATTCTGAAGAATATAATTAATGACATGAAAAATGCAATAGAGAGCAGCAACAACAGAAGTGATCAAGCAGAAGAAAGAATGTGAGCTCAAAGACATTTTATTTCAAAATATCCAGTCAGAGGAGAAAAAAGAATGAATGAAAAGACTGTGGCATTTATGGAATGCCATCAAAAGAACAAATGTTTGACACTCAGAAGTTCAAGAAGGAAAGAGAGACAAAAGGGCAGAAAGGTTAAATAATAGGGCCAGGGTGGGGGTGGTTCATGCTTGTAATCCCAACACTTTGGGAGGCCAAGGCAGGATCATTTGATCCTAAGAGTTCAAGACCAGTCTGAGAAATATAGTGAAACCCCCATCTGTAGAAAACTACAAAAAATTAGCCTGATGTGGTGTTATGAGCCTGTAGTCTCAGCTACTTGGGAGCCTGAAGTGGGAGAATCCCTTGAACCAGGAGGTTGAGGATGCAGTGAGCCATGATCATGCCACTGTATGCCAGCCTGGGTGACAGAGTGAGACCCTGTCTCAAAAACACAACGCAGGAGGGAGGAAGTGGGGAGGGAAGGGAAAAGAGGAATAGGAAGGGGAATAGGGGGTGGAAGCAGGGGAGGAAGGCAGGGAGAAAGGAAGATATAAACTGTACAAATCTGGGAAAATATGTGAATATCCAGGTATAGGAAGGTGAAAGGATTGAATCTGACTGGAGACCTAACAAGACTACAGGAGTACATGTTAAACTGTCAAAGAGAAGATCCTGAAAACAGCAAGAGAAATAAAGCAAATGACTTATGGGAGCTTCAATAAGGCTAGCAGTGGATTTCCAAACAAATCTTACAGGCTATGAAGAGAGTGGGATGACATATTCAAACTGCTGAAGGAAAAAAAAATGCTGACCAAGAATACTGTATCCAGCAAATCTGTCCTGAAATAAAGGAGCAATAAGAACTTTGCTAGACAAACCAAAGCTGAGGAAGTTCATTACCACCAGACCTATCTTTCAAGAAATACTAAAGGGAACTGGGCACGGTGGCTCATGCCTGTTATCCCAGCACTTGTGGGAGGCCAAGGCGGGCAGATAACTTGAGGTCAGGAGTTCAAGACCAGCTTGGCAACATGGTGAAACGCTGTCTCTACTAAAAATACAAAAATTAGCTGTGCATGGTGGTGCATGCCTGTAATCCCAGTTACTTGGGAGGCTGAGACAGGAGAATTGCTTGAACCCAGGAGGTGGAGGTTGCAGTGAGCCAAGATTGTGCTACTGCACTTCAGCCTGGGTGACAGAAAGAAACTTTGTCTCAAAAAAACTAATCAACAAATAATAGCTATAAAATGTTGAGGGATACACACTATAAAAAGATGTAAATTGTGACATTAAAAACATAAAATGTGGAAAGGGGTAGAGAACATGTAGTTTGGTTTACAATCAAAGTTGTTATCTACTTAAAATATCCTATGATAACTATATTTTCTGTAAGCCTTATGCTAACCACAAAGCAAAAAATCTATAGTAGATACACAAAAGATTTTAAAAAAGAAATCAAAGCATACCACCAAAGAAAATCACGTCATTACAAGTAAGAAAGCAAAAGGGAAAGAAAGGAACAAAGGATCTAGGAAAGAAGCAATTAACAAAATGGCAATAGTGGGCCCTTGGCTATCAGTAATTACCTTAAATACAAATGGATTAAATTCCTTGGTTAAAAGAGTGGCTGAGTAAAATTTTTGAAGACCCATTTATATGCTGCCTATAAGAAACTCACTTCACCTTTAAGGTCATATATATACTGAAAGTGAAAGGATGGAAAAAGTATTCCATGGAAATGGAAACCGAAAGAGTAGGGATAGCTATACTTAAATCAGATAAACTAGATTTTAAGTCAAAAATTGTGACACAAAGGTCATTATATGACAAACGTGTCAATTTATCAAGAAGATATACCTCTAAATTTATATACATTCAACATCTGAGCACCTAAATATATAAAGCAAATATTAATAGACCTGAAGGGAGAGAGAGAGACTGTAACATAATATCAGTAGAAGACTTCAATACCCTACTTTCAGCAACAGACAGATCATCCAGACAGAATCAGTAAGGAGATGTAAACTACAGCTTAGACCAAATGGACCTAAGAGACATACACAGAATTTCCATCCAATAGCAGCAGCATACACATTCTTCTCAAGCACACAAGGAACTTCTCTAGGATAGGATGTATATTAGGCCACAAAACAAATCTTAAATTTAAGATTATATCAAGTATTTTTTTCCTACCACAGTGGTATAAAAATAGAAATCAGTAATAGGAAGAATTTTGAAAAATGCACGAATATGTGGAAATTAAACAACATGCTCCTAATCAGTGGGTCAGATAAGAAATTTAAAAACATCTTGAGACAGGCTGGGCGCGGTGGCTCACGCTTGTTATCCCAGCACTTTGGGAGGCTGAGGCGGGTGGATCACGAGGTCAGGAGATAGAGACCATCCTGGCTAACACGGTGAAACTTCATCTCTACTAAAAAATAAAAAAGTACAAAAAATTGCCCGGCGTGCCTGACACATGCCTGTAATCCCAGCTAGTTGGGAGGCTGAGACAGGAGAATTGCTTGAACATGGGAGGCAGAGGTTGTAGTGAGCCAACATCGCGCCACTGCACTCCAGCCTGGGTGACAGAGTGAGACTTGGTCTCCAAAAAAAAAAAAAAAAAAAAAAAAAAAAGTCTTGAGACTAATGAAAACAGAAACACAACATACCAAAATTTATGGGATTCATGCAGTGAGCTGAGATCGCACCACTGCACTCCGGCCTGGGTAACAGAGGGAGACTGCATCTCAAAAAAAAAAAAAAAAAAATTTATAGGATTCACTAAAAGCAGTTCTAAGAGATGTTTATAGCAATAAATGCCTATATCAAAAGAGAACAAATAATGCTATACCTCAAAGAACTAGAAAAAGCAGCCCAAAGTTAGAAGAAAATATCAGAACAGAAATAAATTATTCATGGATTTATTCATTCATTTCTTAGAAAAAGACAACAGGAAAAAAACCTTAAGAATTTTTTAAGATAAAATTGGAAAACTTTTAGGTAGAGTAAGAAAAAAGACAACTCAAAATCAGAAATGAAAGCTGAAGTGTTACAACTGATACCACAGAAATACGAAGGATTAGAATACCATGAACAATTATACATCAACAAATTAGAGAACCTAGAAGAAACGGATAAATTCCTAAACACATACAAACTACCAACACTGAATCATGAAGAAACAGAAAAACCAATAGGCTGGGCGTGGTGACTCACGCCTGCAATCCCAGCACTTTGGGAGGCCGAGGCGGGTGGATTACTTGAGGTCAGGAGTTTGAGACCAGCCTGGGCAAGATGGTGAAACCCCATCACTACTAAAAATACAAAAATTAGCCAGGCGTGGTGGCGGGCAACTGTAATCCCCCCTACTTTGGAGGCTGAGGCAGGAGAATTGCTTGAACCCAGGAGGCAGAGGTTGCAGTGAACCGAGATCGCACACTGCACTCCAGTCTGGGCAATAGAGTGAGACTCGGGTAGGGGGGGTGGGTGGGGAAAAGGCCAGGCACAGTGGCTCATGCCTGTAATCCCAGCACTTTGGGAGGCTGAGGTAGGCGGATTACCTGAGGTCAGGAGTTCAAGACCAGCCTGGCCAACATGACGAAACCCTGTCTCTACCAAAAATACAAAAATTAGCCGGGCATGGTGGCGGGCATCTGTAATCCCAGCTACTTGGGAGACTGAGGCAGGGAGAATCATTTGAACCCGGGAGGCAGAGGTTGCAGTGAGCCAAGATTGTGCCATTGCACTCTAGCCTGGGTGACAGAATGAGACTCCATTTCAAAAACAACATCAACAACAAACTCAGTAAGAGGCTGAATTACAAATCCATCAAAGAAAAGCGCAGGACTTAATGGTGTCAGTACTGAGTTCTACTTAACATTTAAAGAACTAATACCAATTCTTTTCAAACTCATCCAAAAAAATTGAACAAGGGGGAACACCTTCAAACTTATTTTATGAAGCCAGCATTACCCTGATACCAAAGCCAGACAAGGGCACTGGAAGAAAAAAAAAAATTACAGGCCAGTATCCCTGATGAACATAGATGCAAAAACCCTCAACAAAATACCAGCAAACCAAATTCAACAGCACATTGAAAGACAATTCACTATGATCAAGTGGGATCTATCCCAGGGATGTAAGGATGTTTCAACATACACAAGTCTATAAATGTGATCTACCACATTAACAGTATGAAGGACAAAATCTATTCTGATCACCTTAATAGATGCAGAAAAAGCATTTGACAAAACTCAACATCTTTTCATAATAAAAACTCTCAAAATAGATATAGAAAGAATGTACCTCAGCACAAGGCAGGCCATATATGACAAGCCCACAGCTAACATACTTAATAGTGAACAGTTGGAAGCTTTTTATCTGGCTGGGCACAGTGGCTAACACCTGTAATCCCAGTCCCTTGGGAGTCCAAGGCAGGCGGATCACTTGAGGTTAGGAGTTCAATACCAGCCTGGCCAACATGGCGGAACCCTGTCTCTACTAAAAATACAAAAATTAGCCAGGTGTGGTGGTGCAGCCCTGTAATTCCAGCTACTTGGGAGACTGAGGCAGGAGAATTGCTTGAACCTGGGAGGCAGAGGTTGCAGTGAGCCAAGATGGAGCCACTGCACTCCAGCCTGGGCAACAGAGTGAGTCTGTGTCAAAAAAAAAAAAAAAAAAAAAAAAAAAAGAGAAAGCTTTTCATCTACTATCAGGAACAAGACAAGAATGTCCACTCTCACTACTTCTATTCAACACAGTATTGGAAGTCCTAGCCAGAACAGTTAGGCAAGAGAAAAAAATGAGGCTTCCAGACGGGAAAGAAAGAAGGTAAATTGTCCATGTTTGCAGATGCTATGATCTCATATAGAAAACCTTAAAGAGTCCACCAGAAAACTTTCAGGACTAATGAATGAATGAAGTTGCAGGATACAAAAATCAACGTACAAAAATCAGTAGTGTTTTATATAAACAATGACCTATCTATACAAGAAGTCAGTAAGACAATCCCATTTACAATGGCTACACAAAGTTAAATACTTAGGAATAAATTTAACCAAGGAGATGAAAGACTGGTACACCAAAAACTGTAAGACGCAGATAAAAGAAACTGAAGATACAATTAAATGGAAAACTATCCTGTGTTCCTGGATTGGAGGAATATTGTTAAAATGTTCACACTGTCCAAAGCAATCTACAGGTTCAATGCAATGCCTATCAAAATTCCAATTATATTTTCCACAGAGATAGAAAAAACAATCCTAAAACTTGTATGTAACCACAAAAGACCCCAAATACCCAAAGCAGTCTTGAACAAAAAGAACAAAGCTTGAGGCTTCATACTAACTGTATCAGTGCATTCTCACACTGCTATAAAGAACTACCTGACACTGGGCAATTTATGAAAAAAAGTTTAATTGACTCACAGTTCCACAAGCTTAACAAGAAGCATGACTGGGAGGCCTCAGGAAACTTATACTCATGGTGGAAGGCAAAGGGGAAGCAAGCAGCTTCTTCACATGGTAACCGGAGAGCATGCTAGCAAAGGGGGAAGTGCCACACACTTGTAAACCGTTAGATCTCATGAGAACTCACTATCAGGAAAGCAGCAAGGGAGAAATCCACCCCCATGATCCAATCACCTCCCACCAGGCCCCTCCTCCAATTCGACATGACATTTGGGTGGGGACACAAATCCAAACCATATCACTAGTTGAATTCAAAATACACTACAAAGGTATAGTAACCAAACAGCATATTAGCATCAAAACAGACACATAGACCCACGGAATAGAACAGAGCTCCCAGAAATAAATCCACGCATTTACAGTCAACTGATTCTTGACAAAAGGTGCCAAGAACACATAATGGGCAAAGGACAATCTCTTCAGTAAATGCTGGACGTTCACATATAAAATAACGAAATACAGAAAAATAAACTAAAGACTTAAATGTAAGACCTGAAACTGTAAAACGACTAGAAGAAAGCAGGGATCCATGACATCGATCTGGTCAATTTTTTTTTTTTAATCTGACTTCAAAAGCACAGGCAACAAAAGCAACAACAGACAAATGAGATTACATCCAACTAAAAAGCTCCTGCACAGAAAAGGAAACAATCAAAAGAGTGAAAAGACAACCTTTAGAATGGGGAGAATTATTTGCAAATCATAGTCTGATAAGGGATATCTAAAATATAAGGAACTCAGACAACTCAATAGCAAGAAAACAAATAACCCAATTAAAGAGCAAAGGACCTAAATAGACACTTCTCAAAAAGAAGACTTACATATGCCTGACAGGTATATGAAAAAATGCTCAGTGTCATTAATTATCAGGGAAACGCAGATTAAAACTACAATGAGGTATCACCTCACACCTTGTTAGAATGGCTATTAGCAAAACAGTGAATAAATATGGACCAAGTGCGGTGGCTCATGCCTATAATCCCAGTACTTTGGGAGGCCGAGGCGGGTGGATCACCTGAGGTCAGGAATTCGAGACCAGCCTGGCTAACATCGTGAAACCCCGTTTCCACTAAAAATAGAAAACATTAGCCGGGCGTGGTGCCCTGCACCTCCTGTAATCCCAGCTCTTGGGAGGCTGAGGCAGGAGAATTGCTTGAACCCGGGAGGCAGAGGTTACAATGAGCCAAGATCACAGGATCGCACTCCAGCTTGGACAACAAGAGCGAAACTCCGTCTCCAAAAAAAAAAGTGTGTGTGAGGATGTGGAGAAAAAGGAAGTCTCACAAAGTTGATGAGAATGTAAATTAGTACAGCCATTATGGAAAATACTATGGAAGCTCCTCAATAACTTAAATAGAACTACCATGTGACCCAGCAATTCCACTACTGGGTATATATCCAAAGGAAACGAAATTAGTCTGTCAAAGAGATATCTGCACTTTCATGTTCATTGCAGCATTATTCACAACAGCCAAGATATGAAATCAACCTAACTATCAATGGATGAATGGATAAAGAAGATGTGTTCTACATACACAATGGAATACTACTGAGCTTTAAAGAAGGAAGCTCTGGCCAGGTGCAGTGGCTCATGCCAGTAACCACAGCACTTTGGGAGGCTGAGTCGGGTAGATTGCTGGAGTCCAGGAGTTCAAGACCAGCCTGGCCAACATGACAAAACCCTTTCTCTAAAAATACAAAACAAAAATTAGCCAGGCATGGTGGCACATGCCTGTAGTCCTAGCTACTTGGGAGGCTGAGGCAGCAAGATCATTAGAGCTTTGGATACAAAGGTTGCAGCAAGCCAATATTGCACCATTATACTCCAGCCTGAGTGACAGAGCAAGACCCTGTCTCAAAAAATAAAGGAACTTATTTGCCACAACATGGGTGAACCTAGAGGACTTTATGCTAAGTGAAATAAGCCTGGCATGGAAAGACAAATACCACATGACCTCACTTATATGTGGAATCTAAAAAAGTTGAACTCATAGAAGCAGAGAACAGAATAGTGATTACCAGGGGCTAGGGGTGTGGGAGGGGATAAGAGAAATGTTGGTGAAAAGATACACAATTTCAGTTTAATAGGAGGAATAAATTTAATCTATTGGCCAGGCGCCGTGGCTCAAGCCTGTAATCCCAGCACTTTGGGAGGCCGAGGCGGGCGGATCACGAGGTCAGGAGATTGTGACCATCCTGGCTAACACGGTGAAACCCCGTCTCTACTAAAAATGCAAAAACAAAAATTAGCCGGGCGTGGTGGTGGGCGCCTGTAGTCCCAGCTACTCAGGAGGCTGAGGCAGGAGAATGGCGTGAATCCAGGAGGCAGAGCTTGCACTGAGCCATGATCGTGCCGCTGCACTCCAGCCTGGGCGAGAGAGCAAGACTTTGTCTCAAAAAAAAAAAAAAAAGAGAGATCTATTAAGAGAGGAGGTCTCACTATGTTGCCCAGGCTGGTCTCAAACTCCTGGGCTCAAGCAATTCTCCCACGTCAGCATCCTAAGTAGCTGGGACTACAGGCTGTATCACTGTGCCTGACTGTAATATATTCCGGAAAAATCAATGAGTAGATTTTAAATATTCACACCACAAAAATACATGTAATACATATGTAAATTAGTCTGATTTAGTCATTCTGCAATGTATACATTTGTAAACATCATGTTAGATACAATAAACATACTTTTTTTTTTTTTTTTTTTTTTTTTTTAAGACAGTCTTGCCCTGTCACCCTGGCTGGTGTGCAGTGGTGCAATCTCGGCTCACAGCAACCTCCACCTCCCAGGTTCAAGCAATTCTCCTGCCTCGGCCTCCCAAGTAGCTGGAACTACAAGCGTGCTCCACCATGCTTGGCTAATTTTTGTATTTTTAGTAAAGATGGAATTTTGCCTTGTTGGCCAATCAGGTGATCCACCCACATTGGCCTTCCAAAGTGCTGGGATTACAGGCAATGAGGCACCACACCTGGCCCCAATAAACACAATTTTATAAGTCAGTTTTTAAAAGTTAATGAAAAACAAATCTAAAGAACTTGAGGGGATAAAGGAGTGTGAAAAGTGGTAGACTGAAAAGACTATGTTTCCATGGGGTAGGATTGTTAGGGTACTAGAGAAAATCTGGTTGAGTGAGGAATGCATGAAACATTACAAACAGGTTGCTATTACTAGTAGCAAGATTAATGTGTCCGAGAATAACTGGCTGAAGGAGGGAGGAGTACAGGCTCATTGGAAAAGTGGAGATGAAGAAACTGAAAAGCCAAGTATTAAATCTACATAAGCATTAAAATTATCAATTCAGATGGTAGTGTTAGAGTGGGAACTAAAATTTAAGAGATCCAGGGATCAGAAGATGACTGCTTTAAGTATCACGTGGTACGGTCTGATGGCCTGAGCATCCATGCCATGGGGTGTCAGAGAAGATGAAAGGAGAATGGTCTGGAAGCAGCGAGAAGGACATCTTCCCACCCCCAGGACCAGTGTTAAAGGGTGAAGTAGAAAAGTATAGGGAATGTTCATTAATACATAGGAAATTCTGGCCGGGCACGGTGGCTCACGCCTATAATCCTAACACTTTGGAAGGCCGAGGCTGGTCCATCAGTTGAGGTCAGGAGTTCGATACCAGCCTGGCCAACACAGTGAAACTCTGTCTCTACTAAAAAAAAATACAAAAATTAGTCAGGAGTGGTGGTGCATGCTTATAGCCTCAGCTACTGGGGAGGCTGAGGCAGGAGAATCACTAGAACCTGGGAGGCGGAGGCTGCAATGAGCCGAGATTGCACCACCGCACTCCAGCCTAGGGGACAGAGCAAGACTCCATCTCTCTCTCTCTTTTTTTTTTTTTTTTTTTTTTTTAGACAGAGTCTTGCTCTGTCCCCTAGGCTGGAGTGCAGTGGTACAATTTCGGCTCATTGCAACCTCCGCCTCCCGGGTTCAAGCGATTCTTCTGCCTCAGCCTCCCAAGTAGCTGGAACTACAGGCATGCACCACCACGTCCGGCTAATTTTTGTATTTTTAGTAGAGACGGGGTTTCACCATGTTGTTCAGTCTGTTCTTGAACTCCTGACCTCGTGATCCACCCGCCTCAGCCTCTCAAAGTGCTGGGATTACAGGCATGAGCCACCACGCCCAGCCCAAGACTCCATCTCAAAGAAAAAAAGACATAGGGAATTCTGCCCTAACCTCTGTGGTGAGTTCCAGAGGGCACAGAGGAAGATCTCTAGAAGTTGGGGAGAAGCAAGAGATGGACTCAGAAAGGGATGTAAGTGGAGGAAGTTTAGAGTGGGATCAGGCAGGGGGTGACCCAGGAATCCTGAGCCTCTTATAACTGAGCCAATAAGGACAAAAGCTTTAATGAGATCAGACCTGATAGTCTCAGAAAATGGTGGAGAAGCTGGAGTCTTGGGAGGAGGAAAGGGTAGGCATCTTGCCAAGAGCACCCAGAGTTCTGGGCCCTTCTTCACTCCTGCTAATAGAAATGAGGAAGCCTGGGGAGGTGGGTCTGACTTGGAGCACTTGAGGCTCCTTCTTGATCCTTGCCACGAGGTCATATGAGGAATATTTGAATACCATATGGTTCCTTACATACGGTAGATACCATAGAGCTCCTAAGAGTGAAAGTAGTCAGACTAATTGTGTTGACCTGGAAAAATGTTTGATAGAGTTTTAAAAGCAAGTTGCCAAAAATGTATGTATACACACACAGACAGTTGGCTTTCTGTATCCATGGATTCTGCATCTGAGGATTCAGCCAACCTTGGGTTGAATATTCAGGGAACAAAGAAAAAAATGGATGGTTGCATGTGTATTGAACACACATAGACCTTTTGTCATTATTCCCTAAATATAATGACTATAGAGCATTTAAATTGTATTAGGTATTGTAAGCAGTAGGGATGATTTAAGGTATACTAGAGGGTGTGCATAGATCACAAATACTATACCATTTTATATCAGGGACTTTAGCTTTTGGATTTTGGTATCTGCAGGAGGTCCTGGAACCAGTTCCTCATGGATTATCAAGGGACACATACACATAAATACACATACACACGGAGGGGGAGAAATGAGATGGAGGAAGGAAGATGTGACAACATACAATTGGCTAATCTAGATGAAGAGTGTATGGGTGTTCATTATACAGTCTGTTCTATACAAAATTCTAATTTTCTAATTTTGAATGAAAGAATGTTACAAGATATTATGTATAGCATTTTTTATAGAATATGTATATACATATGGAAGTATGTTATAAACTTAGACAAAAACCAGGAAGTATAACTGCCTGACATGTTCTCCTTGCCCACTGCCCAGATAGAGCCAATTTATCAAGACAGGGCAATTGTAATAGAGAAAGAGTTTAATTCATGCAGAACTGGCTGACCAAGACCGGAGTTTTATTACTCAAATCAGTCTCCCTGAAAATTCGGAGACTCGGGTTTTTTAAGGATAATTTGGTGGGTAGGGGGTCAGGGAGTGGGGTGTGCTGATTGGTTGGGTCTAGAGATGAAATAAGGGGTCAGCCGGGGGCGGTGGCTCACGCCTGTAATCCCAGCACTTTGGGAGGCCAAGGCGGGTGGATCACCTGAGGTCAGGAGTTTGACACCAGCCTGGTCAACATGGTAAAACCCTATCTCTACAAAAACACAAAAATTACCCGGGTGTGGTGGCTTGCACCTTAATCCCAGCTACTCAGGAGGCTGAGGCACGAGAATCGCCTGAACCCAGGAGGTGGAGGGAACAGTGAGCCAGGATCATGCCACTGAACTCCAGCCTGGGCAATAAGAGTGAAACTCCAGCCCGGGCAATAAAAGTGAAACTCCATCTCAAAAAATAAATAAAGAAGAGGTCAAAGTGGGTTCTTGCCATCTTCTGTTCCTTGGTGGGATCACAGAACTTATTGAATGACATGACCAGATTACCATTCTGGGTGGCACTAGCTGGTACATCAGAATGCAGGGTCTGAAAGATATGTGAGCACCAATCTTAGATTTTACAATAGTGATGTTATGGGGAGATTTGCAATCTTGTGGCCTCTGGCTACAAGACTCCTAAACCACAATTTCTAACCTCATGGCTAATTTGTTAATCTTACAAAGGCTGTCTAGTCCCCAGGCAAGAAGGGGGTTTGTTTTGCAAAAGGGCTGTTGTCTTTGTTCCAAAGTTAAACTATAAACTCCAGGCCGGGTACGGTGGCTCACACCTGTAATCCCAGTACTTTGGGAGGCCAAAGGGGGCAGATCATGAGGTCAGGAGATTGAGACCATCCTGGCTAACACGGTGAAACCCCATCTCTACTAAAAATACAAAAAAATTAGCCGGGTGTGGTGGGGAGCACCTGTAGTCCCAGCTACTTGGGAGGCTGAGGCAGGAGAATGGCGTGAACCCAGGAGGCGGAGCTAGCAGTGAGCTGAGATCACGTCACTGCACTCCAGCCTGGGTGACAGAGCAAGACTCCATCTCAAAATAAATAAATAAAAATAAAAAATAAATAAACTCCTCCCAAAGCTAGTTCAGCCCATGTCCAGGAATGACCAAGGGCAGCTTGGAGGTTAGGAGCAAGATGGAGTTCGTTAGGTTAGATCCCTTTCATTGTCACGATTTTCTCACTCTTAATTTTTGCAAGGTAGCTTTAGAAGGACTTAGAGCAAGCTGTAACAGCGTTTACCTCTGGGATAAGGACCTTTACTACCAAGCTGGTATGGTTTTAAATAGAGTAGAGCTATAATGGTGGCTTCTACATTGATATATTTTCTAATAAATATTTAGAAGATAAATCAGTATAAAATATTGTACCGTATTAGCCCAGTTTTCAGATAAAGACTCCACACATGTATATGGAAAGTAAGCAACGAGGAAGGGGTCTCCTTTGGGGGAGAACAATTATTCCAAGACATGGCTCATCACAGATAACCTGCTGGCATGTTCCCCAATACCTCACTCCCCACGTAGCCCAGCAGCATGTCGTTCCTGCACAACCCAAGACTTCCCTCTAGCCCCTGTCTGTTTGCAGACAGCCCCTCTGCTGTGCTGCACATTGTACCTTTGCAACATATCTTCGTGCTTTCCCTCTAATAAGTCTGCCTTTTATCCCCCATGGACTGTCTTAGTAAATTCCTTTACCGCCTGCCACACCAGCCGTAGCCAGTTGTACCCGTGACATTTTGATGGCCCATATGGGAAGTGCTCGCGGACTGCTTAGGGAGTCCTCCCCTCCTCTCTCCCTTTCTTCTCCAACTCCAGCCTCTCAGTGGACAGCGCCCAAGCCTGGAGACAACTGAAGGTCCCCAGCCAGGTCTACTCCCTAGTGGACCAGAAGGTCCCGGTGGAGAGATGCCTGACCACCCGACCACCGACCACCGCTGCCTGATTCAGTAAAAGTTTACAGCACCTTTTCAGTTTACAGCTTTCCTTTTCTGTCTTCCCGGGGAAACACTCTAGTATCCCTCTGACAATTCATGCCACTGGCTAGGGCCACTCCTTTGTGTAGCCTGGAGGCCAAGGAGTAAACAGGTTTGGCTACCTTGCTGGGAAGGGAGGAAGGCCCCTCCTATCCTTTCTGGCCAAAAGTTCCAAACCCTACGTGTAGTGCCATTGGCAGCAGAAGCTCAACCAGGGCAAACCTACACACACTTTGGGGAACCTGGACCCCCTCTTTCTCACGCTAAATTCTCCTGTGAAGACAGCCAGCCACCCTGCTCTGGACATCTTAAGCCAGGTGATCCCAAACAGCACTGGGACGAATTCAACAGTTTCACCTTCAAATGATGCTGAGGATGGAATATCGGTATCCCCGAGGATGCTGGCTACCTTTACGAGTCTCCCCTGAATGCAGCTGGACATCAGTTTCACCTTGATAGGCTCCCCTCCTCCAACAAGTCCCTTGTCCACCAAGAGCCAACATCCCAGGCCTCACAACCCGGGACAGTGACCCACAGGGTCTCCTGACAGACCAACAGGCATAGGTAGGGTCAACTCTATGCCCCAGGCCAGCAGGAAATAGCTGCAAAATGAAACTGCCACCCCAGTGCCAGAGCTTGGGCATTGTTCAGTTAGAGGGGGAATGTGGAGTCCTGATAAGCTGTGCCAGCAGCAACAGGGAAGGGGTCCCAGGTGAGGGAGAGCAACTGTTCCAAGAGAAGGCTAATCATACAACCTGTGGACACAACATCCCATTTGCTCCGCACACAGCCCCCTCCGGCATGAACCTGTAAGACGTCCCTCAAGCCCCTGCCTCTTTGCAAGCAGCCCCATCTCTGCTGTGCTGCCCATTGTACTCTTGCAACGTATCTTCCTACTTTTGAGAAAGGGTCTGGTTCTGTCATCCAGGCTGGAGTGCAGTGGCACGACCTCGCCTCACTGCAACCTCTGCCTCCCAGGTTCAAATGATCCCCACCTTAGCTTCCCAAGTAGCTGGGACTGCAGGCACGAGGCACCACTCCTGGCTAATTTTTTAATTTTTGGTAGAGGAGGATTTTTGCCATGTTGCCCAGGCTAGTCTCGAACTCCTGAGCTCAAGTGATCTGCCTGCCTCAGCCTTCTGAAGTGCTGGGATTACAGTTATGAGCCACCGTGCCCAGCCCATACTCTCCCTCTAATAAATCTGCCTTTCTATTCCTGCAACTATCTTGAATTCCTTTATTGCTTGTGATACCGGCCCCAGCCAGTCACACCCAAGACAGTATGTATATTTGTATACATTTACATTATTTCTAGATATATCTCCAGTTATTAAATATTTAATGATGGCATGGTGGCTGACACCGGTAATCCCGGCTCTTTGGGAGACCAAGGCAGGTGGATTGCTGGAGCCCAGGAGCTCAAGACCAGCCTGAGCAACATAGTGAGACTCCCCCGTCTTTACAAAATATATAAAAATTAACCAGATGTGGTGGCACATGCCTGTAGTCACAGCTACTCAAGAGGCTGAGGTGGGACGATCACTTGAGCCCAGGAGGCAGAGACTGCGCCACTGCACTCCAGCCTGGGTAACAGAGTGAGAACCCCGTCTCAAAAACAAGCAAAACATAAAAACATTTAAGAAAACTTTGTGTTGTGAGGTCTGATGTATTTTTCACCTACATTCTCCTGCTTTAAAGGGGTAATTTGTACCTAAAAACCCCTCCTAGGATGAATTCTCCTAAGTGGAGAATATAATTGCCATTAATTCCGGTGGAAAAATCTGTATGCACACCTTAGTCCCTAAATACACTCATTTATCCTAAAACACCATAAACCCATTAAAATGGGCACAGATAATTGACCTCAGCTAACACAGCACAACACAAGCAAGGTCCCTTAATTACCCTATAAAATGGCTGTCTGCATACATTAAGCTGTTTGTGCATTGTTATAAATACCTGAGGTTGAGTAATTTATAAAGAAAATAGTTTTTTTTTTTTTTTGGTTGTTTTTTTTTTTAAGATGGAGTCTTGCTCTGTCACCCAGGCTGGAGTGCAGTGGCATGATTTTGGCTCACTGCAAACTCCACCTCCCGGGTTCCAGCGATTCTCCTGCCTCAGCCTCCTCAGTAGCTGGGATTACAGGCACCCACCACCATGCCCAGCTAATTTTTGTATTTTTAGTAGAGAAGGGGTTTCACCATGTTGGCCAGGCTGGTCTCGAATTCCTGACGTCAGGTGGTCCACCTGCCTCGACCTCCCAAACTGCTGGGAATACAGGCTAGAGCCACCACACCTGGCCGAGAAAAGAGATTTAATCGGCTCATGGTTCTGCAGACACCTGCTCAGCTTCTCGGGAGGCCTCGGGAAACTAGCAATTATGGCGGAAGGTGAAGGGGGAGCAGGCACATCACATGACAAAATTAGGAGCAGGGGGAGGGGGTGCCACACGCTTTCAAATAACCAGCTCTCCCAAGAAGTATCTTGAGGACAGCACCATGCCATGAGGTGTCCTCCCTCATGACCCAAACACCTCCCACCAGCCCCCAACTCCGACATTGGGGATGGCATCTCAGCATGAGACTTGGACAGAGACGAACATCGAACTATATCACTACACTTCTCCAGCTCTTTCAGAGCTGCATTGTACCCTTGAGACTATACTATCAAAGAAAGCATATTTGACATCCATCCTTCACATAAGAGAAGCCTTTATACAAAAAGGTAAAGTAGTAGAGGCAGAAAAGTCAATGGAAACAATGGAAGGAGTGCCAGGGTTGTCCCTACAAGGTAGCAAGTTACAAATGCTGAGAAGTTCGCACATCCCACTCTACAACTAGGAAGGTGACCACAGGGGTTACTCTCATTAGCTGCATGTTCCCAAGGCTCTAAAAATCCAGATCACATCTTTTTTTTTTTTGGAGATGGAGTCTCGCTCTGTCGCCCAGGCTGGAGTGCAGTGGCGTGATCTCAGCTCACTGCAACCTCCCCCTCCCAGGTTCAAAAGATTCTCCTGCCTCAGCCCCCAAAGTAGCTGGGATTGCAAGAGCGCACCACTGCACCTGGCTATTTTTAGTAGAGACGAGGTTTCACCATGTTGGCCAGACTGGTCTCTAATTCCTGACCCTCAAGTGATCCACCCACCTCTGTGTCCCAAAGTGCTGGGTTTACAGGAGTGAGCCGCCACGCCTAGCCTCAAATCAGAACTTTTTTTTTTTTTTTAGAAACAAGAATTCACTATTTGAGAGGAAAAAAAAAAAAAGAGAGAGATACGCTGCTACTGCAATTTAGCCACTGCTGTTTGGTGGCCAGCCTCTTCTCTCTCTTTTCAGCAATAGTAAGTCGGGTGCCCTTTTCCCTGGGCAGGGAAATCCAAGGTTTACTGCCATTGCCAGTGACAAAAATGTTGGAAAGCCTCAGGGCAAAGCTGTTGCCATTGGCATCCCTCACATGCCCCACATTTAAAGAACCAGGATGTCCTTCCCTGTTGGTCACACCAACATGACGGAGGCTGGCTCCGCCAATCACCATACACGCATTGCCTGTGTGGAATTTGATAAAGTTGATTATCTTGCCAGTCCCTAAATCAATCTGCACAGTATTGTTCACCTTGATGACAGGATCTGGGTAGTGGATAGTTCCAGTATCATGAGTCACCAGGCGTTGGATTCCCTTCATCCCCATAGTCACCTTCCTCACTTTGCACAGGTTGTACTTTGCCTCTTCGACTGTAACGCGATCAACAGCAACACAGCCCTTGGGTCACAGACCAGGCAGAAATGCTCACCTGTCTTGATGCCGATGACATCCGTGAATCCAGCAGGGTATGTGATAGCCACTCGAACCTTGCCATCAATTTTAATGAAGCATTGCATACATATCTCCTTTACGTCATCTCCGGTCAATGCATACTTGAGTCTATTCCTGAGGAAGACGATCAGCGGAAGACATTCCCTCAGCTTGTGGGGACCTGTCGATGGACGAGGTGCAAATATACCCTTTAGTTTGTCGAGCATCCAATGCTTCGGCACTGCAGCACGCTTCAAGTGCTCCTTAGGGCCCCAGGCCATGGTGAAACCCTGCGACGGAAGATCAGCGCTCTTTTGAAGTGCCTTGTAATCCTCATAAACCACAGTGCTTTTAAGTGAAGCTCCTCTTAAAGACAAATTCTTGCAGTCTGGGCGTATCTCAAGATGTAACTGTACTTCATTTAATCCTCACACAAGCCTAGGAGGCAGTGGTTTTTATCCTACTGGTGAGGCAGCCAGCCGAAAGCAGCAATGCCAAGAACAAAACCCAGCTCATGAGGTGTATTTCCAGTTGAGACTTCTTCCTGTTCAACTCTGAGTCCATGCTCACTGTATTTGGCCATACAGCCCATTTTTATCCTGATATTTTAGAGATCTTTTTCCATTTCCATGGATATTTTTCATAACTGAACTGCGTATTGGGTTATGTCTTTATTTCTAAGTCTGAAGTTGGGACTCACCTACTTGGCCTCCAGCTATTCAGGAATCTGCGGTGGGAGGATTGCTTGAGCCCAGGAGGTCGAGAACCATGTTCCTACCACTCCACACCAGCCTGGGAGACAACGTGAGACTCTGTCTTTAAAAAAAAAAAAAAACCAACACCACACACACACACAAAGAAAAGAAAGGCCCAGAATCACATTCCCCAAAACCCACTTGGAGTGGTTGCACAGGCCGCCCCCGGGAGGGCTGGCACTTCCACTCTGTGGGGCTGATGCTGAGTGTGAGAAGACAGTGTCCCTGGAGGCCTGTGTCCCTGCAGATTGCTAAAGCCATCACTGCGAGTGAGAAGAATGGGCAGCAGATGGAGGTTTGGACAGGCAGAGTCCAGGCATCTGAAGGGCACAGGGAGGACTGCAGTGGTAAAAATCAAGCCAGACTTTTTCTGTGACTGGGAGCAGGCCATGGCGTGTGGGGCCTGGCTGCGTCAGGTGGTTTGGGTCTACCGGCCCAGGAGCAGCCTGCAGAAGGGGCACAGGATGGCCAGGCCTGGGCAAGGAAAGGGCAGCTGAGGGGTGCCCTGGTGAGACACCAGTGTCTCTGAGGGGCAGCCATTTAGCAGAATGGGTGATCACAGCAGGTAGACAAATGACCCCCTGCAGTGGGTCAGCCGCTGGGGATGCTCAGTGGTGGCTCCGTGTGGTCTCAGGAGGCCCAGTGCTGATGACTGGAACCACATTCTGACAGTAGTGACGGGACTAGGATCAGCCATGACAGTCAACAGGCATTGCTTTTCTGCCCTTGGCCGTGTACGCGGCTTGAGTTCTCTCATTCGGCAGTCAGATAACCCATGAGAGAAAGTCACCATTCTCGTCTTATAAATGAAGTAACTGAAGTTCAGAGAGGTTAAAGAATTTTCAAGGTGCGTGATGTGCTACAATACTAAGAATACGAGAAGTTAAGGCTGTATTAGAGCAACCACTGAAGAAAAAAAGGAACAGTATATCCAAAACACTAGTAGATAAATTAAAACTGAAATCAAACATTTTTAGGCCCAGTGCAGTGGCTCACACCTGCAATCCCAGCACTTCGGGAGGCCGAGACAGGCAGGCAGATCACTTGAGGTCAGGAGTTCAAGACCAGCCTGGCCAACATGAAACCCCATCTCTACTAAAAATACAAAAATTAGCTGGGAGTGGTGGTGGGTGCCTGTCATTTCAGCTACTCAGAAGGCTGAGGCAGGAGAATTGCTTGAACCTAGGAGGCGGAGGTTGCAGTGAGCCAAGATCATGCCACTACACTCCAGCCTGGGTGACAGAGCAAGACTTCTCTCAAAAAAAAGTATTTTTAACACAAAAGAGGGCAAGAAAGAAGAGGAGCCAAAATAGGGGAGGGAGTGGGAGAACAAAGTGAAGAGTAAAATGGTAGACCTAAAACAACCATAATAAAACGCAGAAATTGTCAAAGGGATAAAGATTCAAAGGCAAAGCCAAATTATATGTAGTACAAGAGTCATTTTAAATATAAAGACACAGGTGGACTGGGCACAGTGGGTCATACCTATAATCCCAGCAATTTTGGAGGCTGGGGCACCAGGATTACTTGGGGCCAGGAGTTCTAGTCCAGCCTGGGCAACATCGCCAGACCCCATCTCTTCAGAAAAAGTTTAACAGAAAAACTAGCTAGGCATGGTGGTGTGTGCACGGAGTTCCAACTACTCAGGAGGCTGAGATGGGAGGATTGCTTGAGCCCAGGAGTTTGAGGCTGCAGTGAGCTATGATAGCACCACTGTACTCCAGCCTGGGTAACAGAGCAAGACGCTGTCTCTGGAAAAAAAAATGAAAGATTTGCCCAAGGTAAAGACAGCCCAGACCTCGGTGGGGCTGCGAAGCAGGAATGGATAGAATGGGGACAGGTCCATGGCAGAGAAAGGATTTGGACCCAGAGTTGCAGATCCTAAAACCTAAGGTCTTTAACGGATACTGTATTTCCTACCTTCTGGCATGTTCCATGGCAGCATTCCGACTCCTACCAGGGAGCAGTCTTCAGATGTGACACAGCTTCACAGCTGTGCTGCCTTCCCTGAGCTAATACTTCCCCACTACTGGTCAAAAATGAGGTGACGTTTCTCTTAACCTCCTCTCTTTTTTAATATATCCTTCCCATCCCTCTACCCCGGGGACTCATTCTCCCAGCAGCTGCTGAACTCCTGTGTATCAGATTCTTACACTTGAGCATGCATCAGAATCACCTGGAAGGTATAATACACTAAAGGCCGGGCCCTGTCCATGCCATTTCTGAATCTGTACGCTGGCGTGGAGCCTGGGAATCTGCATTGCTAACAAGGTTCCCCAGGTGCTCGCACTCGGAGAAGCCCTGTGGGCGATTAAGCTTATTGCTTCACGAGACACTGAGAAACAGCTCCTGCCTCGAAGCCCACCATCGAGCTTGAAGACTGTCGGGTGAACAGATGAGTCCAACTGGGAGTAATTAGTTTCCAACAGAGGAAGCTCAGGTGCCCTGTGGGAGCACACAGGGGCAGCACCAGCCTCAGGTCAAGGGAAAAGCAGCCCGAGACAAACTTCCGGTGCCACAGAAAGCCAGATGGTTTCATGGAGGCCACCCAGCCCCCGTCACCCATCATGACTCTGCTTGCACAGTTTGAGCAATGCCATTGGTTTTGCCCGTGTGACCAACTCTTAGGCATCTCCATAGGGCCACAGGGCAGGCCCCCAGCTGTCGGCATTGCCTGGTCTTATGATCTCAGGCTCCCAGCACCCTCACTGCCCAGCAGCCTGTTCCATAGCAGCATCTCCCACCTTCTCCCTGACTTCTAGAGGGGAGCACCCCATGAGCTTAGCTGTGCCTGCCCTCTCACCAGCATGGTCACATTCCTGCTTTCGTAGACGAATGAATCTTCCGGGCCTTCCCATGGGCGTTCTGCCTCACAGGGCTTGTCCACACAACTGCCCACCTCTGAGCCTTTTAACGCCTCTTTCCACCATCTTATAGCAGCGCCAGCACCTCTCCTTTGCTTAGTGTGCTCTGCCTTCTGCCTGCTTCTAGGAGCCATCCGGCAGCACGGTGGCCCATTCCCTAGGGTCCTGAGCAAGGCATTAAGTCCTGTATCCTAGGAGAGTCCTCCCGAACTGATACCCCCACCTTTCTCCAGCTTCATGGGCTTTCCCCTTGGTTCAGCTCTCTCAGCACCCAGTTCTCATCACGTGTGCCCCGTCCCTGCAAGCGCTTTTTGGCTCCATTCTGCAGCTCCCTTGGTACAAGGTCCTTTTCCTCTCTTACCAGGCCTGGTGCCATCATGGCCAGGACTGGAAAGGAGAGAGATGCTGGGGTTAATGTCCTGCAGGAGGGAAGCCTCCGTCTCCTGTGAGGAAGGTACTCTCGCCCCGGTGGGAAGAGTGGGGCCACTTCTGTGCACTCCGGGCTTACGGGCTCGGGGGATTTGAGGTTTTGGGAGTACATCAACCCAGATGTCTGCATCTCATGCATCAGAGCCCTGCATCTGGCACAGCAGCCTGTCTAGGTGGAGCATTTAACCTTCTTGGGAGCTTGGCTGATCTTACAACTAAATCCTGGGTCTAGTCCTCAGCTTTCTCTACCTTGCAGCTGCAAGAGATAAAAACCTCTTTATGTGTTCCTAAGGTGGCTTTCACCCTTAGCTGTTAATTGCCTGTTAATCATTCTCAGCTTTTGTCATTTCCCAAAGTCTTTGTGTTTAGCAGCAACCACCTAGTTTAACTGTGGTTTTTGGGTTTGTGAGACAGGGTCTTGCTCTGTCACCCAGGCTGAAGTGCAGCGGCATCATCACAGCTCACTGCAACCTCGACCTCCCAGGCTCAAGAGATCCTTCTGCCTCAGCCTCCCAAGTAGCAGGGACTACACCACCACACCTGGCTAATTTTTATTTTTTATGGGGACGTGGGTCTTGCTATGTTGCCCAAGCTGGTCTTGAACTCTTAGGCTCCAGCAATTCTCTTACCTCAGCCTCCCAAAGTGCTGGGATTGCAGGCGCGAGCCGCTGCTCCTGGCCCTACGTTCTATAGGTATTCTCTCCCCTCATACCTCAAACTCCTGACACAGGGCACCCACTAGTGGATAGTGTTCCCCAGAATACCATTGCATTTCATCAGCAGTGGAAGCTTTCACAACCTCATTGCTACCGTGTGCCCGACCTATCTACGCTTCCTCTACCAACCATGAAGAGGTCCTCACTGCCAGCCTGGTAGTCAGCAGTCCAGCTCCAGAATCCCACCTCAGCATCCGCATTTTGCAGCTCACTCCCGGCACACACGATCATAGCTGGAGCTCCCCACAGGAAGTAGACTCTGAGATAAAGATGACCACACAGAAGTTTACTGGTACCCCAGGAGCAATACCTTTGGAACCGAAGACTCGTAGGGGTAGGGAAAGAGCAATGTTGGGCAGAGGAAGATAGAGCCTCAACATCGTCCCAAGTTTGGGTGAAAAGACTGGACCTTTAAAAAACCCTACTGACCAATCACTGGATGCAGCTGCCCAGAAAGGAGGCAGGACCCGAGGTCAAGATGATGCTCTTCAGCTGAGGAAACTCCCAAAGAGGACGGCAGCTGCGGACTGTCTGCTGTCCACAGCAGCGCGTGGGGAGGTCGGCCTGCAGTCCTGGAGGGAATCTGGGTGGCTAATCACGCAACCACTAGATTAGGTACAGATGCAGGCTGGTCCGAGACAGGATTCTCTTGCGACTGCTCCAGACGTTTCTGTTAGTAGAAAGCCAGATCACCCGATGGGCGGGGAGAGGCGCGTGCACTGTTTAACGTGGTCTAACTCAGACCAAGGGTGGGGGAACCCCCGCCCGAGGAGGAATCTGTTTTTAAGCTGAGATTAAATCAAGTGCGACCCCTGATTAAACTCAGCCTTTTGCTTAACTGTACTTGTCAATATAACACATAATTGGAAGCTTTTAAGCATATTTGGGACAATTTGGGTGTGAGTCTACCTTTTCAACTGTAAGTTTTACAAGATGTAAATGCAGATCGAGTATTTCTCATGAAAATGTAGCATCCAGGTGGAGATGTGATGGAAGTGCAAATTACACACTAGGTTTGAAAGAGTGTAAGAGTGTAAAATATATCATTAATAATTTTAAAATACTGATTACATGTTGAAATATGTAGATATATTGGGTTAAATAAAATATATTATTAAAATTCTTTTTTCTTTTTTTTTTTTTTTTGAGACGGAGTCTTGCTCTGTCGCCCAGGCTGGAGTGCAGTGGCGAGATCTCAGCTCACTGTAAGCTCCGCCTCCCGGGTTCATGCTATTCTCCTGCCTCCGCCTCCTGAGTAGCTGGGACTACAGGTGCCCGCCACCACACCCGGCTAATTGTTTTGTATTTTTAGTAGAGACGGGGTTTCATCGTGGTTTCATCGTGTTAGCCAGGATGGTCTCATCTCCTGACCTCGTGATCCGCCTGTCTCGGCCCCCTAAAGTGCTGGGATTACAGGCGTGAGCCACCGCGCCAGTCCCTCTTTTTTTTTTTTTTTTTTTTAAGAGACAGGGTCTCACCACCACACCCAGCTAATTTTTGCATTTTTTTTTTGTAGAGAAGAGGGTCTCACTATGTTGCCCAGACTGGTCTCGAACTCCTGGGCTCAAGCGATCCGCCCGCCTCAGCCTCCCAAAGGTGCTGGGATTACAGGCGTGAGCCACCGTGCCCGGCCTCTTTTTACTTTTTCAGTAGGGCTACCAGAAAATTTAAAATCATCCATTTGGCTCGCCTTGTATTTCTTTTGTATTTCTTTGAAACAACGCTGGGTTAGGAACAGTAAGGCATAGCTATATGCAGTTTTCATATTGGCCACCAGGTGGCAGCCTTATACCGGGTGGTTTTCAGACTCTTGGGAGGCCGGTGGGTGGAGCGGGGGACAGACGCAGATTTCACCAGCAAGTGAAAAAGTCCCTTAGCCAGGTTTGTGCTTGCTATTCCATTTTTATATTACTTACGCCTCACATTTATTTGTATGTAGATGGTTGTTGACATAATAAAATACATGTAATTTCCTCTGTGTTTAAGAGCAGTTCTCCCTCACTGAGCTGGGAGTTTCCTTAAGAAACCTGGCTCTTAATTATATAGAGAGAGACTGGGCGCGGTGGCTCTAATTATATATAGAGACACCCAGCGCGGTGGCTCACACCTGTAATCCCAGCACTTTGGGAGGCCGAGGTGGGTGGATCGCCTGAGGTCAGGAGTTCGAGACCAGCTTGACCAACATGGTGAAATACATGTCTCCACTAAAAATACAAAAATTAGCTGGGCATGGTGGCATGCACCTGTAATCCCAGCAACTCAGGAGGCTGAGGCAGGAGAATTGCTTGAACCTGGGAGGAAGAGGTTGCAGTGAGCTGAGATTGCACCACTGCACTCCAGCCTGGGCAACAGAGTAAGACTCCATCTCAAAAAAAGAAAAAAAAATACACACACACACACACAGAGAAAGACAGGGTGACAGGGTCTTGCTCTGTCACCCATGCTGCAGTGCAGTGGTGTGATCATAGCTCACTGCAGCCTCGAACTCCTGGGCTCAAGTGATCCTCATGCCCCAGCCTCCTGAGCAGCACATTACAGGTGCCACCCGCTGCACCCAGCTACTTTTTCTTTTTTTTAAAGGAGTCTCACTATGTTGCCCAGGCTAGTCTCAAACTCCTGGCCTCAAACAATCCACCCGCCTCTGCTTTTTTTTTTTTTTTTGAGACAGTCTCACTCTGTTGCCCAGGCAAGAGTGCAGTGGCACCATCTTGGCTCATTGCAACCTCTTGCCTCCTGGGTTCAAGCAATTCTTGTGCCTCTGCCTCCTGCGTAGCTGGGATTACAGGCATGTGCCACCACGCCTGGCTAATTTTTGTATTTTTGGTAGAGATGGGGGTTTCACCATGTTGGCCAGGCTGGACTCGAACTCCTGACCTCAGATGATCCGCCTGCCTCTGCCTCCCAAAGTGCTGGGATTACAGGTGTGAGCCCCTGCGCCCGGCCGGCTTGATACTATTTTTAATAGTCGACTTTGGATCCCACTCCTGTGCCCAAGCTCTCTCTCATTTTGCTTTTCCCCTCTTCACACATCCATTCTCCAAGTTAATTTCTCTTCATGTCCTTATAATTAAATTCCATCTATAACCTTAATTCCAACCTATTAGACGCATCATCAGAACGGCTGACAGTGCACGGGCAGAGAAAGGTATTAGGAAAGCCAGTGAAGTAGAAAATGCAGGAGGGAGCCCATTCCATTCCTGCCAAGATGCCGGGTTAGTGTGGAATGTTGGCTGCCCCCCAGGACCAGCCATGATAGATTTTTTTTAGATGGAGTCTCACTCTGTCACCAGGCTGGAGTGCAGTGGCAAGATCTCGCCTCACTGCAACCTCTGCCTCCTGGGTTCAAGCGATTCTCCTGCCTCAGCCTCCTGAGTAGCTGGGACTACAGACACCCACTACCACACCTGGCTAATTTTTGTATTTTAATAGCAATGGGGTTTCACCATGTTGGCCAGGATGGTCTCAATTTCCTGACCTCATGATCTGCCCTCCTCGGCCCCCAAAAGTGCTAGGATTACAGGCGTAAGCCACCATTCCCAGCCCATGATGGATCTTTAGAGGGAAACATCAAGAGACAGGAAGACCTGGGAGAAGAAGCAAAGATCGGAACCTGTGGTTACGTGGGGAGGCTAGAGCTGTGGCCCAAGGCAGAAGGCTGTGAACTCGGCTGTGCAAGGAAAAAACAGGAAGTGAGCACCAGGGTTCTGCTCTGCTTCCGACCCAGCTCCAGGGCTTTGGGGCAATGGGTGCCTGCCCCTGGCCTGCAGGTGCCCTCAGGATAAAGTGGGTCATGCCGAGGCACTGTACAGGGGAGGAAATGAAAAAGACTTAGAACTATAAAGTGTGTATCAAATTGCAATAAAAAAGGCCAGGTGTGGTGGCTCACACCTGTAATCTCAGCACTTTAGGAAGCCGAGGTAGGTGGATCAGTTGAGGTCAGGAGTTTGAGACCAGCCTGGCCAACATGGTGAAACCCTGTTCTTACTAAAAATACAAAAATTAGCCAGGCATGGTGGTGGACACCTGTAATCCCAGCTATTTGGGAGGCTGAGGAGGGAGAATCACTTGAACTCAGGAGAGGTTGCAGTGAGCAGAAATCATGCCACTGCATTCTAGTCTGAGCATAAGAGCAAGACTCCATCTCAAAAAAAAAAAAAAAAAAAATACAATGAAAGCAGTGTTTGGAGGAAAGCTTGCCTCCTGAAATACTTTTATGAGAAAAGAACACACTGAAAATTACTGAGCTGAGTATCTAAATTTGTGATGTTAAAAAATCACAAATGGATACATACAGATTAGGAAGCCAGCATTACCCTGATACAAAAGCCAGATAAAAACATCAGAAGAAAATTACCAACCAGTATCTCTCATGAATATAGATGCAAAAACCTTCAATAAAGTACTAGCAAACTGAACCCGACAGCATATTAAAAGGATTATACACCATGATGAAGTGGGAGTTATCCCAGCATGCCAAGCGCTATAGGAAATAACAAGAAAATCCATCAGCGTAATATGCATTAATTGAATGAAAGGGGAAAATCACGTGATCACTTAAATTGATGCAGAAAAGGCCTTTGACAAGATCCAACACCCTTCATGATAAAAAGCACTCAGAGGCTGGGCGCGGTGGCTCACGCCTAATCCCAGCACTTGAGGACGCCGAGGCGGGTGGATCACCTGAGGTCAGGAGTTTGAGACCAACCTGACCAACATGGTGAAACCTCCTCTCTACTAAAAATACAAAAAATAGCTGGGTGTGGGGGCTCACGCCTACAATGCCAGCTACTGAAGAGGCTAAAGCAGGAGAATCTCTTGAACCCAGGAGGTGGAGGTTGCAGTGAGCCGAGAAAGCGCCATTGCACTCCAGCCTGGGCAACAAGAGCAAAACTCCATCTCAAAAAAAAAATAATAAAATAAGTTAGCCGGGCATGGTAGCATAGGCCTGTACTCCAAGCTACCTGGGAGGCCGAGACACGAGACTCACTTGAACCTGAGAGATGGATGTTACAGTGAGCTGAGAGCGAACCTCTGCACTCCTGCCTGGGCAAGAAAGCAAGACTCTAAAAAAGACTGTCTAAGAACCCCATGCAGGCTGAGTCAAGGAAACTAAGAAACTAAGCATCTTGGTAAACCAACGAAAATCAAAGGTAAAATCTTAAAAGCATCCAAAGAAAATCCATTAAACCTTTTTAAAAAGCAACAGTAAATCACTGACTTCTCCACGAATCAACAGAAGCCAGGAGACACTGAAACACCTTCCAAGTCCAAATATCCATGTACATACCCACATGCACGTCTCAACAAAAATTATTTTTCAGAGTGACAGGCAACTTTTACAAGATCAAAATGAATAAATATCTTTTCAGACAGTGGAACAACAGGAGAATTTTCTCCAACAAAATTTTCACTGCATTAAAGGAAAGACTAAAAGTTTCCAGAGAGAGAGAGACCGCCAATCCGGACACATCCTGGGAAAGGAACCGGCCCCCTCCATGGCCTGGCCGAAGTGATGGAAGCTGAGCGTGAGGAAGCCTCAAGATCTAACTGCAGAGGCCGAGCGCGGTGGCTCATGCCTATGATCCCAGCACTTTCGGAGGCCGAGGCAGGCAGATCACCTGAGGTCAGGAATTTGAGACCAGTCTGAACAACATAGTGAAACCCCATCTCTACTGAAAATACAACAATTAGCCGGGCGTGGTAGTGAGTGCCTATAATCCCAGTTACTTGAGAGGCTGAGGCAGAAGAATGGCTTGAACCCAGGAGGCAGAGGTTGCCGTGAGCCAAGATGTCACTGCACTCCAGCCTAGGCAGCAGAACAAGACTCTGTCTCAAAAAAAAAAAAAAAAAAAAAAAAAAAAGTCTAACTGCAGGGTCACAGAAAATGCAGAGAGGGAGGCGGGGAAGAGTGTGGGAGCTGAGAGGACAGTGGCGCCAGCTCCCAGCAGTGGATGCAGAAGGTGTGAGGGGCTGGGGTCTGACGGGGGAGGGGGTGATGCTTGCATGCACATTCCTGAGCACTGGACATGGGGGACTAAAGGCAGAGAAAGGCACCTGGAGTGTGTGGGTCAGCAGTGGTCCCAGTGACAACTCCAGGGGGCTATGGATTGCAGAGCCTGGCCAAGGACTGCTGCCTTCCAGAAAGCCCCACGGGTCAAGCTAGCTTCAGCAGGTAGGGCCTAAATTCTAAACCCAGGGTGGAGCCGTGAGCAGGCAAGAGATATGAAGACCTCAGCTTCCTGAGAAGGCTGGGTTGCCAACATTAACTGCAGCCTGGAAAGGGAACGGTAGTGCTGCCCCTTTGTGGGTGACAAGGACAACTTCAAGCCCACCTCCCCTGGGCCACACAGACACAGGCAGTGCAGTCAGGGCTTCTAAACAGATGCATTTAATGGGAAATCTTAAGGCAGGGGTGGCAGGAGCTGCGGGCTCAGTTGGCGGCCAGGATCTTCTGCACCCAGGGTATGAGCTTGGCGACACGGGCGTACACAGCGGGCGTGGTGGTAGAGCAGGTGCGGCTGCCCCAGGACACAATGCCCACCAGGGTCCAGGCTCCGTCCTTCTGGCAGACCAGGGGGCCTCCAGAGTCACCCTGCAGGAAGGAGAGGAAGTATCTCTAGGCCTGAAAGGGGTGCCAGGGCCTAGGGGACCCTGACCTGGTGGAGTCTAGGGAGGGGTGCGGAGAAATGGTAAGCATGGGCATAGGGGCTGTGCCGGGGTCCTGAGATCTGGGTTCACATGGCAGCCCCCACTCTGCCATGCACTCTTGGAGGGAGCTGGGGCAGGTGGCTTCCCTCTCTAAGCCGGGGCACCATCCATCTCTCCAAACCTCCAGCTCACAGGGCTGCAAGGAAGTCCCCAGGGGCAGCCTCAGCTGCATGGCCTGGAGGAACCCTCATGGGCGGCTGTGACCCCAAGGCCTGGCCCTCACTGGGCCCCAGGAGGGTGTGGGGTTAGTAGATGAGAGCAGAGAGGGGTGGAAAGCCCAGACCTCCCCTGCACCCCGCTCGCCTGGCCAGGGCCTGGGCAGGGCCAGCCTCACCATGCAGGAGGAGACGCCACTGGCCCCGGCACAGATCATCACGTCGGTGATCCTCCTGCCCCAGGACTTCTTGCATTCGGCATTGGACAGGAGGGGCAGGGCTGCCTGCTGCAGCTTGTCAGGGGTCTTGTTGGCTGCAGGACAGGAGGAGGGTCAGGGCCCCTGGGCTCACTCAGCCAAGAGTGGAGGGAGAGACCCGGGGCCGACACGCCTGCCCTACCCTGCACCATCACCACGATGTTGGGTACGGCCCCTGGAGCCTCAGAAGCGCCTGTGGGACAAGGGGGCCTCGGCCCTGCCCGGGTGGGAGCCCCACGCTGCGACTCCAGGCAGGTCAGCCAGGGCAGGGCTCACCCGGCCGGGCGCTGCTCAGAAGCTCCCTGTGCAGGCTCCTCATGATCCGACCTGGATTTTATTTGCATTTGGGGGATTTTAAATTCAGAAGATTTTCAATAACGAACGGGCAGTTAGGAGCGTGTTGGAATTTAGAGCCAAACGGTCACGGGGGGACTCCACGGCCAGGCAGCCCAGACCCCAGAGGCAGCCCCGCGGCCCCTCACCGTTGTACTTGGTCTTGCCCCAGCCTGTGGTGGCACACAGTGTCCCCGCGGGGAAGTCGTCGTCGGCGCTGGGCAGGCACACGGCGGACACTGTCTGGGAGAAGCGGGCAGGTGTGGCCAGCTTCAGCAGGGTGATGTCATTGTTCACGGTCAGAATGCTGAACTTGGGGTTCTTGAAGACCTGGGGGTGGGGGCCAGAGTGCCGGGGTGAGGCCCTGGGAGGAGGCAGGACCTGCAGGCTTCGAGGACAGACTCCTTCCCTGGTGCCCGTTAAGGAGCAGTCCATCCCCAGGGCCGGAATGGGAATCACGAGGCCGGCCCGGCCCCACTGGGCGCCTGTCCCTGAAGCAGCCGAGGGGTCTCCCCCCGTGCCCACGGCCCTGCCCTCTGCTGCACGGGGCCTGGGTACCTTGGCGATCTTCAGGACCTGGATGTTCTCCTCGTCAGAGCCCTGGTCAAACTCCCCAGCCACGACCACGTCGGAGGTCCTGGGCAGAGCGTTGTGGGTGAGAGAACATGCCCTGCTCCCCTCCCACCCGACCGGTGCTGGAAGCGGAGCCCAAGGCTGCCCGGTCCTCACCTGACCCCGCAGTGGGCAGCGGTGACCACCCAGTCCTCGCTGATGAGGGAGCCCCCGCAGAAGTGGAAGCCGGTTTTGTCCTGTGAGCAAGATGGGGAGGGTCAGCACCTCCCACCCGGGGGCACCCCCAGCCTGGCCCCTACCCAGGGTGCCCCCCACCTTGCAGAACCCCCTCACCTGCAGGGACACCTGCCAGGGCCAGGAGCCGGGGACGGCGTCCTCCCCATTCACGATCCTGGACAGGCCGCTGAGCACAGGGTGGATGGCGGGGACCCCGCAGCCTGGGGGCGGGAGTGGGCTGAGGGGTGGGTACCACCCACCCAGGTCCTAATGCTCCAGCCTCCTCTCACTCCCAACTCTTTTCCAGTCTCTGGGACCTAGACTGGCTCCCACATCCCCTTCTCTGAGAAGTTGGCCCTGGCTCTCCTCTCCGCAGAGCTGGAATCCCCAGGTACAACTGAGTCCAATGAACTGGGCTGTGGGCTGCTGAGGAATGGGGTGTTGGCCCCACCTCAGTTCGGAGAAGTCACACAGGTGGAGCGTGCGGTGGGCGGCAGCCCCGGCGCTCAGTCTGGGAGGCCAGACTCTGTGGGTTTGAACCTGGCTCCCTCCCTGCCCAGCTAAGCCACTCAGTGTCCCCATCAGCAAAGTGGGGATCACGCTGTTTCTGACCTCACAGGTTTGGTAGAGTGAGCAGGCAGAGCGCCAGCTCTGCGCCTGGCACCCGGGAAGTGCTCCGTGAGCAGGAGTTTAAGAGGGTGAGGCTCGAGGTTCTGAAAGGTTTGGACTGAACGGTGCCAAGCCCCAGCTGCCCACACATTCACCACCCAAACCTGTGCTGGGGCCGCTGACTGTTTGGGGGTTTCCCGAAGGCCTCAGGGCAGCCCCCGGACACCTGCCTCCTCCCCCCGCCTCCTCCCCTGAGAGCCTCAGGTCTGCTGGGGGTGAGGAAGGGGAGCGGGACTCCCCATCTCCTGAGCTCAGAGGCGGCAGCTGAGCCTGGGAGGGAGGCATTGACCTCTCAGCGCCCACGGCAGAGATGGAGCCGGTGACTCGCCCAGGCCCACACTGCGGTGCACAGCTGAACTGGGAGCTGGGACCCTGCTGCCTCTTGCTGGCCTCGGGGCTGGGAGTGAGAGGAGAAAACCCTTCGGCCTCCGCAGGGCCTGGCACTCACCGAAGGTGGTACCCAGGAGGGCCCAGCAGGAGAGGAGCCAGAGGAAAGCCATGGTGCCGCTGGCAGGGGTGTAGGACGCCTGTCTGCCGGTCCCCGTTATAGCCCTGTGTGCCTGCTGTTATCTGGAGACCTTGGGGCGATAATCCCTTCCCTGGGAGTGGGCAAGATGTGTCGGTGCAGGGCTGGCCAGGAAGCCTGGGATGGCAGCAGCTGTGGCCTTAGCTGAGCCGGGCTAACCCAGGTGGCCTTCGACCATTGCCTTTCTCCTCCAGGCCCAGGCTTGGGCAGGGGCCTCCAGGGGCTGAGTCCAGCATCCCCGGGTTTGAGCCCCAGCTGAGTCTCTTGTGCTCTGCAAAGAATTCACTTGATCTTTTCATGGTTTGAAAACCCCTGGGCAGGCCGGGCATGGTGGCTCACGCCTGTAATCCCAGCACTTTGGGAGGCTGAGGCGGATGGATCACGAGGTCAAGAGATCAAGACCATCCTGGCCAACATGGTGAAACTCCGTCTCTACTAAAAATACAAAAAATTAGCCAGGCGTGGTGGCGCACACCTGTATTCCCAGCTACTTGGGAGGCTGAGGCAGGAGAATGGTGTGAACCCGGGAGGCGGAGGTTGCAGTGAGACGAGATTGCGCCACTACACTCCAGCCTTGTGACAGTGAGACTGTCTCAAAAAAGGAAAAAAAACAAAAAAAAAGAAAAAAACCCAATGGGCAATGTGACCAAGTAGAGGAGAGGCTGGGGGAGCAGGCCTGTGCCCCATGGTGTAGCCAGAGGCTGGGGTGCGGGTGCTCGCCGGGTCCCAGGGGATGGCTAAGAAGGCTCAGTGAAGGCCCAGTCGACATCTGTGTTGGTCACTTGGGCTGTGTACAGGGGAGGGGTAGCTACCTGCTGTCCTCACACTGGGCCACCCCTGCACACAGGCGCCAGCACACCTGGGCCCTGGAGCTGAGCAGGTGGCATCAGAGGGCAAGACTGGGCCTAGGGCCCGGCCTGGGGGCCTGGCATCGCCCTGATGAGAACTGATGGAGGCTGAGCCTCAGGGCAGAGCATGGGCGGGGACACCTGGTTCCTCGTGCGGGTGGCAGCATGGGTGGTGGAGCCCTTTCTCAGCAACTGGGAAACGGGGGAGGGAGAAATTTTGGATTGAGGCTGCCAGATGGAGGGCAAGTTCCCCAAAATGCACAGGAAAAGGTGCCTCGTGGCTGTTTTCAATTCCACCACACTGATGCCTGCAGCATGTGTGTTTACAGCACGGGTTGTGGGGTCAGGCAGCTGTGGAGCCGTGGGCAAATGACTTGCCCTCTCTGATCCTGTATGTAATTGAGGATGCTTAGAGTATGGGTCCCATGACAAAAGGAAGAGCCTTCTTGAGCACCAGGACCAGGCCAAGCATGCAATCCACGCTGGCGGGGCCCCTACATTCCTCTTTCTTGAGTGAATCACCTGTTCAGGCCCTTCGCTCATTCTAGAAGATTGTCTGAGGACAGAGGGGTTGGCGGGCACCAGCAGGACGGAGCATGGCCTGGTCGGGATGAGACGCACCCACCTCTGCATGCACATGGGCTCTTCCTGCCAGCCAGTGCCCACCAGGCCCACGGGAACAGCTGAACAAAACCAACAAATTCCTGCGTGTGGCAGCTGACAGCCGGGAGGAGGCTGGAGAGTTTAGGGAAGAGAGTCAATTTTTAAAATAAGTAAAATACACACACCAGCAGCTAAAGAGTTCTTCTTCTCATTATTATTACTGATACTGAGGCCAGGAGGGCCTCACTCTGAAGGGGAGATTTAAGCAAACAGCCTAGGAGTTTGTGGGAGCAGTCCAGAGCACCCTCGGAGGAGAGGAAACGAACCTGGGGTCGCAGGACCCAAAGAGGTCTGCGTCCCTAGGGCAGCGAAGAGCTCAGAAGTCGAGGGGGCGGGCCCAGGAGGGCCCTAAGGAGACGGTACTAGAGCCTCAGGGGCAGCCCCTAGCTATAAGCTGGCTGGGGCAGATGGGGGAAAGGGCGCAAGCCCTCACCTGGCCTGAGTGACCTGTGGCCCCAGCTGTGTGGCCTTAGGAGCTAACCGCTGGCCAGGACGTCACCCGCCATGTCCCCAACCCCGCAAAGGCTACAGAGGCTTGTGGGAACCGTGCAGCTGCAGCAGTGGTCGGGGACAGGCACGCACAGGTGTTCCCACTCCACTGCTCCTGGGGAAGGGACCCCTCCCCCACACTGCCCTCCAGTCCCCATGGGATCTGGACCCGAACGGCGAGGAAGGAGCCCGGGGACACTCAGGACAGATGAGTCAGGACACACGCGTGAGCCGGGGCCCTGGTGGATCGGGGAGGCAGAACCGTGGCCTTGGCCAGAGTGGGAGCGGGAGGGATGAGCTGGGGGTCCCCACGTGCTGCAGCCTCCTGGCCACCTCTTCCTTTACTTACCTTGAAATGCCCTCACTTAAAATGTATATAAAGCCAGGTGCAGTAGCTCATGCCTGTGATCCCAGCACTTTGGGAGGCCGAGGCAGGAGGCTCACTTGAGCCCAGGAGTTCAAGACCAGCCTGGGCAACATGGTGAGACCCCGTCTGTACAAAAAATAAATTAGTCAGGTGTGATGGCGCAGGCATGGAGTCCCAGATCCAGGCTGGGACTTGGGAAACTGAGATGGGAGGATCACTTGAGCGTAGGAGGTGGAGGCTGCAAGTGAGCGGTGATCATGCCACTGGACTCCAGCCTGGGCGACAGGGTGAGAGCCTGTCTCAAAAAAACAAAAACAAACAAACAAACAAACAACCAAACAAACAACGAAGTGGATATAGGTTGATAACTTGTGAGGATCCAGGCACCTCTGTACCCACCACCTGCCTCAAGGCAGAGACCATTTCCTTCACAGCCCCTTGGCAGTCAATCCCCCACCTCCAGAAGCAACCACTGTTCTGATTTCTTTACCCGGAGGTTAGGTTTTGGTTTTGGTTGAAAGAGGCTGGTTCTGATGCCCAGGCTGTAGTGCAGTGGCATGATCACGGCTCACTGCAGCCTCAGCCTCCTCAGCTCAAGCAATCCTCCCACCTCAGCCTCCTAAAGTGCTGGGATTACAGGTGTGAGTCATCGCACCAGGGGATGTTGTCGTTATTGTTAAATTTTAAAAACTGTTAGCAGCCAGGTGCAGTGGCTCATGGTTGTAATCCTTGCGCTTTGGGAGGCCAAGGGGAGAGGATCCCTTTAGCTCAGGAGTTCAAGACCAGCCTGGGCAGCATAGTGAGACCTGTCGCTAAAAAAAAAAAAAAAAAAAAAAAAAGCCAGGCATGGTAGCTGGCACCTGTAATCCCAGGTACTGGGGATGCTAAGGTAAGAGCATGGCTTGAGCCCGGGAGGAGGAGGTTGCAGTGAGCTGAGATCACGCCACTGCACTCCAGCCTGGGGGACAGAGCCAGACCTTGTCTCACACACACACACAAAACCAACTTTAAATTGTGGTAATACACATAACAAAATTGACCATTGCACCCGTTGTTTCTTTGCTTGTTTGTTTGCTTTTGAGATAGAGTCTCACTCTGTCGCCCAGGCTGGAGTGAAGTGGCATGATCTTGGCTCACTGCAAGCTCTGCCTCCCGGGTTCATGCCATGCTCCTGCCTCAGCCTCCTGAGTAGCTGGGACTATAGGCGCCCGCCACCACGCCCAGCTAATTTTTTTGTATATTTCAGTATAGATGGCGTTTCACTGTGTTAGCCAGGATGGTCTCGACCTCCTGACCTCGTGATCCGCCCACCCCGGCCTCCCAAAGTGCTGGGATTACAGGCTTGAGCCACCATGCCCGGCCCGCACCTGTTTTTAAGTGTACCATTCAGCGCTAAGCACGTCCACAGTGCCGTGCGGCCACTCATCTCACGGAACTGAAACTCTGAATCCTGCCCATCAGTTAGTTTTCGGGTTCTGGAATTTCATGTGAACAGAACCCAGGTGTTTCTGGAAATCCGGCTGCTTTCACTCAGCATCTGGTCTTTGGAGTTCACCCACGCTGTTGCAGAGAGCAGCAGTCTCTTCCTTTTTATTGCTGGAATGCACTACAGTTTGTCTATCTGTTCTGTAGTTTTGATCTATTATGAATAAAGCTGCTATAATAAATAAAACATATATTAAAACATCCAAAGGCAAGTCTTTATGCAGATGTGTGTTCATTTCTCTTGGGCAAACACCTAGGAGTAGGCCAGGCACGGTGGCTCACGCCTGCAATCCCAGCACTTTGGGAGGCTGAGGTGGGCAGCTCACTTGGGGTCAAGAGTTCAAGACCAGCCTGGCCAACATAGTGAAACCCTGTCTCTACTAAAAATACAAATAGTAGCCGGGCATGCTGATGTGTGCCTGTATTCCCAGCTACTCGGGAAGCTGAGGTGGGAGAATTGCTTGAACCCGGGAGGCGGAGGTCGTGGTGAGTCGACCAAGCCATGGCACTCCAGCCTGGGTGGCAGAGCAGGACTCCGTCTCAAACAAAATATATGAGTAGAACAGCAGGGTCGTAGGCTGGGCCTGTGTTTATGGAAACTGTCAAAGTGTTTTCTCAGTGGCCATCTACTTTTCCTTCATAGCAAAGCAAAGCAAAGCAGGATCTGAGTCTGCAGCCCCCTCTGAGCATCTGCCCTTCTGAGAGGCACCTTCATAAAATTCCCTTGCCCCCTTCCGAAAGGCAGAGGACTTGGGAGCTGGTACACAGTGGGTTAGGAGGTGAGACCCTTCTCTTTTTTTTTTTTTTTGAGACAGGGTCTCACTCTGTCACCCAGGCTGGAGTACAGTGGCACGATCACGGCTCAGCACAGGCTTGACCTCCCAGGTCCAGCCTCCCAGTTAGCTGGGACTACAGGTGTGGGCCACCATGCCTGGCTAATTTTTGTATTTTTTTGTAGAGACAAGATCTCCCTATGTCGCCTAGGCTGGTCTCAGACTCCTGGGTTCAAGCAATCTGCCCGCTTCGGCTGCCCAAACTGCTAGGATTACAGGTGTGAGCCACTGTGCCTGGCCAGGACCTTTCTCACAGCACCAGTGGGCTTGTCTAAACTTACCAAGTGGAGCGATTTAATGGAATGGTTCTTTGCCTAAACCCTTTCCGCTGGGTTTTGTCCCTCACCAAATGAGGCTGGGGGAATGTTTTTTTAGAGAAAGCACAGGGTGCTCCCTGAGCCAACGAGATCCCATGCAGCTTGCTTAGAAAACAATTGTCCCCCTGCTCCATGTTGATGCCTGGCTAGCAATAGTGGGGAGATGGGCTGGGGGGCGTTTCCTGACCCAGGAGGACAGCGAGTGTGGGCGCCGGATGTCCAGCAGGCGCTCAGCCCTTGTGGAGATCAGTGACATCTGCCCAAATGGGAACCAGCGGGGGCTGCTTATTCAGAGCTTGCCACAGCAAGGGAGTCGGCCTCTGTCACTTGCATTGACTAAGACGCCAAGGCCGGCAGGGTGGAGGGAAAGCTTCATGGAGGGAAGGGGAAGGCTCGCTGTGTCCTGGCTGGTGGCTATTGGTGTGGGGAAGTGGGAGGCAGGCTGCTGTGTGGTCTGCGTGTTTGTCCTACTGACACTTGTATGGAAATGTTATTAGTTTTTTGTGTTTTGTGTGTGTTTTTTTTTTTTAAGAGTCAGGGTCTTGCTTTGTTGGTCCAGGCCGGAGTGCAGTGGTGCGATCACAGCTTACTATATAGCCTTGACCTCCTGGGCTCAAGCGACTCTCCCATCTCAGCCTCCCGAGTAGCTGGGACCACAGGTACACGCCACCACCCTGGCTAATTATTTATTTTTGCAGAGATGAGGTTTCAACATGTTACCCAGGCTCATCTTGAACTCCTGGGCTCAAGTGATCCGCCTGCCTTGACCTCCCAAAGCACTGGAGTTACAGGTTTGAGTCACTGCACCTGGCCGCATTGTTTGTATTAACAGGTGGGACCTGTAAGTGGTGATTAGCGTGTGGGATGGGGGGGGTGGGGCTCTGCTTCCCAGGTGGGATTAATGCCATTATATTAATAAAAGGCAAGCAACCCCCCTCGCGTCTCTCTTTGCCCTTCCACCTTCCACCAGGTGAAGATATGGAGTTCAAGACATCAGCCTGTGGCCAGGGTCGCCCACCCTGCCTGTTGACTTTGGACTTGCAGCCTTCAGAACTGTGAGAAAATACATTTCTATCCACTATAAATGACCCAGTCTGAGGTATTCTGTCCCGCAGCACTCAGGGCCTCAGGAGGCCTTCAGGCGCGCTCCGAACTCCGAGTGGGCGTCTTCTGTGACTGTCAGGGCGTGTGTGGCTTTTTAGGGCTGGCCGGTGGGGCTGCTGCTGTTTGGAGCCCTGGGCTTGTTGCTGCGCAGCGGGCAGAGTTCTGGTTTTTTAGGCGGTCTGTCCCCTGTTCGCGTGTGTATTCAGTCTCTCCCCTTCCATGCAGAGTTTTGTGGCACAGGCGTGGGTACCGGGAGTTGCAAAGAGCTGGGGCCATTTCTCAGTTGACGGCAGGATCTGCTCTTGGAGGTGGTGGGGATTGGTGGGGTGGGTTCTACGGAGAATTGGCATTCTCTTGTGAGGCCACCACCCTGGTTATCACTGAGAGCTCTGATGGAGAGACAGGTCGGCTCCCTCAGCCGCAGTAAGGGGATGCCCGTGTGGGCGAGGGAGTCTGGGGGAGATTTGGGTTCCGGGTTCTTTATCCTTGTTCTGTCTGCCTAAAAGCCCTTGCCCTGTGTCTCAGGGTGCCCACGCCTGTTGTGTAGTTCCTTAGCTTAGGGAGCACGGTGGGGTTGGGCATAGTGTATTTAACAATTTTTTTTTTTTTTTTGAGACAGGGTCTCACTCTGTCGTCCAGGGTGCAGTGTAGTGGCGCGATCTCGGTTCACTGCAACCTCCGCCTCCCGGGTTCAAGCGATTCTCCTGCCTCAGCCTCCTGAGTAGCTGGGATTACAGGCATGTGCACTACACCCAGCTAATTTTTATGTTTTTTGTAGCAATGGGGTTTTGCCACGTTGGCCAGGCTGGTCTTGAACTTCTGACCTCAGGTGATCTGCCTGCCTGGCCTCCCAAAGTGCTGGGAGTATAGGTGTGAGCCACTGCGTCTGTCCTAACAGGTCTTGCACCTCTACCTCTGACAGGCCCCTGGCTTGTCCTCAGCCACGTCTGTCCTGTGGCCCCCGGGAGATGGGGGCTCCTCCAACGCCTTCTGATTGTCAGCCACGCTCTAGGCTGAATATTCCCTTCCTTCAGCTTCTCCTTTTGCCTGAATTTGCTCTCCATAGCCATTGGACGAAGACTTCTGACTCCATAATACTTAACAGCTTTACCGAGCTGTTAAGAGCTGTTATGTGTAATTCACATACCATACAATTCGCCCATGTAAAGTGTGCAATTTGATGGATTTTGGTTTATTCCACTGATTTTATTTAATTATGGTAAAATATAGGTAACATAAAATTCGCTGTTTTAACCGTTTTTTTTTTTTTAGACGGAGTTTCACTCTTGTTGCCCAGGCTAGAGTGCAATGGTGCAATCTCAGTTACCGCAACCTCCGCCTCCCAGGTTCAAGCAATTCTCCTGCCTCAGCCTCCTGAGTAGCTGGGATTACAGGTGCATGCCACCACACCCGGTTGATTTTTGTATTTTTAGCAGAGATGGGGTTTCTCCATGTTGGTCCGGCGGCTGGTCTCGAAATCCTGACCTCAGGTGATCAGCCTGCCTTGGCCTTCCAAAGTGCTGGAATTACAGGTGTGAGCCACCGTGCCCAGCCCATTTTAACCATTTTTAAGTGTACAATTAGTGGCGCTAATTACATTCTACAATACTAATTACATTCAGAATTTGTGCGAGCATCACCACTATTTACAAAATTCTGTACCCAGTGAACAATAACTCTGCATTCCTCTCTCCCCTCAGTGCCTGTGGGCCTCTAACCTAGTTTTTGTCTTTATGAATTTGCCTATTAAGAATGTTTCATGGCCGGGTGTGGTGGCTCATGCCTGTAATCCCAGCACTTTGGGAGGCTGAGGCGGGCAGATCACGAGGTCAGGAGATCGAGACCATCTTGGCTAACATGGTGAAACCCCGTCTCTACTAAAAACACAAAAAATTAGCCGGGCGTGGTGGTGGGCGCCTGTAGTCCCAGCTACTTGGGAGGCTGAGGCAGGAGAATGGCGTGAACCTGGGAGGCAGAGCTTGCAGTGAACCGAGATGATGCCACTGCCCTCCAGCCTAGGCGACAGAGCGAGACTCTGTCTCAAAAATAAATAAATAAAAATAAAGTTTCATTTATTAGCTGGGTGTGGTGGCGCATGCCTGTAATCCCAGCTACTCAGGAGGCTGAGGCAGGAGAATGGGGTGAATCTGGGAGGTGGAGGTTGCAGTTGAGCCGAGATCATGCCACTGCACTCCAGCCTGGGCGACAGAGTGAGACTCTGTTTCAAGAATAAAGTAAATAAAGATGAGACACTCCAAGTCAGCCAGGCGTGGTGGCTCACAAAAAAGTTTTTCAAAAAAAGGTTTCATATAAATGGAATCATGCAATAATTGTCTTTGTATTGCTTATTTTCAGGTAGCAGACATCATTTTAGATTCGGCTGGGTGTGGTGGCTCACGCCTGTAATCCCAGCATTTTGGGAGGCCGAGGCGGGTGGTTCACAAAGTCAAGAGATTTTGAGACCATCCTGGCCAACATGGTGAAACCCGTCTCTACTAAAAATACAAAATTAGGTGGGTGTGGTGGCAGATCCCTGTAATCCCAGCTGCTCCGGAGGCTGAGGCAGGAGAATTGTTTGAACCCGGGAGCCGGAGGTTGCAGGGAGCCAAGATTGCACCACTGCACTCCAGCCTGGGCAACAAGAGCAAAACTCTGTCTCAAAAAAAAAAAATCCATCTTTTGGCGTATATCAGTACCTGATTCATTTTGTTTTGTTTTTGTGTTTGTGTTTGAGACAGGGTCTCGCCCTGTTGCCCAGGCTGGAATGCAGTGGCACAGACACAGCTCACTTCAGCCTTGACCACCTGCGCTCAAGCGATCTTCCTGCCTCAGACTCCCATGTAGCTGGGACCACAGGCACATACCACCACACCCAGCTGATTTAAGAAAAAAATTTTTGTAGAGACGGGGTGTTTGTTGCCAAGGCTGGTCCTCAAACTCCTGGCCTCCCACAGTGCAGGGATTACAGGTGTGAGCCCCCACACCAGGCCTGCTTCATTCCTTCTTATGACTGAATAATAGTCCTGTGGAGAGCTCATGTCTTACTCATTCCTCTGCTGATGAACAACAGGGGTGATTTCTGTCTTTTGGCTGTTGGGAATAGTGCTGCTGTGAACACTGGTGTGCGAGTGTCTGCTTAAGTCCTTTTATTTAGGGGGAGTGGAATTGTCAGGTCATGAGGTAACTCTGTTTATTTTGTGGAATTGCCAAACTGTTTTCTTTGCACTTCTTTTTACTCTTTTTTTTGAGACAAGGCCTTGCTCCGCTGCCTAGGCTGGATCTCGGCTCACTGCAGCCTCGATCTCCCAGGCTCAAGTTATCCTCCTACTTCATCCTCTTGAGTAGCCGGGACTATGCCACCACGCCACCATGCCCAGCTAATGTTGTTTTTTTTAAATTTTTTTGTAGAGATGGGGTCTCACTTTGTTGCCCAGGCTGGTGTTGGACTCCTTGGCTTAAGTGATCCTCCCACCTTGGCCTCCCACAGTGCCAAGATTCCAGGCGTGAGCCACTGTGCCCAGCCATGCCGAACTGTTTGCATAGCAGCTTCACCATTTTACATTCCCAGCAGCAATGTATGAGGGTTCCAGTTTTTCCACATCCCACACTTGTTATTTTCTGTTTCTTTAAATTGTAGCTATCAGCCTGGTGTGCTGGCTCACGCCTGTAATCCCAGCACTTTCGGAGGCCGAGGTGGCTGGATCGCTTGAGGTCAGGAGTTGGAGATCATCCTGGCCAACATGGCAAAACCCCATCTCTACTAAAAATACAAAAATTAGCTGGGCATGGTGGCAGACGCCTGTAATCCCAGCTACTTGGGGGGACTGAGGCAGGAGAATCGCTTCAACCTGGGAGGCAAAGGTTGCAGTGAGCTGAGGTCACACCCCTGCACTCCAGCCTAGGCGACAGAGCAAGACTCTGTCTCAGGGGAAAAAGAAAAAAAAAGGGTAACATGGTGATGTGAACTTTTGAAATTTTCTCTTTAGTATATAAGTTTAGTTTTGCTTTATAGTTGTGCATTCTCCAGCAGCGGTGGGAGTGGGGAGGGGATATTCTAAATGCCAAGGTGACCTGGCCCGCTGACCACAGAGCCCAAGGCCTTCCATGGAAACACCATCCACCCACTGTGTCTTACTTTCATACCCTCATCGTCCGGAAATGCAGTACAGCCTGTCCTGTCCAGCCTTGCCCCAGGTGACTGTGGTCACTATATTACATGCTCATCTGTGTCGTGTGTGTCTGTCATGAGCGTCTCAGGCCCATAAGGGCAGGGATGCTGCGGGCTCTGTCCCCTGAATATCTGCCCACAGGGTGCTGAGGATCCCTTGGCCTTCACTTTCTGCCCAGTCACCGACCTGTCACCCACACCTGTCTTTCCTCCTTGTTTTGTGACAATGAAAAAAGTTTTTCTGCTTCCTCAAAATTTATTTTCAGACAGGCGCAGTGACTCACGCCTGTAATTTCAGCACTTTAGGAGGCCAAGGCCACAGGATCACCTGAGGCCGGGAGCTCAAGAGGAGCCTGGCCAACGTGGTAAAACCCTGTCTCTACTAAAAATACAACAATTGGCCAAGTGCGGTGGCTAACGCCTGTAATCCCAGCACTTTGGGAGGCCGAGGAAGGTGGATCACCCGAGATCAGGAGTTTGGGACCAGCCTGGCCAACATGGTGAAACCCCGTCTCTACTAAAAATATAAAAATTAGCCAGGTTTGGTGCTATGCCTGTAATCCCAGCTACTCAAGAGGCTGAGGTGGGAGAATTGCTTGAACCTGGGAGGTGGAGGCTGCAGTGAGCCAAGATTGTGCCACTGCACTCCAGCCTAGGCAGCAGAGCAAGACCCCATCTCAAAAAAAAAAAAAAATAGCTGGGTGTGGTGGGCACCTGTAATCCCAGCTACTTGGGAGGCTGAGGCAGGAGAATCAGTTGAACCCGGGAAGAGGAGGCTGCAGTGAGCTGAAATTGCGCCACTGCACTCCGGCCTGGGTGACAGAGTGAGACTCCATCTTAAAAAGTTTGTTTTCTGTGTCATTTTATGGTGCGGAATCCAAGTTCCATTTTGTAAGAAACTGAAACTTTATGAAATGATTAGTTCCTTATATCATGAGTCATTGCAGAAAAAGTGAATTCTGTTGGGTTCTACAGCACAGGTGGGACGCGTGTCAGTGGCTTTGCCCACCTGTTACGGCCACCAGCGGGTTGGTCCTTGTCACCCAGACCCTCGCCACAGTCAGAAGTGGCTTGGCTTCACTGGTGACTTGCAGTGACACTCTGGAGAATCCACGATGCCCTGAGTCACCCTTTGCTTCTAGGACAGTGTTAGGCGGAAACACCCTTCACTGAGAGCCTGAGTTCCCGGAGACCTGGTTCCATGACAGCAGCTGGTCCTCCACGAGCCCTGGGGTGGAACTGCCTCCACTTCCCCTCTGGGAACAGAAGAGCCTGGTGCCGTCTCCTGGCAGGGATACTGCAGCTCACAGCTGGCTCTGTGGGATCATGTCCCCAAGGCTGACCGGTGATGTCAGCGCAGCTGCCCCTTTCCCAGGGACTGGGGTTGTCTGGTAGAGAGCCAGGCGGGGCTCTGTCTCCACTTATTGCCCAAGGTCCCTGGGTAACAGGGAGGGTGGGCTCAGGCCTCCCTGGCTGGGGGAGCGGGGGGGGCTGGGCTCCCTGCCCCCCCAAGGTGGTAAAAGGGGCCCCGCAGCTGGCAGGCCCCACACCTTCTGAGGCAGCGGCATGGCTTCCCTCTGGCTCCTCTCCTGCTTCTCCCTTGTGGGGGCCGCCTTTGGTGAGTGCTGGTGCCCGAGGGGTCTGTCCTGAGGGAGCCCTGAGCCTGGCTGAGAGGGGGATCTGAGTCCCCTGCTCTGCCCCCTGGGGCCTCATCCCCAGCACAGGTAACCTGAGGGCTCAGGAGAGGGTGCATTCTGGGGCTTTCTGAGCCCACACAACCTGCTCCAGGAGTGGGAAGGACGATGCTGGTCTCTGCCATGGTCTGAGGCTCCAGAAGTGGCTGGGGTGGGGGTGCCTTGTGCAGGGTAAGGTGTGGCCCCAGGAGACCTCCCAAGGCCTCCACCGGGGTTTTTATTGTGCTGGGTACTTGTCAAGCATTTTCTTCCTTTCTTTCTTTTTTTTTTTTCGAGACAGAATTTCACTCCTATTGCCGAGGCTGGAGTGCAATGGTGCAATCTCCACTTACTGCAACCTCCATCTCCTGGGTTCAAATGATCTTCCTGCCTCAGCTTCCCGAGCAGCTGGGACTACAGGCATGGACCACCAACCCTGGCTAATTTTTAGTAGAGACGGGCTTTCACCACGTTGGCCAGGCTGGTCTTGAACTCCTGACCTCAGGTGATGCCCCCGCCTCGGCCTCCCAAAGTGCTGGGATTACAGGCATGAGCTACTGTGCCCAGCCGTGTTTTCTATTTTTTAAAAGAGAAATAGTAAAAGAAAATACAGAAAAGAATATGACATCCTTGTATCTACTGTCAGAATTCAGCAAATCTTTTTGCACATTTGCTTCAGATATTTCTAAAACAGATTGTACTCAGGCTTCCCTTTTCTCCCTCCTTCCCTCTCTGGAATGTGAGCTTGATTCTGAACTTTCTATGAATAATTGCAGTGTGAGCTTATACAATTGTACTACATATTTTTATACATCTATACATAAGGTTTCAAAAAGGTTACATCAATGGAACGGTATTCTATCCTGTTTTTGGTTTTGGTTTTGGTTTTGGTTTTGAGACAGGGTCTCACTCTGTCACCCAGGCTGGAGTGCAGTAGTGTGAGTTTGCAGCCTCAAACTCAAGGGCTCGAGTGATCCTCCCACTATAGCCTCCCGAGTAGCTGGCGCTACAGGCACGCTAAGTTTAAAAACTTGTTTTGTTTTGTAGAGATGGAGGTTTTTTTTGTTATTTTTTTTTCTTTTCTTTGAGACAGAGTTTCACTCTTGTCACCCAGGCTGGAGTGCAGTGGCGTGATCTTGGCTCACTGCAACCTCCGCCTCCTGGGTTCAAGCATTTCTCCTGCCTCAGCCTACTGAGTAGCTGGGATTACAGGCATGCATCACCACACCTGGCTAATTTTTGTATTTTTAATAGAGATGGGGTTTCACCATATTGGTCAGGCTGGTCTTGAACTCCTAACCTCCAGTGATCCGCCCACCTCAGCCTCCCAAAGTGATGGGATTACAGGCGTGAGCCCCCATGCCCGACCTGGGGTCTTATTATGTTGTCCAGGCTGGTCTCGAAATCCTGTGCTCGAGTGATCTGCTCACCTCAACCTCCCAGGGTGCTGGATTACAGGTGTGAGCCACTGTGCCTGGCTGATGTAACTAATACTCCATTCTACCTCCATTCTACAACAATGTGCTTTTTCCCTACTCAAATCTTCTCACTTCCTGCATGTTGACGTGGAGTTTCAGCTCATTCACCTGCATTTTTATAATGCGTGCTCTGTTGTGTGAGTATGCCACCATCTAGTTCTCTTATTTATTTATTTATTTTTTTAGATGGAGTTTCACACTTGTCGCCCTGGCTGGAGTGCAGTGGCATGATTTCGGCTCACTGCAACCTCCACCTCCCAGGTTCAAGCATTTCTCCTGCCTCAGCCTCCTGAGTAGCTGGAACTACAGGCATGAGCCACCACCCCAGCTAATTTTTGTATTTTTAGTAGAGACAGGGTTTCATCATATTGGCCAGGCTGGTCTTGAACTCCTGACCTTGTGATCCACCTGCCTCGGCCTTCCAACGTGCTCTTTCTCATTTTTTTGCTATTACAATACCAGTTTTTGATGCTCTGAAACGTCAGGGAGGCACCTTGCCTGCCTGTGTTCCTGTGGGCAGGAGACGCAGGGGCTGCCTTGTAAGCAGGCGAATATGACCCCAGAAGGGGACAGCTGGTCTGAGGGACGCGGGTGTGCTCAAATGTAAAGCCCAGTTTGTTGGGTTGGCCCGCGCACAGGAGTCGAGAATCTGGTCCTGACATAGCAGAGGCATGGTGGGCGTGTGTGGAACACCTGACTATTTTCATTGTTTTGTTTTCTGCTTCCAATGTGCCATTTTATGGTGTGGAAGTAAAGTCCAGCTGTGTTTGTTTTGATTTTTTCTTGAGATGGAGTTTGGCTCTGTCACCCAGGCTGGAGTGCAGTGGCACGATCTCAGCTTACTGCAACCTCTGTCCCCCAGGTTCAAGCGATTCTCCTGCCTCAGCCTCCCAAGTAGCTGGGATTGTAGGCCTGTGCCACCATGCCCGGCTAATTTTTGTATTTTTAGTAGAGATGGGGTTTTACTATGTTGGCCAGGCTGGTCTTAAATTCCCAACCTCAGGTGATCCACCCCGCTTGGCCTCTCAAAGTGTTAGGATTACAGGCGTGAGCCACTGTGCTGGCCAAAGTCCAGTTTTATTAAATAAGAAACCAAGACCGGATATATGGGGGCTCATGCCTGTGATCTCAGCATGTTGGGAGATCAAGGCAATAGGATTGCTTCAGCCCGGGAATTTGAGGTTGCAAGGCTGGGCACGGTGGCTCACGCCTGTAATCCCAGCACTTTGGGAGGCCGAGGCGGGTGGATCACAAGGTCAGGAGATCGAGACCATCCTGGCTAACACGGTGAAACCCCGTCTCTACTAAAAATACAAAAATTAGCTGGGCTTGGTGGCGGGCACCTGTAGTCCCAGCTACTCGGGAGGCTGAGGCAGGAGAATGGCGTGAACCCAGGAGGCGGAGCTTGCAGTGAGCCAAGATTGTGCCACTGTACTCCAGCCTGGGCAACAGAGCAAGACTGTCTCAAAAAGAAAAAAAAAAAAAAAAAAAAAAGGAATTTGAGGTTGCAGTGGGCCATGATGACACCACGGCACTCCAGCCAGGGTGACAGAGCAAGACCCTAACTGGAAAAAAAAAAAAGAGAAACCCAAACTTTACACAATGTTTCCTGAAATTGTGGAATTCAACCTGCCCACCCAGGGTCCACGGTGCCATTTCACTCTCCCGTCTGCAAATTGTCAGAGCCCCAGATTCCTGGTGGACTTGGGGTTATCAGATTTTCTTCCCACTTCCCCTCTCGCCACCAGTCTAACAAAGGCACGTGGGCCAGTGGAGCTCACGTGGTTCTGCTGCCCTTTTTATAGCTGAGGACACCAAGGCCTGAGTGCTGCCCTGCCCGGTCTAGGGTCACACGGCAAGGAAAGTGTGTCCTCGAGGCTGAGCCCAGGCAGTCTTACAGCCCGGCCTGTTTTCTGCTTCTTCAGGCTGGACAGGCCCCAGGTAGGAGGAGACATGACGCTCTGCATCCTGGAAGGATGACTGGAGCCAGCAGGCCGAGAGTTGGGAACGTTTGAGCCTAGAGACTTGGGGACCAGGGAGGCGGAGGCGGCATGTGCCAGGGAGGTCCTGAGCTGGCTTCAGTGGACTGGGGTAGAACCGGGAGAGCTGCACGCAGGCAGGTGAGGCCCAGGTGGGTTTGGGGCCTCAGCCCTTATTCACCCCACTCCCCCCCAGGCTGCGGGGTCCCCGCCATCCACCCTGTGCTCAGCGGCCTGTCCAGGATCGTGAATGGGGAGGACGCCGTCCCCGGCTCCTGGCCCTGGCAGGTGTCCCTGCAGGTGAGGGGGTTCTGCAAGGTGGGGGGCACCCTGGGTAGGGGCCAGGCTGGGGGTGCCCCCGGGTGGGAGGTGCTGACCCTCCCCATCTTGCTCACAGGACAAAACCGGCTTCCACTTCTGCGGGGGCTCCCTCATCAGCGAGGACTGGGTGGTCACCGCTGCCCACTGCGGGGTCAGGTGAGGACCGGGCAGCCTTGGGCTCCGCTTCCAGCACCGGTCGGGTGGGAGGGGAGCAGGGCATGTTCTCTCACCCACAACGCTCTGCCCAGGACCTCCGACGTGGTCGTGGCTGGGGAGTTTGACCAGGGCTCTGACGAGGAGAACATCCAGGTCCTGAAGATCGCCAAGGTACCCAGGCCCCGTGCAGCAGAGGGCAGGGCCGTGGGCACGGGGGGAGACCCCTCGGCTGCTTCAGGGACAGGCGCCCAGTGGGGCCGGGCCGGCCTCGAGATTCCCATTCCGGCCCTGGGGATGGACTGCTCCTTAACGGGCACCAGGGAAGGAGTCTGTCCTCGAAGCCTGCAGGTCCTGCCTCCTCCCAGGGCCTCACCCCGGCACTCTGGCCCCCACCCCCAGGTCTTCAAGAACCCCAAGTTCAGCATTCTGACCGTGAACAATGACATCACCCTGCTGAAGCTGGCCACACCTGCCCGCTTCTCCCAGACAGTGTCCGCCGTGTGCCTGCCCAGCGCCGACGACGACTTCCCCGCGGGGACACTGTGTGCCACCACAGGCTGGGGCAAGACCAAGTACAACGGTGAGGGGCCGCGGGGCTGCCTCTGGGGTCTGGGCTGCCTGGCCGTGGAGTCCCCCCGTGACCGTTTGGCTCTAAATTCCAACACGCTCCTAACTGCCCGTTCGTTATTGAAAATCTTCTGAATTTAAAATCCCCCAAATGCAAATAAAATCCAGGTCGGATCATGAGGAGCCTGCACAGGGAGCTTCTGAGCAGCGCCCGGCCGGGTGAGCCCTGCCCTGGCTGACCTGCCTGGAGTCGCAGCGTGGGGCTCCCACCCGGGCAGGGCCGAGGCCCCCTTGTCCCACAGGCGCTTCTGAGGCTCCAGGGGCCGTACCCAACATCGTGGTGATGGTGCAGGGTAGGGCAGGCGTGTCGGCCCCGGGTCTCTCCCTCCACTCTTGGCTGAGTGAGCCCAGGGGCCCTGACCCTCCTCCTGTCCTGCAGCCAACAAGACCCCTGACAAGCTGCAGCAGGCAGCCCTGCCCCTCCTGTCCAATGCCGAATGCAAGAAGTCCTGGGGCAGGAGGATCACCGACGTGATGATCTGTGCCGGGGCCAGTGGCGTCTCCTCCTGCATGGTGAGGCTGGCCCTGCCCAGGCCCTGGCCAGGCGAGCGGGGTGCAGGGGAGGTCTGGGCTTTCCACCCCTCTCTGCTCTCATCTACTAACCCCACTCCTTCCTGGGTGTCAGAGTCGCCTTGTTGCAAAATTCCATGGCCAATGTCAGAGCCAATGGCTCTTGGAGTTGTGCAGTGCACAATCTGGACCGTGGATCCCAGCAGGACAGCGGGCTCCAGCAGCCCTCCCTCCCTCACACGGACCCCTTGGCCAGCCCCACCATGCTCTTCCTCCTATTGGTCAAACCAGCTTTACTGAGCTGCCATTAAAGGGTCCCATTCCAGGGCTGGCTCAGGCTTCCAGGGGCATGAACCACATAAGCAGCTACTAGGGTCTTTCATAACCCACGCAACAGCACATGCTGAGCCTTTGCTGTGTGTGGGGTCCTGGACTGGACTCTGGGAACAATGTCCAGTGGCCCCTGGGACCAGTCTGTCTCGGCTGCCAGATCCAAGCCCCCTTCTCCCTCTCCCACAGGGCGACTCTGGCGGCCCCCTGGTCTGCCAAAAGGATGGAGCCTGGACCCTGGTGGGCATTGTGTCCTGGGGCAGCGACACCTGCTCCACCTCCAGCCCTGGCGTGTACGCCCGTGTCACCAAGCTCATACCTTGGGTGCAGAAGATCCTGGCTGCCAACTGAGCCCGCGGCTCCCTCCGACCCTGCTCCCCACAGAGCCTCAGTAAACCCATGGAACACACGTCGGCGCTGTCCGTCTTCTGTTTTGGGGCCTCCAAGGCCTCACTCCACTCCGGAACCTGGGCCCCCACTGGGCTGGACTGGGCTGGGCTAGGCATGGGCGGCCTCTGGGAGGACCCTTCCTTAGTCCCCTCTCCCACCACTCAGGCTCCTGCTTCCCAGAGAGTGGCCAGGAACACACGGGCAGATGAAAAGGGGTGCAGAGACAGACGGGGGATCTGGCTGGTGGGGACCGGGTGGACCTTGGCCCCCATCCTCAGCACCTGCCCCCAGGCGACAGGTTCTTGCCACCCACCCTTGCTCTCTTGCTCTGGGCCCTGCAGGAGGGCGTGGGCAGCGTGGGGGCTGTGGGGGGATGAGCTCACTCTGGCCCCACAGACCTGTGGCTCCAAGGAATCTTCCCACGGCCACTCCTAGGGCTGCCAGACATACGCTGGAGCCAGGAGCGTTATCAACGCAAGGACTGGTGATGAGGTGGGTGGTGTCGAGGTGGGCCGTGATTGGTGGGCTCAGGGGACAGTATGGGGACCCTCTGACATCCCATGGCCTTTCTCTGGATCACTGGCTTCCCCCTGGCAGTGACTTTTTTTTTTTTTTTTTTGAGACAGAGTCTCACTCTGTCGCCCAGGCTGGGGTGCAGTGGTGCGATCTCACCTTCCAAGTAGCTGGGACTACAGGCGCCCGCCACCATGCCCGGCTAATTGTTTTGTATTTTTTTAGTAGAGACGGGGTTTCACCGTGTTAACCAGGATGGTCTCGATCTCCTGACCTCGTCATCCGCCCGCCTTGGCCTCCCAAAGTGCTGCGATTACAGGCCTGAGCCACCGCGCCCAGCCCTATGGCAATGACTCTTAAAAGTTCGAGGCTCAGGCAGGCCGGGAGCCCCAGGTCAAACATGCCCATCCCCAGCCCCAAATGCCCAGAAGCAAAAAGCCCGCCGTGCCATGTTTCATCAAGGCACCACATCCTCCGTGGCCAGATCGTCCTCCCCTTCCTCCTCACACCCTGCCAGCTGGCCCCCGCCCCTCTGGCCGCTACCCCCACCCCCTCGGCCGTGCTTGGGGCATCTGTTTCCTCCCTTCCTTAGCCCCCGCACCCTCAGACCCTCCACACCCTACGATTCTGCCTCCTGAGGGGCTCCTGCATCCACGCCTTTTGCCCACCCCTCACCCCCAGCCCCTGCACCCTCTGGACTTGGGCGGCCTCCTGGGTTTATGTGCCCCCGGGCCCCACACCCCAATCCACCCCAGCCACTGACTCAGAGTCCTCAAGAGCACAGGGACCCAAGGAGATACAGCCACCATGTCCCAGCACCCTGGGCTCAGAAGGGGACAGACACTCCCTTGGGTACACAACGGTCAGGGGAGGGGGCTGAGGGCACTGCAGTGGCACCTCAGGACACCATCAACTGCCGGCTGTTCTGGGGAGGATGCCAACTCCAGCTCCGAGGCCTGGCAGGTGTCCCTGCAGATCAGAGAGGTCCTGCCCATGTGGTGGGGGGGACCCTGGGTGGTGGGCAGGCTAGAGTTGGGGGGAAGTTTAAAACAATTTTTATTAATATATAAATAGAGACTTGGGTCTCACTATGCGGCCCGACTGGCCTTGAAGTTTGGCCTCAAGTGATCCTCCTGCCTCAGCCTCCCAAAGTGCTAGGATTACACAGCCCTCGCCCCTCGGGTCCCTTCTGCCCTTGTGGGAGTTGCCAGTCCTCCTATCCTCCCAGTACAAAGCTGGCTTCCACTTCTGCGGGGGCTACCACATCAGCGAGGACTGGGTGGTCACCGCTGCCCACCAGGGGTCAGGTGAGGCTTGAGCTTGAGGAGTTGGGGCCCACCAGGTGTCAGGGAATGACACTCATCCCCCTTCCCAACCCCAACTACACCCTGCAACCAACAGGAAAAGGGTCGGAAATGAACTGCAGGCTGGGGAACCAGCACCCCCATCCCCCGGCCACAGGCAGAGCCGCCTCTGCAGGTGACACCCACCCCAGGCCGTGCACCCCACCTCCACCCTCGCAGGCCACCCAGACGGCAGCTTGGGGAAACCTGGGAGGTCCCGTACCCTCACTGTGCAGGTGGGGAAATTTAGACCCTGAAAAAGGGATGCCCTGAGATCACCATGAGATTGAGGGGCAAGCAGGGCTCACCCTGACTGGCTCACTTCCCAGGCACCCCCATGAGCCCAGGCACCGCCTGCCACCCTCACTCTCCAGGAAGAGCCACCGCGTGGTGGCCGGGATCGTGTGGTGGCCAGGGCGTCTGACCTTGGCTCTCACCCGGAGGCCATCCAGGTGCTGAGGATGGCTAACGCTAAGGCCACACAGCCAGGGAGAGGAGGTGGCTCGTGACACCACGATGGGACACACCCACCTCTGGGAGAGGAGGTGAGTGGGCACAAGGGCCCCTGCCCAGCTGGCCTGGGCCTTGCCCTGCACCCTTGGCTGCCAGGGCCCATGGGCACCTGCCTCTCCCAGCTTTTTCCTTCCCAAGTAGTAAAGCTCCTGAAAGGACCCTGACAGGTGTCTTCGATGGTAAAGTTTTGCTCATTGTAGAAAAACGTGGACAGATAATCATTAAAAATCACCACGTGCCACGGGCTATTCTCCATCCGTCTCCATAGACTCACCTGTCCAGTCCCATTCCTGTTCCTTTCTCAATGTACCCCAGCACTATCCAGTCCACTCATGGAGGCCTGGGCTCCCCACTCCTCTCTGCCCTCCTTCCCTAGGCCTTACAAGGGCCAGGACTCAGGCTCACAGCTTCCTGAACCAGGCAGGCGAGGCTGCCTGGGGACTTCCTCCTCTTCCCAGCCCTCTGAGCTGGAAGCGTCAGCTCATGGGATGAATGGCGCCCCGGCATGGATGAAAGCCACTTGCCCCAGCTCCCTCCAGGAGTGTGCATGGCAGAGCTGGGGCTGCCACGTGAACCCAGGCCTCAGGACCCTGGCACAGCCCCTGCACCCACACTTGCCATTTCTCCGCACCCCTCCCTGGACTCCGCCAGGTTAGGGTCTCCCAGGCCCTGGCACCCAGTTCAGGCCTGGAGACACCTCCTCTCCTTCCTGCAGGGTGACTCCGACAGCCCTTGCCTGCCAGGATGGAGCCTGGACTCTGGAGGGCATCGTGTCCTGGAGCAGCACCAGCACCTCCTGTTGTCACCAGGCGTGGATGCCCGCATCATGAAATTCATGCCTGGGAAGGCGTGGAGGCCGAGACCACCCCCCCTACCCCGCATCTGTGTAAAACACAAATAAAGCCATTGAGAGCAACTGCATACACCTTTACCTCTGTGTCCTCACCAAGGCAGGTGGGCTGAGCATGATGTGGCTGAGGTGGGGGGACAGATGCTGTCACGGGGACAACCTCTGTAGAGGTAAGATCAGGAGGGCTTGCGAATCACCCAGCCCTACTCCCTTCTTCATACAGATGGGGAAACCAAGGCCCATGTTCATATGCAGAACGGTCAGGGCTGGGAGCAGCACCAGGGGTTCCAAGCACCCTGAAGCTTCCATCTGGGCTGCGGGCTGCTGGGTGGGGGAGCCACGAAGGGGGACACACTTGCCCAGGGCAAGGGTCTTCTCCAAGCCCCTCCCTCCCAACTCAGATGCCAGGTCCAGGTATAATTCCATGTGCACTTCGGGAGTTCCGCAGGCTGGGATGAGATTCTTTTAAGCAGAGCTCTGGATGCAGCCCCCAGCGGTGCCCTCGGCTCACAGGAACCCGTCCCCTTGTGCAGCTGTTCCTGCCCCAATCTGCCCTCACTCCAGATGCCAGCTGTGGGCATGGGCAGGTGCTCACTGTGGCAGCTCCCTAGGGTTGCAGGGGCCATGCCCAGGCTGTGCTTTCTGGGCCCCAGACCCTGCAGCTCTGAAACTGCCCCCTTTCTTGGGCCCAGGCTCTGCCCTGGCTCCCAGGGCCTTGTGGCCAGCTGCAGGCCTCACCCCGCCTCCAGGAGACACCCAGCCTCGGCGTTCCTTGGTTTTCTTCTAGAGAGACCCACTCCTCCTCTGCCCTCCCGGGAGATGCCACGCATGGCCCTTGCCCCCGGGTGCCTTCCCCAGAACCGTCACCCACCCCGGGCTGCTCTCATCTGCCACCCTCAGGCAGCTGCTCTTCCTTTTAAAAACTTTATTTAAATGGAGACTCTTAGTCAAATGATTGGAAAACCAATAACGAAAAATAGTTCTTCAGGTTCTTCTCCTGGTAAGGCGGAGGACACACCAAACTGCACTGGCCCTGTCAGGGGACACGGCACCCTCGTGGGACCAGGCTCAGCCCTCGGGGTGGCACGAGGTCCTGCAGGCTGCAGGACCCTCACACTCCAGCCCCGTCTGGTGACCCAACCCGGGCCCGTGGTGCATGCTGGGGAAGGCCACTGGCCGGCCCCTGGGCTTCGGCTCCTGAGGAGGCATGGCCCCACACCCTGCCCGGCCATAAATATATACAGATTCCTGGGCATCCAGGGCACCAGGACCGACGCAGAGCTGGGGTCCTGTCCCTAAGCCTGTGGCACAGCGACTCTTGACATGGGAGCCAGGGAGCTGGGACCGCCGCACCCCTCCCCTGCCTCCCTCCTGGGGTCACCACCCTCAGGCGGCTGCCAGCTGGCCTAGGACGCGGCGGAACTGCTGGGTGCTGTGGCCCAGCTCCTTGACCCTCTCCACCATGTCCTGGGCCGCGGAAGGCGATGGGTACTGCAAGGCAGCGGCCTTGGTGGTGGCCACGATGCCGCGCAGGAGGTCGCACAGCAGGTTGCTGTAGTGGGTCACCTGGCTGCGCACGTCAGCAGCCTTGGCCTGCCGTGACAGTGTGTCCCCGATGAACACCAGCTTGTGGGCGCTGAGGATGACGAACTTGCTGTGCGCCACAAAGATCTTGGGCGGCTGGTTGGTGGCCACGGCGGTAAAGAAGGCGTCCACGGCGTTGGTCAGTGTGGTCAGGTTGGCCTCACACTGCTCCAGGTAGAAGAGCAGCAGCTGCCGGTCCGAGGGCCCCAGGCCGCCTGTTCGCCCCGGGGCCAGGGGTTGGGCTGGCGTCCAGTTGGCCAGGTCGTGGTCTATGGGCCGTGACACCTCCTGTTCCAGTCGTTCAAACTGCTTCAGCTGGGGCAGGAGGGAAGCAGGAGCAGGGTTAGGCTCTCGGGTGAGTTGGAACTACAGGCCGAGACCTGGGCACCCTGGGCTGGGCTTCTCTAAAAGGGCCGCTACTCAGAGTGCATGGGACTGCAGGGAAACGGGCAGTCTCCTCTCCCGGGGACGGGACCAGGAACCATGGCAAGCCTTCTGGAGGTTGTTCAGTTACCCTTCCACCAGTCTCAAAAGGTCAGACTCCGTGCCCTGAACATTTTTGAAATGACAAGATGGACAACAGAAAAGTGGCTGCCTGGGGTCGGGGGGTCACCGTCCTGGCTTGGGTACTGTCCCACGTGACTTGAGACGTGGCACTGGGGAAAATGGCTGAAGGGCACTGGGGACCCCTCGACCCTATCTTTGCAACTTCCTGTGAATCTATAAATATTTCAAAATGGAAGGTTAAAAAAATTTTCCCCTTAGTTCAAAAGTAACATACACATTATAAAAAGATTCAAATATATCAAACAGAAAAAACGAAGATGTCACCTGTAATCCAATGCCCCTAAATAGAACCTCTGCTAAATCATCTTCCAGAACCACACACGAAAGTTAACATTTCCACTCCCGTGCCTAGGAGTCAGCTGAAGGGGACAATGTGTCCTCACTAGAGCCGCTCTGGCTCCGGAAGTGACCAGCCACACCCAGACTCAGGACTGGTAAGCTCTGTGCCACCCTAGGCGCAAAGATCCAAGCCACAATGAGCAAAACCAATAGGAAACCTCCCCTTCCTAACACTTAGAACCTCGCACTGTCCCCCTTAGGCAGCCACTTGGTGAAATCCTCCATCTCTCCGTTCCCTTAGCCAGTGAGATACATACTCCGCTTTTTTTCTTTGAAAAGCTCTGATGAGGCAGGGTGAGGTGGCTCATGCCTGTGATCCCAGCACTTTGGGAGGCTGAGGCAGGTGAATCACTTGAGTCTGGGAAGTCCAGGCTGCAGTGAGCCCTGACAGAGCACAGGCAACAAGCTTTGTGGGGTTTTTTTTTTTTCAATACTATTTTTATTTTTATAAAGAAGGAGTCTTGATCTGTCACCCAGGCTAATCTTTTTTTTTTTTTTTTTAAATGGAGTCTTGCTCTATCGCCCAGGCTGAAGTGAAGTGGCACGATCTCGGCTCGCTGCAACCTCTGCCTCCTGGGTTCAAGCGATTCTCCTGCTTCAGCTGGGATTACAGGCCTGCGCCACCACCCCTGGCTAATTTTTGTATTTTTGGTAAAGATGGGGTTTCACCATGTTGGCCAAGCTGGTCTCAAACTCCTGACCTCAGATGATCCTCCCGCCTCTGTCTCCCAAAGTGATGGGATTACAAGCGTGAGCCACTGCACCCAGCCCTTTTTATTCTTTGACAACTCTTCATAGTTATATAATATCCCACTGCATAAATGTCCATACTTTATTGAATCAATACTCTCCTATTAGACACTTTGTGGGTGGAGATTTCAGATTCTTCACCGATACAAAAATGGGGCAACAGATGTTCTCATCAGTAAGTCTTCATGGACTTGCATTTAACATGGACTTTATGTCCTTGGCCTTGGAATTCTACATCTTTAAAGTTCTTCACATATATTCTTGCCCTTTAATCCAGCTTCTAGCAAGTTATCTAAGTGATTCATCAGATACGTGCAAAGACTAGTATTCATCACAGCACTGTTCACAAAAGTAAAACTCTGGGAACAGCCTAAGTGTCCAACAGCAGGGGACTGGTGAAGTCAGTGCTGGAGGCACACAGAGGACGGACAAAGTACACGACCACTTCTGAAAACACGGCGATCCCAGAGTTCTCTCTCTAGACAGAGATATAGACCTATATATTGTTGATATTTCAGGAGGTTTTTTGTTTTTGAGACGGAGTTTCGCTCTTGTTGCCCAGGCTAGAGTGCAGTGGTGCGATCTCGGCTCACCGCAACCTCCGCCTCCTGGGTTCAAGCGATTCTCCTGCCTCAGCCTCCCAAGTAGCTGGGATTACAGGCATGTGCCACCATGCCCAGCTAATTGTTTTGTATTTTTAGTAGAGATGGGGTTTCTCCATGTTGGTCAGGCTGGTCTCGAACTCCCGACCTCAGGTGATCCGCCCGCCTCGGCACCCAGGAGGTTTTTAAAACAATTTTATTTTATTTTTTTTGAGACGGAATCTCACCCTGTCGCCCAGGCTGGAGTGCAGTGGCGCAATCTCGGCTCACTGCAAGCTCCGCCTCCTGGGTTCAAATGATTCTCCTGCCTCAGCTTCCCAAGTAGCTGGGACTACAGGCGTGTGCCACTATGCTGGCCAATTTTTGTATTTTTAGTAGAGATGGGGTTTTGCCATGTTGACCAGGCTGGTCTCAAACTCGTGACCTCAAGTGATCTGCCCGCCTTGGCCTCCCAATGTGCTGGGATTACAAGTGTGAGCCACTGTGCCTGGCCACAATTTGTATTAATGTATACAGACTTGGGTCTCACTACGTGGCCTGGCTGGTCTCAAACCCTTGGCCTCAAGTGATCCTCCTGCCTCAGCCTCCTAAAGTGTTAGGATTACAGGTGTGACATTTATTCTTTTCTTGGGTGTTTTCTTTAGTAGATTTAACAGGGGTGCAGGTGCAGTTTTGTTATGTGGGTACAATGTACCCATTAGGTAATTTCTCAGCCCCCACCCCCTGCCACCCTGCCACCGTTCTGAGATGTCAATGTCTAGCCTCTCCTGAGTGTCTCCATGTGCCAGGTACTTCCCAGGCATCTTCCACTTTTCAGTGATTCTCACCGAGCTCTCATGAGGCGGCTGCAGCCTCACTGCTGTGTGTCGTGGGTCTCAGGCCCCTGCCTCTGCCACCTCCTTGGTGCCCAGAAGGTAGGCGAGGGAGATTTGACGGGTGATATTTTTATGTTCACTTCGTGCTATCCTGTATTTTCACTTTTAAAATTATCTTCATAATCAGAATAAAGCTCCCTTAGTGTTTTTTTACATACCTCTTTCCTACCCTGAAGAACTGATTCAAAATATGAGGAAAATTCTATTAACATGTCTGCATATAAACACAGCAGTATATTTATAATAAGGGGCCAGATGTGGTGGCTCACACTATAATCCCAGCACTTTGGGAGGCCAAGGCAGGTGGATCGTTTGAGCCCAGGTGTTTGAGACCAGCCTGGGCAATGTGGTGAAACCTTTGTCTCTATAAAAAATATAAAAATCAGCCAGGTGTGGTGGCAGGCGCCTGTAATCCCAACTACTGGGGAGGCTGAGGCAGGAGAATCGCTTGAGCCCAGAAGGTTGAGGCTGCAGTGAGTTGAGATCGCATCACTGTACTCTAGCCTGTGTGACAGAACAAGATTCTGTGTCAAAAAAAAAAAAATACTAAGGAAGTGTGGGTACAATACAAACATTCAATAGACGCTAAGTGGTCTTTGAAAGAATCCACAAGAATGCTTAACGCCATGGCAGATGCTGGGACAGAAGAGTCGAATGCCCACAGGACACCATCCCGGCCATGCAGGGAGCAGCTTGGAGGAAGGAGCAGGGCAGAGCCAGCCCCGTGCTGAGCCTATGGCAGCTGTGAGGGGTCTATTTTCTGCTCTCACCCCACTCTCTAATTCCCTAAATGTCTCCAACAATTACTCTTGAAAACTTTAAAATAAACCAAGTGAAAAGATGAAGATGGTCAGGAGGCAGGGGGGTGGCAGGCCGGGCCCAGCTCTGAGCACTGTCAGACAACATGAGAAGCTGGGGACCCGGGGTCGGCCCTGCAGGGCAAGAGCTGGGGGCTCAGGGGGTCAGCGGGCAAAGCTGGGCCTTGCTCTGCTCCGGGGCCTCACCTGCTGCAACTCCAGCTGGCTCTTGCCCTGCCGCGTGATGCTGCCCTTTTCCAGCAGCTCCTTCTGGGTCTTCTCAAACTCCTCCTTCCCCTGGAGGGCAGAGACAGGGGCTGCGCTGAGGCCAGTTTTCTGAGCCAGAAGCACAGGCCAGCCCTGTGGCGGGCGCAGTGAGCTGAGTGGCCACCAGGTGGTGCTGCGTGTGCGCGCACACACACGCACACGTGGACGCACACACACACTAGCACACGTGGACACACACACACACACAAGCACACGTGAACACACACACAGACTGGCACGTGCAGGGGCAGGCAGACAGACACACACACACACACACACACACACACACACACACACTCCCCCAGGCTGGCATATGTGGGACACAGCCCCCCCAGGCTGGCACATGCGGGGACACACAGAGAAGGTGGCTTCCTAGGAAGCAACCCTGGCAGCCCCTTTCACCGCCTGCCAGCTCAGGAAGAGACTGGGCAGAGGGTGGGGTACCCGCAGAAAGTCCGCAAGCTCCACCCTGCCTTCCCAGGCTCCAACACCAGGAATCACACCCAATCCCTCCCCCTTGGCCTAAAGGCCTGGCCACCTGGTCCCTGCCCCTGGATGCCTCTCTGGCCCAGCTCAGCCTGGAATGTTCCTTACCAGGACTCCCACCCGGCTAGCACCCAGGCCTCTGCTCCAGGGGCCAGCCTGGGAGGAGCAGTCCCAGCCACCTCCCACCACCTCCTGCTGCTCCCCCACGCTCAGAGCATCCTTGTGTGTGTGCACATTTCTGCAGATCTGTCTCCCCACACAGAACAGCAGAGTCACCGCTGCTGGTCACCAGAGATACCAGCCCGAGGGACTCAACGAAGGGCTCGATGACATGGCCACCCTAGCACATGGGGCCAATGTGGGGTGAGGGAGGTCAAAGTGAGAGGAGGGTGCAGGGCCTTGCCAGGGACCAGGCCCCAGCTGAGAACAAATCTCCCCCTAAGCACAGGAGCCCAGCGTGGCAGAAGAGGAGCCGGGGCTGGGCAGGCGGCACCCACCTGTAGGTGGACGTAGTCATAGTCCTCCATCCAGCCCCCCTCGCTGTTCTCGTACTGCCCATCTGGCGAGTCCTGGGAGGTGAACTTAGGGGGTGAGGGCAGGGGTCGTGACTGGATGCTGCTGGTCTTGTCAGTGGGGTTGGGGTGCAGGGTGCCACCCCCCTCAGGCCCCGGGGCAGTGGCCTTGGTCCGTCTGAAGAGCAGTGAGGCATTGCCGTGCAGGAAGGAGGCCAGCTGCTTGGCGTCCTCGGGCACAGCCCGCGAGCAGGCCACCAGCCGGTCCAGGTCCTCAAGGGTGGCTCCAGAGCCTCCCCGGCCAGCGTCGAGGGCCTGACCATGTGCCACCAGCGTCTGGTGCACGTCCTCCATCTTCTGCAGCTGCCGGCTAAGCTTGGCATGCAGGGCACGGTCAGATGTGTGGGCAGCATTGCCCACCGCGCTGCGGGCAAACTCCAACAGCTCGTGGACGGCACTCTGGACAGCGGCCACAGCAGCCTGCAGGTCCTGCACCAGCGGCTCCTGTGGCTCAGAGGGGCTACGCCAGCTCCCAGTCGCACCGGCGCTGCCTGCCAGGTCCAGAAGGTGGGCAACGGTGGCGCTCACACCCTGCTGCAGCCGTGCCAGGGCCTCCACAGCAACTTCCAGCTCCAGGGGTTCCCGGCCCGGCCCTGCCACCTCCAAGGAGGACGCAGACTGGCTGCTGCGTGTGCTGCCGGTGCTGGAGGCCGACAGGCGCTTGCCCTCTGCCGGGGCTTCACGTTCAGCTGGGGGAGGCACCGCATACACACCACTGTCGACCACGCCACCATCAGCCACCTCAGGAGGAAGCACCCGTTCACGGGGCACATCGTACAGGGTGCCCGGGCCAGGCCGCCGCAAGCCAGGGGGCACGTCGTAGAGGTCAGGAGCCGGGGGCGGCACGTCATACACGTCCTCGGCCGGCGGGGAGTCTGGAGGGGGCGCAGCCAGTACCAGTGGGGTGCGGGCCGGGTCAAAGGGCTTGGCCTTGGCGAAGGCGGGGGGCACATCGTAGGTCTCCTCACGCAGCAGTGGGCCATCGGGCACATCCTTGCTCACCGATGGAGGAACGTCGTAGACCTGGGGGACAAGCGGTGGTCAAGACTGTCCATCTGTCCATCTGCCCACCCCAGGGACTGGGGGCAGCACCCAGCCACACACACACACACACGTACACACATACAGACACACACACAGAGGCACGCGCACACACACAGGCACACATACAAATGCAGAGGCACGCACACAGGCACACACACGCGCACACACACTCGCAGCCCTAGCACACACATCCTTCACAATTCCTATCCATGACAGCTCTGGGACGAGCCGGCTCTGGAGCCAGGTGACCACCCCTGTGCCTGAAGGTGGGAGAGCTTCCTCCCAAAGAATTGCATGTGTTAATTCACATAATTGTGTCACTGCAGACACTCACTGAAAGGTTAGCTGTGATACTGCCACTGCCACCACCATCATATCATGATTTCATCACCATCACCGCCGCTGCCACCTCATCACCACCATCACTGTTACCACCCAGCACCACCACCACGTGTGAACTTTCTACTCTGCAGCAGGTGTGCGACTGAGCTCTGTGTGTATTATCAGGGGACCAAATTCTGGTTTGCCCAGGACAGTGCTGGTTTGTCCCTGATGCCCCCACATAATTACTAGTCCCCCCTTCACTCTTGGAAGTATCCCAGGTGAGATGACACATCCCGTGGTCACCTTGCGGATACCCTCTCAGGAGCTCATGGAGAAGGCCTCGCAACAGGCGGTTCTGCCGACAAAGAACCTGAGGCTCAGAAGACAGCTTGATTTCCTCATCTGTCAACCATCCAGAACCAGGGTCTGGAGCCAGTCTCTTCCTGCCCGCCACCCCCAGCCCTGCAGACACTGGTCAGCACCCCTGTGCACACACCCAGACACCCCACAGCCTCAGCCTGGCCCTGGCATTGCCCTGGCATTTGCTCACTGCGTGGTGGTTGGACGGTGGCAGGCCCTTCTCCACACTGGGGGGCACGTCATACACCTCCAGCAACGGGTCTCGGCCATTGGGACCCTTGACAGCCATGGGGGGTGTGTCATACACCTGGGGCAGAAACAGTGCAGGGTTAACGGCGCCAGGGCCACTTGGGGGAATAGGAAAGGTGGGAACCCCGCAGCACCGTCCCCAGGCCTGGCCGGGGCTGAGAAGATGCAGCTCTCGGCCCAGGGCCAAGCAGAGGCACAGACTTGCCGCCCTGCCCTCCCACCGCTGCGCACCCCACACCTACCTCCTGGCCATACTGGCTGGGAAGCAGCCCCCGAACCGGGGGCACATCATAGATGTCCTGTGGCCCCGGGGCCAGCAGGTGTCGCGGGATGTCGTACTCGTCCTGCTCCGGCTGGGCGGCCTCGTATACATAGCCCTGCCCCACGCGGGTGGGCACCACCACCTGGGGGCAGAGAGCCGACTTCACTGCTGCCCTCAAACCAGCCCTTAGGGAGGCTCCACTCACACCTGGGAGCCACGTCCTTTTAGGAGGTGGGCAGGGCACACCAGGTGGAAGGGACGGGGCTCCCCAAGGATGCCAGTTCTCACCCCCTCTGCACCATCTGACCTTCCTCTAGCAGAACGCAGTGCCAGGTACGGCAAGAACTCTGGGTTTTATTCAGAGCTGCCTCGTCCTGGGCCAGGACACCAACGTCTCTACAGCCTGCTGACCCAGAAGGCTCCACAGAGGAGCATGGGTATGAGCTGATGACACCGGTGGGGTGAGGGGCTGAGGCCCTGGCTCTGGAGGGCACTACCCACAGGCAAGGAACCCCCCGTTACTGGGGCGCCTAGCCCCACAGGACAAGAGGCCACGTCGGAGGCCTGGGAGTCTGCTGCCCACACCACCTAGCTGTAGCCTCCTCAGAAGGGTTGGCCCAGCAGGGGACTGCATCCGGCCCAGGACCAGATAGAGCCTAGCACCCCCTGCCCCACAGCACAGCATGGGGAGACTCTGGAGGACAGGGCCAGAGGGGCAGGTTGGGTGTGTGCTGGGGGGCGCAGCAGCTGGGACCAAGGCCCCCTCCCTGCCGCGCCTGCCCCGGGGGAGCTGCCTGCAGCAGGTAAGATCCCCAGCGACCTGAAAGGATGAGGCCTAGTGGGGGAAGTGGGTCCAGGGCCAGCCCTCCCCTCCCCAGGTGCTCTTACCATGACCCAGAGCCCAGGGAAGCCAAGGCCCGCACAGTGGGTGAAGAGGCAGGCAGCACAATGGCCTGCCCAGGGCCACAGGACCCCTCACCAGCACCAGCCTGAAGCGGGTAGGGGCCATGCCAGGCAGCCTCCTTCCCTGAAGGTCTCCCTGCCTTGGGGAGGTCAAGGCCTCCCTGGTGGGATTCTCCAGCCCCCGGGCACACTGCGCCCACACGCCTCCACCACCAGGCTCCCTGTTCAGCTCTCTCCACTGAAAGACCTTTTGTTCCTTCATCAAAGGGGATGTCTGGGACAGGGTTGACTCAGGGCCTCCCCGCACATCCCCCAGGGCAGCAGCGCCAAAGCAGCCCCTCCCCCGGGCCCAGTGCCCCTGAACCCCTAGAGGCCCTCCCAATGCAGGCAGGCAGCCAGCCCTGCTTGCTGAGGGTGCTGTGAGGGGGGCGCTGAGCATGGGGGTGGCAGAGGCGCCAGCACCCCCCAGCAGCCGCAGGCCTGGCAGAGCCCCCCGCAGCGCAGCAGAACTGGGCCCACTAGGTCTCCAGCACGCCTGGTAGCAGAGTCCCGGCTGGGGGCCTCCGTGGGGTGTCCCCGCCCCCTTCCAGTGCGTCTGGGAGTGGATTTGGCGGCTGCCTCTCCAGACTCATCTCCCTCCACGCGCCCCAGACTTGAGTCTCCTCCAGAACTATTTTTAGATGCAGGGACCTGCCAACAGCGGGGCAGGCGGGGCGGAGGGACGTGGCAGGTTGGCTGGGCCTCGAGGCACGGCCTGAGGCTTCTCCAGGCCTCCCAGCCTCCCAAAGGCAGGTGGGGACCCAGCCTCAAGGCTCAGCCAGGACCCAGCACCAGCAGGAGGGATGAGCATCCTCCAAAAGCACCCTGCCGGTGGCCATCCCAACCTCACGCGGTGAGGCCCAGGGGTGCAGCTGGACCCAGGCCTGCCTCCCCAGGCAAATGGCCGCCTGCCACTCTTGGAGCTGAGTCGGGTGGCAGTAGGCAGCCACAGTGACCAAATGTTTCTGTTAGAAAAACAGAGCAACGCAGCCACCAGGGGGAAAAGCTCTTTAGGGGAATGACTCAGCCCCACTGCTAATCACAGGCCACCCTGCTGCACACCTGAGACCCCACTAGCAGGCCGTGGAGGTCCCCCGGGGGTTAGGGGAACACAGCCAGAGCCCAGGAGGAGAGAACAGAGGCACAGTCACTGACATAAGACCCACACGGTCTCTGACACACATGCCTCATACAATGCAGAGAAAACACAGCACAGGCCCACTGCCAGGTGCACGCACAGAACCCAGGCAGCCCCAGGGCCAGGGTGCCGCCCCTCTCCTCCCCTACTATCAGGCATCAAGCGGGGGGACAAGCGAACTCAGGAATACATCCCAGCCTCCCGGTAAGGGCCCCAGAGGCAGGTGTCAGGTCGGAGGAAGGGGACAAAGTGGGCCCCCGCCCTGGAGCTCAGTGGCTGGTCTCCCCCTTCTGCAAAATGGGTGTCGCCCCTGACCTGGGTTGGCTCCCGGCTCTGGCACCCCCAGGTCCCAATCCAGGAGCCTCGTTTCCTCCTTGGGAAATGGAGCACCACAGGAGCGCTGCGACCACGGCCACCAGGACACACCCCAGCATGAGGGGCTCACCCGACCTGGGTCATGGTGGCCTGAGGGGCCACCACCATAGCCCGCTCCCCTCCCTCCCCAGCTCCAGGCACCCCAGCCTGAGGTCCCAGCACAGGGGAGCCTGGGGCAAGATGAAGCTTCTAGGGCGAGGAGGGTGAAACACAGGCCCGACAGGACCACGTGCACGCCTGACCTCACGCCATGGCTGTCTCCTTAGACACTGACCAGGGGCACTACCTGAGCGACCTCCCACAGACGCCTTCCCCCGGGGGTCCCATCTGACCATGAAAGAGCCTCTGCCCTCAGATTCCTACAGCCCACACCCGGCCCAAAGAGTCTCGGTGCCAGTGTGGCCCTCACCTCTCCCTCAGCCATACGGGCCACCAGGCTCCCACCTTAGCAACCACTGGACCCTGCTCCAGGGCCCAGGGTTCTGACCCTCCTGGCCACCATCCTTGTCACTCACCCTCTTGGCTTCCTGAGAGCCAGTGTCCCTCCCGCCCACGTGAAGTCCTGGCAAGGGCTCCTTCTCAGCCCAGCCAACCACTACCCTGGAACTGGGAGACTCAGTTTCCCAGGCATTTGAGGGGCAGGCCTGAGGCTTGGAGGGGAGCACCTGGAGGTTCAGACACAGATGTCCCGCAGCCAGGTGTTACCGCCGTGCCACCGTAATGAAGGCATGAGCAATCGGAAACTGCCCAGGGCCCGCCCCAGCAGAGGGGGCAACCCAGCAAAGTCCAAGGCGGCTCAGGGACAAGCTTTAAGAATTCAACAAAATGCTTTTGATATCTAATGTTGGATTTACAACTTTGAAATGCAAAACTGCATGTATAAATCTGTGAAACACAGGGCAGATACTAGACAAAATATGCCAGAATTTCCCAGTGATTACCGCGATTGGAAAATTTCATCTCCAGACTTTCCCATACATTATGCATTTTCTACAGCAAACAAGCATTGCTTTTGTGATCATAAAATACAAGCAGACACAATCAAGACTGGGGGAGGTTTCCTGGGGGAGAGCAGCCAGGCCCAGGACACAGGGCTCTCCTTCCTGGGCCATCAGCCAGGTCAGGGCCCTTGGGGCACAGGTCTGGGCAGCTCTACCAGTGGGCATGGGCAGAGAAGGACCCAGCTGGCTGAGCCCCTGATGCAATTGAGAGCAGGCCCCCTGCCGGAGACGGAGACAGAACAGCTGCCAAAACACAGCCTCGAGGCCGGGCTCTGTCTGGGGGTCTCGCTGCTGCTCCCCAGCCCACAGGGCTTCCAGCCGCACCAGGACAAGCTTCACTGCAAAGGCGGGAGAGGAGGGGTGGGGATGTGCCTGACCTTGGGGCATGTGCAGTGTGGACTGTGTGTGCGTGTGCATACGCACATACATTTGTACGTTTGTGGGATACTGGTGGGTGCACACGCTTTGTATGTGTGGACGTACACGTGTCTGTGTGTGGGGTGAGTATGCACGTGTGTTTACACATATGGGGTTTGGGTGTGTGCGTGTTCATGCATATGATGTGCGCATGTGTGGGCGTATACGTGTGTCCATTTATGGGGTATGGGATGCAGATATGTGCATGTATTCACGCACATTCATGTAGCGCATGTGTGTGTTCGTGCATATGGTGTGTGCATGGGTGTTCGTATCTGTGGGGTACAGGCATCATGCACGTGTGTTCATCTGTGTGGGGTGTGGGTATACCTGGACTGTGGCCTGAGGCTCCCCTACAGGACACTGCTCCCTGCCGCCTCCCCAGGGGATAACAGGACCCTGCTCCTCTTGCTAAAGCCAGTTTGGGAGCACCCCCACCCAGGCACCCCACGCCAGCCAGGCTCGCCTCTGACCAGATGGCTGAAGGAGCAGGTAGAGCAGGAAGTGGGAGCCAGTGACCCAGGTTCCCCTGGTGGCCAGGCTTGGTGGCCCATGTCCATGGAGTCCCCCACCCGCCAACGACCTCCGGCCATGCCTCCTGGGTACCAGGCCACCCATGGGCGGGGGTGGGGGTAACTCCCAGCTGACTCGCTGCCCAGCTGGCACCAATGAGGTCTCCACCTCAGCCCTGGGCTGAGTGTCTAGTGCTGACTCCTTCCTACAGGCAGGTGAGCTTGGGAGGCAGGGGCCCTGTGGACTTGGGAAGCGGGCTCAGGGTCTGGAGGCCAGAGGTCTTGTCCCCAGGCCCAGCATCCCATCAGCAAGAGCCCAGGAGGCTCTCAGGGCAGTCCTCCTCTAGCAATCTCAGGGGCAGCGTCCTCCCAGGAGTCACATCCAGATCACCATACGCACCCGCTGGCCCCTAGCATGTTCCATAAGTGGAGAGGGGTTGGCCTGTGGAGGCAGGGGCGGCCAGAAGATGTGCCGGAACCCCATCTAGAGGCTGACACGTAAACCCAGATGGCACAGGGGAGCCTGAGCATGAAGTGGCTGGCCTCTCCCTTGCGGGGGCCCAGCAACTGCCGACCCCATGTGCCAAGCCCCGCCTGCCCACTGGAACGCCTCAACAGGCTGCTCCCTGTGGTTGGTGACACCACCACTCGGGTCGGCTTGGCTGAGGCCAGCGGAGCATCTCCCCTCTGGGTCCATTCACATCCATCTTCCCCGGACAAATGAACACCCCCCAAACACTCACTTCCCACTTTGACCCCAGACCAAACACACAGCCACTCCTGGAATGCCGGTGATTGAGGGTGGCTGGACCCTTCTGTGCCCACAAACCAGGGCCTGGGCTATACCTGTGTGGCTGCACAACTGTGCCAGGACAGCCTTACCTTTGCCGGGGGCTTCGTGCCCTCCCAGCTGCGTGTGTCCATGGACGGGGGGACCTGGTAGATGTCATGCCCCATCCCGGCAGAAGGTGGCACCTGGTAAATATCCTGGGCAGGGCCTCCAGGCCCTGGGGGCACCTGGTACAGGTCTGTGGCCGGGCTGGGAAACGGGTGATGGGGTGTCTGCTTCGAGAAGGTGGATGTCTGCTTGGCTGGGGGAGACTGGAACTGAGGGCTGGGACCCGGGACTTGGTAGAGGCCTTGCTGAGCCTTGCTGGGAGTGGGCACCAGGTAGACGCTGTCTGGCTGGGGCTGGTAGGTGTTGGGGAGCATGGGCGTGTACTGGGAGGCCGGAGGCGCTGGGGCATGGAGGCCAGGCTGAGGCTGGGCCGGGGTGGCGGGAGGGCCGGGGCCAGGCCCTGCTGGCTTCTTATCATACATGCCCACCAAGATCTTGAGGCGGTTCCCAGGCACGATGCCCTGGCGCCCATGCAGCGAGCAGAGCCACCAGCCGTCCAGGCCCTGCGTGTCCTGCTCCAGCACCGTCATGATGTCACCCTTGCGGAAGGAGAGCTCATCCGGGGACTCGGCCACATTGTCATAGAGCGCTTTGGCCAGCACGTTCTGGGGAGAGAGGACACAGGTGTGAGAACAGAAGGATGTGCATGGGGCGTCAGGGGCTCCCCAGCTCCTGCCCTGCTCTGGGGAGGTGCCCAGCTTTGATACTAGGAAAAGAACTCAGTGGAGTTTGGCGAGATCATTGTGCCTTTGCCTCCACTGTCCCCACCTGTTCCCCAGCAGAAAGGCCCAGCTGATCCTGGCCTTTCTTTCAACTGCACCTGTATAGCACCTCAAAATCCTCTTGACCACTGTCACCACCAAAACTCCAGGGATGACCCTCAAGATATCCCTAAAAGCCCCACCCAAGGCCACTCTGCTACCTGGACCAACACAAGGAGAGCGGCAGTAATCACGACAAAGCTGCCAAGTTAAAACAAATAGCAAATGGTTCTCTCTCGAGGTGCACGAAAATAATCTGACAAAAAGAACAGCTTCTTAGGATAAAAAAATGAACAACAATAAGACAGAGCTTCCTTAACAAAGTCTATCTACCCCAAATCCAAAAAGTCAGTAATTAATTTAGAAACTTCAAACACCTTCCCCAAGGCTGGGAAAGAAACAGGAGGCACACCCTCCCTGTCCTGGCCCCGTCGCCCTCAGCAAACCCTTGCAGAGCCGGGTACGTGCTCCATGTGGCCCAGGAGCCAAGCAGTCCGAGAGGGACTTGGAGGAGGCTGTGGGATCAGAGGCATGAGTGCCGTGGCGAGGGCAGGGGCGGAGCCTCGCTGGGACACTAGAGCCCAGGCAGGGAGGCCTCGCAGTTTCCCACCACACACTCATGCATCCTCGCCCCTGCCGCTGCTGCCCCATCGAGGTGCCAGGCGCAGGATGGGCCCAGAGAGACAGAGGATCCCTGGCTGGAGGGTGTGGGCGGTTGCAGCAAAAGGCAGGTGTGAGGGAGGCACGGGGTGAGACAAGGCCAGGGCTGCGGCCCCTCCTAGGGCAGCAGAGGGCTGCATGGGTTCCACAGGGGCCCCAGACTTCACACACAGGGAAGCCGGGTGTGAGAACAGTGCCAGGCTGGCTGGACAGTGACCGGCACTGGGCTCCAGCCACCCCACCAGCCTGGCCTCAGCTCTGGGCTGCCCTGCAAGGTCCCTCCTCAGAGTCTCCTGGCGTCTTAGATGTGCAGCCTGGTCGAGACTCTGACTCGGAAATGGGACCTGGGTTCTGGCCAGCCAGTAGCTGTGTGACCATCCCCACTTGGGCCCAAGTCCCACTTTCTGGACTCCATCTGCAAGGAGTGAAACAAGGAAGAAAGGGCCACGCCCCCTTGGGCAGAAACAGGAAGCAGGAGCCTGTGCCTTGGGGCAGAGGAGTGGGGGTGAGGCCTCTTTCAAGTCCCTAGGGCCCACCCTCCTCCCCTATATGAGCAGGGGCTGGACAGTGCCCCTCTGAGCGCCATCTCCCTGGCCGGCATCAGAGGGCGATGGCATACCAGGCAGCGGCCTGGGTAGGCAGTAGTTGCCCCAGGTCCCAGGATCAGACATTCAGACCCCATGGTTCACTTGCCCTGGGTGGACATCATCAGCAGGGAGCCCATTTCTCCAGAGCAGCTAGGAGCCTCCAGTCCCTAAAAGGGCCAGAGGCTGGAGTGTGGAGAGCCAGGAGGAGCAAGGCCCAAGGGAGGGGCCAGGGGGCAGCTAGGAGAGGGCAGGCCCAGGTGGAGTCATATTGGAGCCAAGGTGAGCACAAGGGCAGAGGCCCTGGATGGCTGCAACACTGTCCACACCATGATTACAACAAAATGAAAAAGGCACTCAAGTGAAAAGCACATCTCAAGAAAATGTCCTGTGAAACGTAAAGACAAGAGAGGGTCAGGAAGACACCAGAGATGTCTGAGACAATGGAGATAGTTTCTCTTCCTGTTTTTCAGGAATGAGTGTTTCTTGCTTTGGGGCTGAAAAACTACACAAAAAGAAAAAAAAAGAAAACGGTGGACTATGTCCCAGGCTCTGAGGCAGGACGGGACAGGCAGTGCGGCAGGTCTAGGGGCCAGAGCCCCACAGAGGAGCGGGAGGGCGGGGGCTGTCCTGCAGCCCACCGGGCTCAGGGCCCCCATCCCAGGCGGCCAGCAAGACAAGCATTTCCCAAATATGGTCTGCAGCCTGCCTCTGGGAATCACAGCCCATCGGGGGCGGGCCACCCTTCCCCAGTGACCCTACACACCACAGAGCTGCCCCTCCGGGTCCCCCAGCCCCTGCCCTGGTGACCACAGGAAGTGCCAGCAGAGTGAGTCACAGGAAAATTCCCCTCCAGCCAAGTCAGAGAAGGTGGGGGTTTAGACAGAGGGGACCGCCCCGCGAAGGCCCCTCACCTCCTAGGAGGGTGGCCCAGGAAAGGCTGGCAGAGGCCCCATCAGGCAGGGCCAGGCACTCAGAGAGGCTGAGGGAGCACAGGCAGGGAGGCCGGGGGCTCTGTGGAGGGAAGGGCCCTGCAGGGAGGGAAAGCCCGGCCCAGGTGAGCGGCTGGGGCCTCTGGCCTCACAGCCCAGCCCTGCCAGGCATGAGCTCACTGATCGGCCACAGCCCAGTCTGGGGCCGCTGAAGCCAGGCTGGGAAGCATCTCACAGGCTGGGCACGTGGCACCAGGCGCCTGGCACCAGGAGCTTCCCCGCCTGCGTCAGCTGGTGTGCCCCCGCCCAGCCTGAGCTCTGGACGCTGCTGGTACACAACCGACCACTCCAGCTGGCCAGGGCCCCCGCCTCTCCGGGCCTCTCTGCCTCCTGTTCTGTTCCCTAAGGACATGCACTCCTTCTTCCTCACTAGGCAGACTCAGACCTGGGCCCGGCTGTGGGACTTTGGGCAAATCCCTTAGCCTCTCTGAGCATCTAGATCCTCTCTGCTGGATGACAGCCCTCATTTCATAGGATTGTTCTTTTTTTTTTTTTTTTTTTTTTTTTTTTTGAGACTGGGTTCTGCTCTATTGCCCAGTAGCGCGATCATGGCTCTCACTGCAACAACCTCCCAGGCTCAAGTGATCCTCCCACCTCAGCCACCTCCCACCTTAGCCTCCCAAGTAGCTAGGACTACAGGCATACACCACCACGCCCAGCTAATTTTGTGTAGAGATGGGTTCTCCTTATGTTGCCCAGGGTGGTCTCAAACTCTTGGGCTCAAGTGATCCTCCAGCTTCGGACTCCCAAAGTGCTGGGATTACAGGCGTGAGCCACTGTGCCCAGCGCGCATTGTTCTTTTAACAAAAGATTCGCCTGGCCCCTGCTTTGGCTGGGCTCCGCAGAGATAGCGCAGGCCTAGTGGACAAGGCCTCTGTCTGAACCGGGCCTATACTGTAGTGGGACAGAAAGACACCAAACAATTTGCTTTCACGGGGAAGAAAGTGGGGTGCCAAAAATAATGTGGGAGAAGGCCTTTGCATACAGGGTCAGAGACGGCCTCCCCAAAGAGATGACATTCCACAGGATTCCTGTCTGAGAAGAGCATGGGGCAGAGGAAGGGCCTCAGCCAGGGGGCTGGAGCAGGGAGGCAGGCTGTGACCCTGGAGCGGCAAAAGGACTCACACCGCAGACTCCATGGATGATGCGTGCACAGCTCAGTGAACGTCATCCGCACAACCAGCTTCCCCACGGCCAGATAAGCCCAGACGAGCAAAGCACACACCACCCCAAGCATTCCTGCTCTGGACATGCTCGCAGGCCCCCCAGCAGCCTCCCCCGGAACCCCTGCCATGCTTCAAACTGGAGGAGAGGCCAGCCTCCCCAAGCCTACTTTCCTGGCCTCCCGCACTGCTGGGCCTAGGGCATGACCCAAGCTGGGCCAGTCAGGTGCTCCTGCCCAAGTTTTCAAGGGACACAACTGTGACCTCAGAAGGGGTGCAAAGCCAGTCCAGGTGGACACTGTCAGCCACCTGTGTCCAAGGCGCAGTGGAGGCTGCTGCCTGACTCACTCATTCTCTGGTACCCTACTCCTGCCGCACCCTACTCCCACTTCAGAACATGCTGGACTATCATCCCCTCCAGGAAGGCTCCTCCTGGGACACCTTCTCCCCTCTGCCCCCACCTCACAGTACTGCCCAGCATATCTTGACATAGCCCAATTCACACCCCTGCACCCCAGGCACCCAGGACAGGAGGACAAGTCTACCTCCTTCAGAAGGGTAACTCCAGGGCACGTGCACCAGAGGAACCCAGGAAGGCCTTTGGGGGCTTGCTCATCCCAAAGGGCAGGGCCAGAGGAGGAGAGCCCCAGCCTGATGCCAGCACTCCCTAAACAATATCCCAGCTGTTGCACATAGGACTGACAGGACTGCCCCACACGCTCTGCCTGGCTCTGAGAATGGCCCTCATTGTGTCCCCGGGGCCCGCCTGGGCACCATATCCACCCGGGCTGGGCAGGCAGGCCCTGAGAAGCACAGCGGCTGGGACCAGGGCTGCGGGTGACACACGTCAGGGAGAGCTGCAGCCGTCGGATGGGTGTTGGGGTCTCCTCATTGGCTCTGCCAGCTGCCTTGGGAGCCCTGGACGTGCTGTGGCTGTCCCCAAACTCCTTCTCTGGGTCAGGCGGAAGCTGGTGTCGGCGAGTGGTAAGGGGAGATGCTGCTGCTCCAAGGAGCCTTCCCTGGTTGCCTGAAGGGACAACCCAGGAGTTCTCAGGAGCAGGGCCAGCCCAAACCAACTGCAGAGAACACTGCAGGTATCACTGCTGACCAAAACCCTCTCTGCCAGGCCTGGCTCATATCTGGCCTGCACCCTTTCACCCAGCAAATATGACCTCAGCACCCGCAAGCCAGCACAAGGTGGGAGCTGGGAGAAAATGGCAAGAACTCCTGTTCTCTGCCCAAGACCCCAGGGTTGGGGGCAGACAAGGAAATGGGTAATAGTGCCACACTTGTCACTAAGTTCACAATAATAAGAACAGCACAGTTCCTCCCTGCGGGAGGCAGAGCTCTTTCCCACACAGCCACCAGCTCATTTAACCCTCAAAACAACCCCATAAGACACGATTACCTCCATCTTACTAGACAGGAAAACCAAGGCTCAGAAGCTCCCTGACAGCCCAGGGTCACTGAGTCCAGAAGCAGCAGAGGCCGACCCCAGGCTGAGACACGGTGGAGCTGGGTGGCTCCACTTTATCTCCACCGAGGGGTGACGCCTGGGTTCGTGGAAACCACCAGAGGAAATGTCACAGGCCTTTCCCACCCCTCCTGTCCACGCCCCCAACGCACACATGCACCCGCCCCAGCACAGAGCCTCGCACATAGCAGGCACTTGGGAAACACTGACTTCTTTCATACCCAGAACCATCACAAACTTGGGCCAAGTTTATTTCTGGGGCATTCTATTTGCTTGTCCCAAAGAGCCTCCGTGGCCAACGGATGCAGGCCCAATAAGCATGCGCCCAACTGGCCATCCGCACCCGGGACCCACCTGGAGGGGTCCTGATCACCCCACTTGGTCCTGGCCTCAGGCTCTGAGGGGCACCTCCTCTTCCCTCCCCCATGTCCCCATCCTGGGTGGAACTCCAGGACCTGCCAGCCTTAGTGGCAACTTCCCCTAATACTCCCACAACAACAGGGTGGCCAGGGTCTGGGCTCAAGTCCTGGGTGCCCGGGTGGCAGGCAGCAAGGGTGTGAGCAGACTACATAGCCTGTGCACGGGGCCCACGTTCCAGAGCCACCCCAGGGGAGCATGGCTCCTATCCTGCCAGCCTTAGGAGGGCGTGAATCGTCGGAGAGGATGAGGCCGGGAAGGCGTGCAGGCCCTCAGCCCCACGCGTGACACTCAGCAGCAGGAGGGAATAAAAAGCCACCTGTGGGGTGGCCACTGCCAAGGGCTCCCCGACACAAGCACAGAGCACAGCCTGGCCTTGGCTGCAGCACCACAGCAGATGCCTTTATGCCCAGGGCCAGCTATGGGCTGAAAGCACACCCCAGTCCTCACTCCAGCCAGGGCATCCCAGGCACTGTCCCTAAGAGGCTGGGCAGAGGAGGTGGCATGGGGAGGGCTCTCCTGCTTCAGGACATGGAACCTGCAACCCAAAACACCCCACAGACAGTGCGGACGGCTGGCAGGCCCCAGGCCTATACCCCTGCAGGCAGGATCAGCGGTGTTCACTCAAGCGGACCTGCTGGAGCTCATGCTTGTGATCCGGGGTTTTGGCAGAGAGCTCGGTGTGAGGCTGACCCCTGACTTCAGGGACAGCACCAGGCCCAGAATAGGGGTAGCCCCCACCTCCAACCCCAACTGTGTCATCAAGGAGGCTAGACCCACCCCTCCACCCTACTTCTGCCCCAGGCTAGAATGTAGAGGTGGGAGGAAGTCAGGGAAGCAAGACACAGGTGGAGCCAGGGCCTCTCCTGTGCTCGGAGGGCCAGGAAGGGCCTGACAGAGGGCAGAGCCCCACCCTCTTACACGGAGACCACCCTGCAGCCCTTTATCTGGGGGCCAAGGAAGAGGCTTGCCCAGTGTCTTTGCTGGAGAAACTTCCCTATCACCCAATCCCACTCCCCACACTTCACCTCTGACTCCAAAACTGCCTCCTCTTAGAAGCCCCCCTGGAGCGCACCTCCCCTGCTGGTTGGTTCTAGCTGACCAGTTGGTTTAGCCGGCTGTGGGCTCCTGGGGGCAAGGGAAGGAGTTGTCCAGGCTCAGAAGAAAAGGGTGGTAGGACCTCCTAAAGGGACAGCAGATGCCAGGAGAGGGCCGCAAAGGCACAGCGTTGGAACCAGAGGGTTCCTACCAAGTTGACAACTCCAAAAGAGCATGGTGGTCCCCCAAGGACCAGAGCTCCCCCAATCCCAGACTGGGAATTCGGAGGCCACATGTGGTGCTGCACTGGGGGGCCATGCCAGAAGACGAGGTTCTGGATCCAATTCTGAGGACAACTGACTGTCTCTCTGTACCTCAGTGTCCCCATCTGCACCATCCGTATAATGGGAAAGGGGTTTGAGGAGCTGTCTCAGGGCCCCTCCTGTACAGACAGGAGGCCCTAGTGGCACTGTCCTTATTTCCATCCCTCGCCTAGACCTGGGGCCATGGTACCAGTACACAGTGCTCACCCTCCTGCTCAGACAAACAGTAACGGCCAGAAGCTCCAAGCCTCCTGCCCCAGCCCAAGGTGACTTTCCTGGCAGAACCTGGGACTGCCCTGCCCTGCCCTGCCTCCACCCAGCTCCCGGGCAAGCAGTGCCAGGAGGAAGTGTCAGCAGCTCCTCCCCAAAGCTCTTTTCCCCACAGCCCCGCCACCCCCGTACCTGGGCCCCGATTCTCCAGGCACCCCGACACCTGCTCTCACAGGCCGGCCAGCCCCCACCACCCAACTCTCCACCGAGGGAAAGGAATGGGCACAAGAGGGGGCGTGTCCCGGCCCAGGGCGATGGGAAACATCTCACTAGCAAAGAAGAGATCAACCCATGGTCATTCTGAGAAGGTGACCAAAGCTGCGGCGGGCCCCGGGAGGGGTGTGGGAAAGGAAACCAGGGACTCTCAGGAGGGAACGGGAGCCTTGTGGTAGAAAAGGAGCTGCTGTCCCCGATCTGGAACTCGAAACCCCAACATCTTCCAGGCCGTAAGCCCCTCACCCCGCACCCCTAGGCAAATCTCCGCTTTCCCAACTCCCTCACCTCGGTCCAGCGATCAGCCTCTCGGACCCTCGAGAGGGAGCTCCGACCCTGCTCTAGCTCTTGCGGGTCCCCCAACCATGGACTCCAAAGCCTTCATGTCCACACTGCAGAACCCGGCCCTGGCCCCCTCCCGCGACACTCGCGTGCGGCTAGGACTCCTGTGGCCAGGACCCGGCTTCCACCGGCGCTCGGCGTGCGGGGCTGCAAAGCCCGCGGCGCGCCCGCCCCCACTCCCGCTCCGCTCCCGGAACCCCGCGCCGGCGGCCGGAGTGAATCATTAACTGGAGCCGGGTGCTCCGGCTGCGCAGCCTTCCCCGCTGGCGCCACGCACTTGCCCGCCCGGCCTCGGTCCCCCGGAGCTCCTCCCTCTCCGGGAGCCGGTGGGCAGTCCCCACGCCACACCAGCCGGACCACCCGCCAGAGGCTCAACGGCCCCTCCTCGCAGCCGAGGAAACTGAGGCTCGGAGGCAGGGCGCAGAGGCCCAAGGTGACACAGCAGGCGGCCGTCGGCCGGGGAGCGCGGGCCCCGCCAGCCACTTTCCCGACACAGGAACCCTCCTACCGGCTGGCGGCCCCCGCGCCCGGCCCCGCCAACGCACCCGAGGCGCACAGGCTCCGGAGCCCCCGCGGTTCCTGCCTCCCGGCTTCCCGGCCAGGGCAGAAGGAGATCCCAGGGCCGCGGACCCCGGCCGGCGGTTCCCAGGCCCCGCAGGTCCGGCAGGAAATGCCGCTCGCTTAACCCCTTCCAGCCCGCTGCCGCCTCCAAGCCCGTACGCGGCCCGGCCCCACCTGGCGCCCTCACCAGGTGGTTCATGGTGTCCGGCGGGCCTGGGGCCCCGGCTCTCGCGGGGGCGCACACCGAGCTGCCCGGGCCGCGTGCCCTCGGGGCTCCGAGCGCGCCGCAGCCGCCCCGGTGCCGCCGCGCAGCTGCCGCCTCGGCCACCCAGAGCCGGTCCAGCCGCTCTCCGCCTGCCGCCACGGCCCAGCCGGCCCAGCCCGATCCCAGCATGCCCGGCCGCGCGCGCCCATTGGCCGCCGCCGCTCTCCATGCAAATAAGCCGCCTGTCGGGGGCGCGGGCGCGCAGACAGAAGCCCGCCCAGTAGGGGCCGCCCCCCGCCCCGCCCCCCACCTCCAACCCCGAGGCTCCAGGCCCCTGCCCGAGGCCAGGCTTCCAGCCTAGGGCGCAGGACACCGCTCTCCAACAAATGCACGTCCCCGCCTTCCACCCAGGCGAGAACGCACCGAAGGCCTACGCAAACTCCTCCACTTCTGGGAAGGCTGCCCGGTTTGCCTTCTTCCTCCAGAGCCGAGACATGGCCTCAAGTCGACTTGTCTTTCCCGCTAACCAACCCCAGGGCATTCATCGCGTGTCCATGGGCCGTGGGACTCAAATCTGAATCTAGAGGGAAAGGGGAGGGGGCGTGCCCCAGCCTGTAGGAGACGAATCATCACCACCACAGCTCCGACTGTAGACGGTCCCACCGTGTAAGGACCCCAGGAAATGAAGCCTCAAGCAGGGAGGCTGGCGAGCTCTCGACCCAGCGCTTTTCACGGGCAGCACCTACCTTCCCCTGCATTGTGCCGACATCTGGGGACTCGGGCTGGTCCTCCAGCTGATCTGCCTCCTCTCATTACTCATTCCTAGGTTCAGCCTAAAACCTGGGCCTAGTACCCTCCTGAGTCCTGCTCCAACTCATCTGCTTCAGCGACATGGGGTAGGAGAGCGGCACTGGGGGAATGAGGGAGATAGAAGGAAGAATCACTCGGGGGAAACCGAGTGGAGACAACCTTGGCTCTCCTGAGTTGCCCCTTGCTCGGTTGCAGGTCAGTGACTGTCACCCCATGCAGCAGAACCAGGGTGCCAGAGCCCCTGGGCCAGGCCAGGGAGGCACAATCTGCAGGGAGATGATAGGACCGAGCCTGGTCCAGACCAGACAGGACCCTCAGTCAACAATCCTGGGCCACTGGCTGAGCAATGGGATGCCACGAGGCAGCCCTGGTGGCAGGGAAGCAGCGGGGTAGACCCGGCTTCACGCAGCAGAGAATTCTCAAGCATGGCCTATGGAAGACACAAGCCCAGGTGGGCCTGCAGCTGCCCCTCTGTCTGACCCCCAGGGCTCAGCCTACGCAGCGCCTGGCCAGATGTGCCACCTTGGCAGGCCCTCTCCCCTCTCTGGGCTCCTTTCTCATCTGAAAAGGGGCTAGGACAGCCCATGATTTGCTGCTCAGGTGCTCTGGGGAGCTAGTTAAAAAACAGACTCCTGTGTCCCACCCCTCCCAAAAAACTGGACGTCTGCATTTCTTCAATATTTGGCTTGGGAAGCATTGGCCAGAACTCACAGCACAGCGGGTGAGGAAGGAGCAGTGGGATGAGACAGAGCATGACCCAGAGTCCTCAGGAGGAACAGAACAGCTAGCCAACACCCTGTGCCTCCCCGACACAGCCCGCCTCGCCTCAGAAGAGGAGCCAGCCTTCAGGGAAGCTGCCTGGAGCATCTCCTCCTGCTTGTTCCCAAGAGCTGTGCCGGGCCCCTCCTGCACCCTGACCCTGTCCAGCCACCCACTCCTCAGCCTGGCTGGCACACCAGCTTCCCAGAGAGCAGGTCTGAACCAGCGGGACCCTCAGGAGCCTGAGGTCATCCCTGGGCCTCCACTTCTGTGGGGAGGGGAGACCAGGCCTCATGGGCAGGCAGTGCCCTGCTGGCAGGGCCCCAGGCAGCAGTCTCTGCAGGGACGGGCAAGGACACAAAAGGCCTGGCCCTCAAGGGAGCTGGCCCCTGCTCCATCCTAGTTGGCCAAGGAGGGCGGTGCAGAGAGGAGGTGGATGGCTGGAACCTTGGGGGATGAGACCCTCCTCCCCCAGTAGCTGCATTAGAACAGCACTGGGGGTGGGGCTGCTGGTGTGAGCAGGAGGCAGCAAGGGAAACAGGCTCCGACACAGGCATTTCAAAAATTTGCTCCTTTTCCACTTAAATTCCCTCCCCCAAAAGCCTGTGCCTCCCAGAATGGCATTTCCGCTTTGGAAACAAGGCCCCAGAAGTTAAGCCCCACAGTGTTGATGGGGATGTAGCTGGGGGGTGGGGGAGGAGCACCCACTGGCCAGGCTCTGGCCGGGGTATATGGGGGCAGAACCTCACCCCACCCCCAGTCCAGCCTCCCGGACCTCCGCTGTCAAGGACAGGGATGCAGCCCCACATACCCAGCACAGCCTCTGCGCCCAGCCAGTGCCAGGGGCCCTATGCCCATGCATTTATTTTGTGCACACAGCAATCCTGCAAAACAGGCTCACCGTTAGCCCCAATTTTTTTTTTTTTTGAGATGGGGTTTCACCATATTGGTCAGGCTGGTCTCGAACTCCTGACCTCAAGTGATTCACCCACCTCAGCCTCCCAAAGTGCTGGGATTATAGGCGTGAGCCACTGCACCCAGCCTAGCCCCATTTTTCACATGAAGAGACCGAGACCCAGTTTACCAACCACTGCCCCATCCCACACATTTCGGGGCACAGAAGGGACAGGGCCAGGGAAGAAATGGGGCTGCTAGACCTCAGCCCACCCTGCAGCAGGAAGGGAATCTAGGGACAGGGACAGCAGCACTCCAGGCTCAGAAAGCCAAACACCCCTGTCACACTCAGACTGCAAAAGGACAGGCAACTGAGACCTAAGCACCTTCCTCCCCAGTAAAACTGAGCTCAGCACTGGGGCCAGCACCACCCCCACCCCACTAAGTTTAGCCCCATTGGTGAGAAGGGGTGCAGTAAACATTTGTTGACTGGGTGGGACCTCAGAGGTGGCCCTCATGGGATAGGCTGGCCTGGGTGAAGAAATCTGAGGCTGCCCCAGTCTGGAGGATGGGGGTGGTTAAGTCACGCCTAAGTGCAGAGGCACACACTTGCATACACACAGCACACACGCATGCGTATACACACAGTGGGACTGGCAGCAAGGAGAGACGCCCTGAATAAGGAGGAGCTGGGAGAGGTTGTTGCCAGACCAAGGGAGACAGCTGCAGATATGTGGCCGGGGCACCAGCACAGGGCCCTCCCAGACAGTTGTGTCATCCCAGGAGTGGCCTGGCACCTCCAGCCAGGTTGAAGATGAGCTCACAGGCTGGAAGGGATGTCTCCAACCCCTCAGGGCCTGGAATAGCTGTTTGTACAGAAAACAGGTGGACCCAGCACACCAGGACACTAAGTGTCTGGAGTGGAGGGGGTTATACTGGACCCAAGTGGAAAGATAAGCCTGGGATAGGGTTCCTGCTCTTTGGGCTTTCTGAGATCTGCCTTCAGGACAGACCCACTGCACAGAACTTTTCTTGCTCAATGCTCACCAATGTCCACTGCAGCATTTATGACAGCAAAGCATGGAGCAAAACAGGCTCACCTATCAATGCTAATTCTAGGGGACCGGTGAGACAAACCACAGCGCCTCAGTAGAATAGCTTGCAGCTATTAGATGGCCTCTTCCAAAGACTGAAATAATGCAAGAAAATGCTTACAACAAACTAAAGTGAAAAGAGCAGGCTAAAACCAGTTTGCACAGTGTAAAGGCACACAGCCCCCTCCCCTCCTGAAGCCTCGGCCTCCCAGCAGCAGGGAGGGTGGACTCGGTTGATGGCCAGCTCTGGGAGCGGCAGCAGGAGAGGATTTCCTGAGGCCGGAGGTGAGCACTGCCAGCCCCAGGAACAGGAAGAAACGGTATCTCTGGAGGGCCAATGAGAGCTGACACCATCCCCCTAGGCTGGACACTCACAGTGGCAAGCTCAAAACCAAGGCAAGGCTGGGCAAGGTGGCTCACGCCTGTAATCTCAGCACTTTAGGAGGTCGAGACTAGCCTGTCCAACATGGCGAAACTCCGTCTCTACTAAAAATACAAAAATTAGCTGGCCGTGGTGGCGGGCACCTGTAATCCCAGCTACTCAGGAGGCTGAGGCAGGATAATTGCTTGAACCAGGAGGTGAAGCAGTGAGCTGAGATCACGCCACTGTACTCCAGCCTGGGCGATAGAGCAAGGCTCCATCTCAAAAAAAAAAACAAAAAACAGCTGGGCACAGTGGCTCACGCCTGTAATCCCAGCACTTTGGGAGGCCAAGGCGGGCAGATCATCTGAGGTCAAGAGTTCAAGACCAGCCTGACCAACATGGTGAAACCCCGTCTCTACTAAAAATACAAAATTAGCCGGGCGTGGTGGCACATGCCTGTAATCCCAGCTACTCAGGAGGCTGAGGCTGGAGAATCACTTGAACCCGGGAGGCGGAGGTTGCAGTGAGCCAAGATGGTGCCATTGCACTCCAGCCTGGGCGAGAGAGCGAAACTACGTCTCAAAAAAACAAAAACAAAACCCAGGCGAGGGCACGGAACCTTTGTGGATAGCACGGAGGTGAACCTACTGTCACACACAGAACGGACAGCCCACACCCCAACACCAGTCATTCCTCACTGCTGCCCTGGGACCAGGACGGAACGACGGCTACCTGGAGGCAGAGAGAGGGGCAATGCCCCACGCAGCTCCCATGGCCAGCAGAGCTCGCACCTTCCACCTCATAACCCAGGCGTGTGCCTACTGGTAAGCACCCCAGGTGACCCCAGACCGCAGAGCATGCACTCAGGACTCAAGCTGGAGCTGTTACCATAAAGGGCTTCCCATCCTCCACTGCGGGGCAGTGTTTGTCATTACCAGTAGTGGCTCTGACTGTGGGAAGGTGGGCGGGCCCTATAGCCTGAAGCCAAATCCCTCCAGTGGTCATCCCCTTTGGCATGCCCAAGGCCAGTCCCCAGAGACCCGGGGGCAGGGGCAGTATCCAAGGTGTGTGGGCAGAGCTGCCAGGTAAGGGACACAGCACGGATGGGGGGGGGTGGGGCCTCCCTGCACTCCAAGTCCTGGCCTGCATCCCACTAAATCCAGCCCTACGCCTCCACTTCAGGCCTGTCAGAAACAGGACTGGAAGAGGCAGCACAACTTTCCAAATTATCTGGAAATTAACAAGCAGCAGAGGCCCCTGCCGTAGGTGCCTGCCTCAGAGAGGGGCTCAGCTCACAGCCGCCCGAGGCCGGTGTGAGCCAGCAAGGCAGCCCCAGGGTGCCGTTCAGAGGCTCTCCGCCCACCCCAGCAACCCCTTCCTCTTCTGCACCCTCCTCTCTCAGCTCTCCCCTCCTGCCCAGCCTCCTGGGGCTGGCAGGTGGGGCAGGCACCAGCACAGGGCCCTCCCAGACAGGTCCTCCTGGACCAGCGGCACCCCTGTGTGCAGTGAGGAGGGGCCATGTGCACTCTGCCCCGCTGCTGACCACCAGGTCCTCCTCCTGAATCTGCGCCCTATGGCAGAGGCAGCCCCTCAGCACTGCCTGGGGGAGGGGGAAGAGAGGGGCTCAGTCCTGGCTGGAAGGGGGAAAGAGGGGCAAAGGGGCAAGCTCTGTCCTCGTCCTCAGAGAGGAAGCTCCATGGCTGGGGGCTGCCCAGCTCTCCACTGACTGGCCGGGTGGGCAGGGATGAGGGTGTGGTCAGGAGGCCTCCCCAGCCCAACCCAGCCCAGCCATCTGCTCTCCCATGGCAACCAACCCCAGTGTACTGGGCGGAGGGGGGTGACTTCACACATCATCTGCTGCCCACTCCCGGCCGCTTTCATAGAACACAGGGGCCCACACTCACAGATACCCACCCGGCCACTCTGCTGGGGTCAGCAGGCCAGGGGCCAGTGGAATCACAAGAGGGGACCCTGGGGGCTCTGGGTGGCAGTGACGGAAAGAGTGGATACAGGGAAGACAGAGCTGTGGCAGCCACAGGGAAAGCAATGCTTTTTTTTCTTTTTTTAAAGACAAGGTCTCTGTCACCGAGGCTGGAGTGCAGTGGCACAGTCACAGCTCACTGCAGCCTCAACCTCCTGGGCTCAAACGATCCTCCCACCTCAGCCTCTTGACTAGCTGGGTCTACAGGTGTGCACCGCCATGCCTGGCTAATTTTTTTATTTTTTGTAGAAATGGGGTTTCACTATATTGCCCAGGCTCGTCTCCAACTCCTGGGGGCTCAAGCGATCCTCCCGCCTTGACTTCCCAAAGTGCTGGGATTATAAGCGTAAGCCACTGTGCCTGGTGGAAAAGCAATGCTTTTTCTCCCTCCTTGGACAGCATCGTGGGGCTAGGCTGGGTGTCCCACTGGAGCCTATGCCGGCCTATAGATAAAGGCTCCTCTGCCCTGGGAGACCCAGGCTCAGGCTCTCGCCCAGGCTTAGACTAGAGGAAGGGAGCAGATATTAATGACTCCAACTCGCCGTGGGCCTTCAGCCAGTCACTGTACTGCTCAGGTTTCAGTTTGCCCATCTGTTAAATGTACCCATGACCAGCAGCCCTGCCCACCCTGGGGCCATCAGACTGATGGCACAGGTGGCCGGCAAACACACAGCGGCACCCTAGTGTCCCACTGCCCGCAGCATACCCACACCCTGCGCCATCACACACTGGCCCCACCCCGCTGGGCACCAGGGCGCACCTTCCCTTGGCCTACCCCATGTGCTAAGCCCATCCCGCAACCAAGCCCTCCCTGCTCTCCCTACAGCCTGCGTAGACACCGCTCCTCAGATGCCCTCAGCATCCCTCACCTTCCCTGAAACCTTGTCTGAGAGACTGGGGCAAAATCTTTCCTTGGAGTTCTGCTGCCCCCAGATCCACCCGCCAACACTGGAGGCAGGCAGGGTCTCCTCTTGGACTGCCCTGAGGCAAGTAGGAAGTGGCTGGTTGCAGTCACTTTCACTATGCATGTTATAAAGCAACACTCATGCATCTGCGCCTCCTGACTGAGGTCTAACTGTTGGCAGCACTGCTGTGTAAAAGAACAGCCGTGTCCTCAGGGAACTCACACTCCAAGGTGTGTGTTAAGGGGCACAAACGTAAACGCTTGCAAAGCAGACAGCAGAGGGATGGGGGAGGCTGTTCTACACAAGGTGCTTGGGGGCTTCTCTGCGGAGGTGACATTTGAGCAGATGTGTGAATCTTTTGCTAAGACTCATTATGCAGAAAAAAATAACAGCAAAGATTTGTAAAAATAGCACAGGCAAGCCAACTCCTTCGGCGTGAAGAGCCAGTGTGGCCGCAGGAGCACACAGAAGAAACCCAGATGCTGGGGCCAGGGACGCAGGGAGTCTCCCTCTACCCTCCTCAGGCTTGGCTCAGTGGTGTGTGCCTCCTGGGCTTAGGGCTTCCAGCGCTGGGGCAGGCGCAGCAAGGAGTGTCTGCCTGGAGGGGTGCCTTGGCAGATGGCCAGGGAAAAAAAGAGGGAGCCCAGGAATCTGCGTGGCCTGGGAAGGAGGAGGAGGAGGGACGCAGGTAGCTTCTGCTGCATCCTCTCCCGCCTCCTGCTCTCCTTAGAAACCTCCCAACCAGGACTTCTGGAGTGGTCACAGGCCCTGGCGAAACACAGATGACTCTACAGCCTAAGACACTTAACCTCCCAGATAACCTGCAAAGAGGCAGTTTAAACTCTAGGACACCTGGTGAGGTCTGGGACAGGGAGGAGTGTGGTCATACCACTTTCTGGGCAAACAAGCAACTTTGGTAGATCCAGGATTTGGGAGCACAGATCTCTAGGCATGCCTCAAGGCATACAATTGGATATCAGGTTTTATAAAATACTTAAATGGGTATTTTGCCAACAATAGTGCCAGTGTTCCGCTACTTAATAACACACAGCACAAGCTGGCTTCAGTGGCTCATGCCTATAGTCCCAGCTACTGGGGAGGCTGAGGCAGGAGGATCGTTTAAGTCTAGGAGGCCAGGTTGGGTAACACAGCAAGACTCAGACTCAGACACAGCACACTAAAGGTAGAGACAGATATCCATCCACAAGGAATGGATAAATATCTTGTGGCACATCCATTACTGGAACATTACTCAGCAACAAAAAAGAATAAACTGGCCGGGCGCGGTGGCTCACACCTGTAATCCTAGCCCTTTGGGAGGCGAAAGCGGGCGGATCACGAGGTCAGGAGATTGAGACCATCCTGGCTAACACGGTGAAACCCCATCTCTACTAAAAACACAAAAAATTAGCCGGGCATGGTGGCAGGCGCCTGTAATCCCAGCTATTTGGGAGGCTGAGGCAGGAGAATCGCTTGAACCTAGGAGGTGGAGGTTGCAGTGAGCCAAGATCATGCCACTGCACTACAGCTTGGGTGACAGAATGAGACTCCATCTAAAAAAAAAAAAAAAAAAAAAAAGAATAAAACCAATATGCTCGAGGAATAAAGCCAGACCTGGCCTGGCTCAGTGGCCCACGCCTGTAATCCTGGCACTTTGGGAGGCCAAGGCGGGTGGATCACCTGAGGTCAGGAGTTCGAAACCAGTCTGGCCAACATGGTGAAACCCTGTCTCTACTAAAAGTACAAAAATTAGCTGGGAATAGTGGTGGGCACCTATAATCCCAGCTGTTTGGGAGACTGAGGCAGGAGAATCACTTGACCCTGGGAGGAAGAGGTTGCAGTGAGCCGAGATCCTGTCACTGCACTCCAGCCTGGGTGACAGAGCGAGATTCCATCTCAGAAAAAAAGGAAAAAGCCAGACCCCAAAGTGCATCTACTGTAGGCTTCCAGTTGCAGAAAGTTTAAGAACAGGCAAACTTAAGCCAGGGTGATAGAGACATTTGTTATTTTGATTCGATTGATGGCTACATGAAGGTCTGTATTAATCAAAACTCATCCAACTGCCAGGCGCGGTGGCTCATGCCTGTAATCCCAGCACTTCAGGAGGCGGAGGCAGACGGATGAGGTCAGGCGTTCGAGACCAGCCTGGCCAACATGGTGAAACCGTGTCTCTACTAAAAATACAAAAATTAGCTGGACATGGTGGCACATGCCTGTAATCCCAGCTACTTGGGAGGCTGAGGCAAGAGAATCACTTGAACCCGGGAGACAAAGGTTGCAGTGAGCTGATATCAGGCCACTGCACTCCAGCCTGGGTGACAGAGTGAGACTCCATCTCAAAAAAAAAAAAAAAAACCTCATCCAACTAACTGTTTAACATCTGCACATTTCACGACATGTAAAATTTACCTCAATAAGAGTTTCGACTGGTAAAAAATAAAACAAAGCAAAGAAAAAATACATTTGGCATTACAAATACCAAAAATAGATACTGCAAGCCTAAACCCACCATGCTACTCTTTTTGCCCTGACCATCAGGGAGCTTCAAGTTAAATTTGGATGCCTACTGAGCCTCGGCTTTCTGGGATAATTCTTCCTCCTTCCCCATACATTACATAATTCCAGATCTTTTCATGATCCCAGACTATTTGTGTCTTCTGCCATAATCTGCTTCAAATCCTTCTTGGAATTTGGTAGGGCTTAAATAATAAATTAAAATGACTGAAAAACCTTCCCAGCCTCTAATCCCCCTTGGAGAAGAGATTAACTTCAGAGCCGCGACTTGTGACCATCTCACCAGAGCAAGCATCCCTTCCACACTTCTGCCGAGGTCCCCAACCTGTCCCCAGAACTCTTTTTCCTTTTTCCTGCAGAGAGGGAGACAATGGCCCAGCACACAAGGACTGAGAGTGAGCCATAGAAACAATGGGGCTTGACCTGGAGGACACACGCAGGGCTGCAGCAAAGCCAAGGCCAAGGCCAGGGGTGAAGGTAAGCAGACAGAGGGAAGGTGGTGTGGGCCCCAGAACACCAGGGCACCAGTGGTAGGAAATGGGGAGGTCTGCAGGTATCACCCAGGCCCCCCACTCACCCTCCTGGCTGTAGGCCCCTCCCTTAAGGAGCCATGATCCCCAGGCAGGGGTGGAACCAGCCTCCCTCAGAGGCCCTGCCTGCCCCGTGCTGGCCCGACTGCTGCAGACCACACCTGAGCAGAGGCCTGCACCACTGCAGCGGCTCCCACGGCCTGCAATGCCGCCTCATTCCTGGGGGCACTTGGAGCAGGGCAGCAGCTGCATAGATGCGATGGGGCCAGCTGGTTGCCCCAATGCAGGTCACTCTCTGGTTGGAGTGAAGACAAGGACCTGACCATCCAAGGCTCAAGAGGCCAGGGTCCTGCAGGCCATGCCCGGGCAGGGGAGAGGCCAGGGTCATCCCACCACCAAGGCCTTGGCAGAAACCACACTGACCATAAAGAAAGGGCCACAGAACCCTAGGGGCAGAGGCCAATCAGCCTGGGTCCAGCCCAGCCTCCTCCCCACGCTGGCTGCCCAGGAGTCAGGAATGGGTCTGAGCCACTGCACTAGCCAACCATGGCCACATGAAGACAATAATCTCCACAGCAGTAGCTGCTGTTACTTAATCACCCTCCTTCTAACAGCTCTGGTCACCCCTCACCAAATTCTCACAAAATCCCAGGAGCTCTGTGCTCTTAACATCCCCATGACACAGAGGAGGAAACTGAGGCTCAGGGAGGTTCAGTAACTCACTCAAGGCACAGAGCCAACACTGTTCACTCTAGAGCCCTTGACCTTGACCCACCAAAACACTCTCCCCACCCCGCAGCAGCCTCTCCAGGAACCCCTTTCAGCCTCAAGCAAGGCTCTGAGGAGAGTGGCTGAGATCCCAGGCTCTGCACGGGGATACAGCCACTGGCCTGTGGGGGCTCCACGGTACTCCTGGGGCCACATACTCAGCAGGCGGCCAGGGGCAAGCTGCAGCCAGAAGGCACGAGAGACAGCGGGGCAAGCAGTCATGGGTTCTGCAGTGTGAAGAGGGAGCCTGACACAACCACATCACCCCACCAACAAATGGACAATGGCAGACGGCGCCGGGAAGGCTTCCTATGGATGATGGCGCAGAGCTTGAGGTGAATGGGAATGACCTGGTGAACGAGGCAGCTGGCTGGAGATCACTTCCTACAGAGGGAGGGACAGGCTGAGCCAAGGCCCAGCGGCAGAAGAGGGTGCGGCAGGGGCAGTGGGGCCTGAGCTGCGGACTTTGAACCTGGACACTGCCTCATCCCACTCTCTCTGTCCACTGCCTGGCTGCCAGGCCAGCTATGAACCCCAGGGCAGGCCTCATGGCTCCTTGGGCAGCTCCCCCACTCACACCACTGCCTGGCACAGAGCCAGTTCCAGGATTGCTGGCCAAGGTTTCAACCAGATGCTAAGGCTGGTCTACTCATCTCCATCTACCACTGCTGGGGCTGGCTGGGGCTAGACCCACCCTGCTGCACAGCCTTGGGTGCTACCTGCTCTGAGCCCAGGGTGCTTTGCCTCCCAGGGACGCAGAAGAGGTGACACAAACTCATCTTCGGGAAGCCACAGGTAGAGGGCTGGCTGCTGTCCACCGCTCAACAGGCTGCAGCCCCCACAAGTAGAGGCCATGCAGGACGATGCTTATTTTATGGCTTTGGATCCTGCCATATCTGGCTCCCACCCTGGCTCCACCTCTCACTGGCCAGGTGACCCTGGCAAGACACAGGCCCTCTGTGGGCCTGTGAGGTCCTGAGCCCAGTGCCCAGCACACAGGGCGGCATCCCTGAAAGGAGCCATCCCTCAACGAAGGGGCACAGGAGGAGCTGGAGTGGCCACACTCACTTCACAGATGGGAAGCAAGAAGCAGAACAGACAGCAGGGAGGCCTCTCTGCAGCTGGAAGCTGGCCTCTTACCTGGCAGGGCTGGGGGTGGCCAGCACCTGCCACCCCTAAACATGGACTCCCAAGCCAATGCCAGCCAGAGGTCTGAGGTGGGTGGCACATTTCCTTCCAAATGTGTCCTCTCAGCTGCAGGAAGAGTCAGGCCCAGAGCGCTGGGCGAGAGGAAGGCATGGGAATACCCACAGGGTGTCCAGGCAGCACACGAGCACTGCACTGCTCTATGCCTGGAGCAGAGGAAGGGGCACTGAGCAGGTAGCAGGGACGCCCTGGCTCCTTCCCCTCTCTGGGTCCGGGACTGCATGTGAGTCAAATGACAAGGTGACACCAGCTGATCCCCGGCATCTCCCCTCCCCCAACACTCAGGGGGTCGCTACCCGCACAACCAGCCCACCAATCTCTCACCCTGCTTCCCCTCCCATCCCCTTCTGAAGCATCTTATAATTTCTGTGGGCCAAAGTGCCTGCTGCGTCAGCCCATCTAGGAAAAGACTGCCCAAATGGATGGGTGTGCTTAAAACCCAGACGTGTCCCTGAGCAGTCGCCACTCTGGGTTCCAAGGGCAGGGCTTGAGCAGGCAGCTCAGTCTGGAAGCCTCCGCAGGGCCTCCTCAGCACATGAAAGCAATTTTCCGAACACTTCAAGACTGTTCCAAAAATGAATTCTCCTCTTGGCCCCACCACCTCACACACTGCCCAAGGTCCCAGGAGAGAGAGCCACGGTGATCTGCCAGCCAGCCACGTAGGGGGCAGATGGCAAAGACCTCTGCCCACCCCCAGCAGAATTCTCCTGGGCTGTGACTACAAGGGAGAGGGTAGGAGATGACTCAGAGCCCGTGATGGTGTGGCCAGGCTGCAGGTCCCCACGACAGTGCCTATCTGTCCAAGTCCTACCCAGCCCGCTGTTCCTCTCTTGTTACAGATGAGGCACAGTGCCAAAGAAGGCTGCCCAAAGTCCTGTAAGGCAAGGGGTCAGGGTGCCATCCCAGACTCCATGCCCAGAGCTTGGCTCTGACTGTGGACAACCAAACCAAATCAAACGGGGACCTCCCCATAGAGGCCCGCCCAGGCTGGGATGTGGCCAGAGTGACATTCCCTAATCACTACTGCCCTGGGATACCGGCCCTCCAGCAGGCTCAGGTGGTCCGCCTTGTCCCTCTGCCCAGTGCCCACAGGAGCAGGGCTGGCCAGTCCCCTGAGGCCCTGGGCCAGAGAAGTCCAGAACTTTCCAGGAGAGCAGAACAGAAGAGAGGAAGGGCTTGGCAGGCATGTTCTGTCTTCCTTCTTTCTGAAGACGAGACGATTATGCTCTGAACCAGAACGGATGGCGGGGCTCACATCAGCACAGTCTGGAAGCCCTCATTTTTTCATCTGTAAATACATTACCACTTCTGGAGGCGAGCAGGAGCGGGCTCTTTAATTCCACAATAACAATGCTTTGCACTTGGCCAGCTTCCCTCTGGTCATCTGCACTCACTCTGGGATAGTTAATGAAGAGGCCACTTGCCAGAAAGCCCCCACTGCCTGCTTCACGGAAAGGATGGGGTCCTCCGGGTGAGGAGCAGTTCCAGAAACAAGGCCAGAGTGGACAGGGCTCTGGAGGGAAAAGCCCCTAACTAGGCAGGGAAACGATGGCTGGAGGCCACAGCTCGCCAGGTGCAGATGGTGTCCCTTCCTGGCAGGACGCCGGGGTGTCCGCCTCCCACCTCCCACTTCAGTCTGTCCATCTGTCATGTGGGGCCTGCACCTGAGGCCTGGTTACCCGGGGTAGCCAGGATCACTTGCTGTTCTCAGGAGGTGAGACTGAGATGCTCAGAGATGCCAGTGCCCAAGTGTGGAAACATGGCCCGGGGGTCTGCCGAAGCCAGGCTGCCCGGCCAGGAAGAGGGGGTGTCGGACAGAAAACTCCCTACGGCCAGCGGGGAGGAAGCGGCCAGTCAGGGCCCCGGGGGTTCCGCAGCGAGAGGAAAACTTCCCAGGAAAGTGAGCCCATCCGCCGTGGAGGGCAGGCACGGCTCCCATCCAGCCAAGCCGTCCTGGGGGAGGGGTGGCTCCGGCGACTGGCAGAGACCGCGCCCCAACCTGGCCACCCCGGGGGAGTCCCGGGAGCGCCGCAGGGCAGCAATCCGAGGGAGGTCTTGCGGGACAGCACAGGCCTCCCACCCCCTCATCCGGCCCAGCAGTCCCGGAGGGGAGTCGCGGGAGCGGCAGAGACCCCTCCCCGCTAGGCCTAGCCGTCCTGGTGCGGGGTCCTGGCGGGCAACAGACTCCTGCCTGGCCCAGCTGTCCCAGGGGTTTCCCGGGGACCAACAAAGAGTCTTCCCGACCTAGCCATCTTGGGGGGCTCCCCGAGGGGACAGTACGGACCCCAGCCCGATCCAGCTCTCCTGAAAGAGGATGGAAAGGCGGGGGCAGAGAGGCCGGCTTGGGGGAGCCTCCCCCAGCCGGTGCGCTCTCCCCCGGGGCCGAGGAGGCCCCAGTGAGGCGACCCCCAGTCCGGGAGCCAACGCGGCATCAGGCCCGCAGCGGGCGGGGCGAGGTCGCAGCCGGGCGGGGGACAGCCGGCCCGGGGTCCCGGGCGGCGCGGTACTCACAGGCACGGACATCTTGGCCGCCGCCCCCGGGGCCTGGCGGGCAGCGGCGCCAGCGGGCTGGGGGCTCGGGTCCGCCCGCGCCGCTCAGAGGCCCCGCGAGGGGTCCCGGCGCTTTCCGGCTCCTCCGGCTCCTGAGCGTTCCCGGACGCCGGACTGTCCGGCCGCTCCAGCCGCGCCGCGCATGCGCCGCCCGCGCCGCCCCCCCCACCGTCTCCGCGGCCAGGGACGCGTTAAAGGTGAGGACCCCGGACCTAGGCCTTTTTCTGTCGGCCCAACGCGGCGGGGAGGCGCGGTCTCCTCCGCTCCTCGCCGATCCCTCGCGGGCCACCTCCAGTCGCACCAGCTCTGGGTCGCCCAACCAGTCCCCTCCCCCAACACTACACTGCCCTGTGGCCCTGGCCGGGCTCCTAGGCCCTGTGTCCGGGCGCAGACCGGGAGGGCTCGGCCGGCGGAAGGTGATCGCGGGGCAGCATAGCAGGCCTCCCGGAGCCCCTCTGCCCTCCCCCAGCTGAGAGCGAGCCCCGAGACCCCCAGGGAAGAGGAGCTCCCCACCCCGGAAACAGTCTAGCTCATCCTGGGGTCGCCCTGACAGTGACATCTGACCTGGCTTCTAGGGAGGATCCTGTGTCCCTGTAACCCCCACTCCTGGGCCCACCCTCAGCCCACCGTCCTCCCAGAGGCTGGAAGACGAGCCTTCGTGGGCCTGAGACTTCCTTTCCCCAGGCTAAACACCCCCAATTTCAGCTGTTTCGCATCTACCATGGTGCCCACACATGGCACCTGCAGCCACTGGGCACGTGCATGTTCGTCCCCATCGCTCCACTCCTGCCAGGCAGGCCTTGCTGATGCCCCGTTACATTTCATAGGCCCAGGCACTGAGATCCCTCACCCACTCAAAGGAAGGACCAGGGGTCCGACCCCTCTGTTCTGCTTCCTGGGGACGGTGGGTGAGCATCTAGAGCAAGTGGGGCTGGGGTCCAGAGCACTGTCCCGGAGGTCAGCGCTGCCCACCCCAGGGAGGAAAGACGGAGCCAGCTCCATGAGGCTGGTTTGCCGCAGCCCGGGCTCATGGCGGGGACCTGGGGGCAGAAAGCTCCAGCTGCCTAGGGAATCTCTGTGTGGGTGCCCATGTGGGGGGCGGGCCCTTCTGCCTGCCAGGGATGCTGTGCCAGGAGGCCACGGTGGCTGGATGGAGGAAGCAGAGCCAGGCAGCAGGCTGACTTCCCCCAGCTCCCAAAAGCCCCCAGTAGCAGGTCACCGACTGGGTTTTCAGCCTTTTTCCCCAAGGGGCGTGCAGCCTTGATCTTTTCTCCAGGAGTGTCCCGGTGAGGATCCCAAGAGGCCAGCAGCAATGAGGGGGTATGAGGTATGAGAGAAAGAGGGAAATCCAGGCCTCCCACGAGAGACCCAAGTCCCTGTTCTGGCAGTGATGAGGGGTCCTTCCCTGCTCCAGTAGAGTATGGTTGCCCCTTCACCTCTTGAGTGGGGTTCCCAACTGTGCACATCAGCGTCCGCAGCCCAGTGCTCAGCAAGGCATTGTTGGAGGGGCCAAGCAGGGCCACAGCAAGCCGGGGGGGGGGTGGGGGGCCTGGACCGACAGCTGCCACCTCCTCAAAGGGCGCTCTGTGCATGTCTGGCACGTGGCCCTGCCCGTGCCCACCCGCCCGCATCCAGCTGGCACAGGGGCTCCTGAGCTGGGAGCAGCAGCTCTGCCTGGCGCCCGGGCTCCTGGCCACACGCCCTGCTGTCTCTGATGCCCCCACCCACCACCACCCTGGCCCTCTCCTTTGCTCCTCGCCCAGACCCCACCTCCCTCCCTTGCTCCTGCTTGGGGCCCACTGTTCCTGTCTCCTTTCCCATCTCCCCCATATCTAGGTGCCCCAGCCAGAATGGGGCGGGCGGTGGAGAAAGATCCCTTCTACCTGCCTGGGCACAGGGAAAGGAGAGCCCAAGGGAGGGGCGCAGATGGAGCTGGACCCTCCAATCCATCTCATCCTGCCTCTTACCGCCCCAGGGGCTGCTTATTTAGGGCATCAGTAACTCAGCCCTTAGCAGGGAGAGAGGGGACCCTGGCTAGAGCCCTCACTTACTCTGAGGCAGGGATCCTTGGGTGTGGGCCTGGGGGCAGCCAGAGGAGCCTCACCAGGGCAGTGCATGCCCTCTCCTGACACTACCAGGTGTCTGTGAAGGCGGCGGCTGCTCCTCCCTCACCCACTCCTGGCAGGCAAATGATCCCAGGATGACTCACTCCGTCCTATAGGGAACAGCCTCTGGGGCTTCAAGGCTGGCAGTTCCAACCAGAAGCAACAGCTGGGCTGCCAGAGCAGGTGCCAGCGCCCTGAGAGGGTCCTTGAGAGCTAAGCGAGGCCCTCACACCGGGACTATTTTTGTCCCTGGCCTCTGGAGGGAAAGGAATTTGGACCTGGCCATGGAGTAAATCTGTGCAGAGACAAGCTTCACAACCAGCTCTCCTGACATCCAAGCTGGCCTCTGTCCCCAGGGCCTTGCCATGTCTAGAGGGGCTGAGGGCTGGGAAGTGGCTCCTTATCTCCCTGTACCCCCCTTCAGGTGACCAGGGACTTCTCTGGCAAAGGAGCTCCTGCCCTGGGAGAGTGCAATGATTACCCGGCACTAGTAATAATCTCCCGTCAGGTGGGGCGCAGTGGCTCATGCCTGTAATCCCAGCACTTTGGGAGGCCAAGGTGGGCAGATCACCTGAGGTCAGGCATTCAAGACCAGCCCGACCAACATGGTGGTGAAACTCCATCTCTACTAAAAATACAAAAATTAGCTGGGCGTGGTGGTGCACACCTGTAATCCCAGCTGTTTGGGAGGCTGAGGCCAGAGAATCACTTGAACTCGGGAGGCGGAGGTTGCAGTGAGCCAAGATCGCACCACTGCACTCCAGCCTGGGCGACAGAAGGAGACTCCATCTCAAAAAAAAAAAAAAAAAAAAAAAAAAAAACAACTCAGCATGGAACATGTGGCATTAGTAATGAACCAATACTGATACATCTTTGTTAACTGAAGTCCACACTTGATTCAGATTTCTCTTTTTTTTCTTTTTTTGACAGACTTTCGCTCTTCTTGCCCAGGCTGGACCGCAGTGGCACGATCTTGGCTCACTGCAACCTCTGCCTCCCGGGTTCAAGCGATTCTCCTGCCTCAGCCTCCCAAGTAGCTGAGATTTCAGGGGTATGCCACCATGCCCAGCTAATTTTTTTTTTTTTGAGATGGAGTCTCCCTCTGTTTCCCAGGGTGGAGTGCAGTGGCTCCATCTCTGCTCACTGCAACCTCTGCCTCCCGGGTTCAAGCGATTCTCCTGCCTCAGCCTCCTGAGTAGCTGGGATTACAGGCGCGCGCCACCATGCCTGGCTAATTTTTTTTTTTTTTTTTTTTTTTTTGTATTTTTAGTAGAGATGGGGTTTCAGCATGTTGCTTAGGCTGGTCTCAAACTCCTGACCTCATGACACGCCTGCCTCAGCCTCCCAAAGTGCTGGGATTACAGGGGTAAGCCACCGCACCGGGCCAATTTTTTTCTTGTATTTTTAGTAGAGATGCGGTTTCACCATGTTGGTCAGGCTGGTCTTGAACTACTGACCTCAAGTGATCCACCTGCCTCAGCCTCCCAAAGTGCTGGGATTACGGGCGTGAGCCACTGCGCCTGGCCAAAGATTTCTCCAGTTTTTACCTAACGTCCTTTTTCTGTTCTGGGATTCCAACCAAGATTCCACCGTCTCCTTGGGTTCCTCTGGGCTGTGACAGTTTCTCAGACTTTGTTTTTGATGACCTTGACAGTTTTGAGGTGTGCGGGAAACATTTACAGAATGAAATAAAACATTTATAGATGTCCCTCAATTAGGATTTGTCTGACGTTTTTCTTACGATTAGACTGGGTTGTGGGTTTTGGGGAGGAAGACCCCAGAGGTCAAGTGCCATTTTCATCCCATCATATTGGGGTGCATACTGACAACATGAAGTATGATCACTGTTGAGGCTCACCCTGACCACCTGGCTGAGGGAGTGTTTGTCAGGGTTCTCCACTGTAAGGCGACTCTTTTTCCCCCTGCTTTCTGTAGGGTACTTCCTGGAAGGAAGTCCCTGTGTGCCATCCACAGCCAAGGAGGAGGGAGTTCCTATGCTCCACCTCCTGAGGGTGGACTCTATGGAGATGATTTGGAATTCTTCTGGATGAGAGATTGCCTGTTCTCCCTCATTTATTTATTTATTCAATAATTTATTTATATCAGTATGGACTTATGGATTTTTATTTTATTTTATTTTATTTTATTTTATTTTATTTTATTTTATTTTATTTTTTTGAGACAGAGCCTCAGTCTGTCACCCAGGCTGGAGTGCAGTGGTGCGAGCTTGGCTCACTGCAACCTCTGACACCTGGGTTCAAGTGATTCTCCTGCCTCATCCTCCCGAGTAGCTGGGATTACAGGCACCTGCTATCACGCCCGGGTAATTTTTGTATTTTTAGTAGAGATGGGGTTTCACCATGTTGGCCAGGCTGGTCTTGAACTCCTGACCTCGTGATCCACCCACCTCGGCCTTCCAAAGTGCTGAGATTACAGGCATGAGTCACCCCGCCCAGCCTATTTTTATTTTTTTGAGACAGGGTCTAACTCTTGTCTCCCAAGCTGGAGCACAGTGGTGCCATCACAGCTCACTGCAGCCTCCACCTCCTGGGCTCAAGTGATCCTCCCACCCCAGCCTCCCAAGTAGCTGAAACTACAGGCGTGTATCACCACCCTCCGCTAGTTTTTGTATTTTTTTTTTCTTTTTTTGGTAGAGATGGAGTTTCACCATTTTGCCCAGGCTGGTCTCAAACTCCTGAGCTCAAGTGATCCTCCCTCCTCAGGCTTCCCAAAGTGCTAGGATTAAAGGCATGTGCCACTGCACCAGTGCACTTGTGCAATTTTTTTTTTTTTTTTTTTTTTTTTTTTTTTTTTTTTTGAGACAGAGTCTGGCTCTGTCGCCCAGGCTGGAGTGCAGTGGCGCGATCTCGGCTCACTGCAAGCTCCGCCTCCCGGGTTCACGCCATTCTCCTGTCTCAGCCTCCCGAGTAACTGGGACTACAGGCGCCTGCCACCACTCCTGGCTAATTTTTTGTGTTTTTAGTAGAGACGGGGTTTCACCTTGTTAGCCAGGATGGCCTCAATCTCCTGACCTCATGATCCGCCCGTCTCGGCCTCCCAAAGTGCTGGGATTACAGGCATGAGCCACCGCGCCCCGCCCAGTTTTTTGTTTTTACAGTAAACATACTTTTAAAATTGTGATAAAATATACATAACACAGAATTTACCATTTTCACCATTTTTAAGTGTACAATTCCATGGCATTAAGTACATTCACAATGTTGTGCAACCATCACTGTCCATTTCCAGACATTTTCATCTCTTAAACAGAAATGCTGTAGTCATTAAATGATAACTCTCTGCTTCCAGGCCCCTCAGTTCCTGGTAAACCCCATTCTACTTCTGTCTCTATAAATTTGCTTATTCTCTGTACCTTGGATAAGTGCAATCATATATTATTTGTCTTTTTGTGTCTGGCTAATTTAACTTAACATCATGTTTTCAAGTGTAATTTTTTTAAAGAACAATTTTTGTTTTTTTGTTCTTTTTGGAGACATGGTCTCACTCTGTCACCCAGGTTGGAAGGCAGTGGTGTCATAGCACACTGCAACCTCAACTCCGATGAGCTCAAGCAATCCTCCCACCTCAGCCTCCCAAGTAGCTGGGATCCCAGGCACACACCCCTGGCTAATTTTGTTTTTTATTTTTTGTAGAGGCAGGGTCTCACTATGTTGCCCAGGCTGATCTCAAACTCCTGGGCTCAAGCAATCCTCCTGCCACGGCCTTCCAAAGTGCTGGGACTATAAGCCACCAAGCCGGCAAAGAATAATTTTTTTTTTTAAGGGAAAAATGCAATTGCCAAGTTTTAGGAACTGCAAGTGTCCTAGAAAGTTCCCATGGACCCTCTGGGGCCTGGTGCAAGGGTCTTTCCCAGGAGCTGACATGGGGGGAGGCCAGGGTCAGGGGTGCAGCTAGGCATCAAATGCAAATGTGGAGCCACACACAACAGTCTGTGCAGTCACCTCTCTCTTCCCCACAAGCAAGAGGCAGGGGGAAAGGGATTTTGCATGAAGGCCCATCTTTGGACAGCTGAGCTGGGGCAGACCCTCCAGCTCCCAGGACGCTGGCTGCCGGCCTCCTGTCTTCTAGGATGTTCGCAAACACCCAGAGACCAGAGCCCCTTCCAGGAACAGGCTCACATCCTCTGTCACTGTGACAAGTGGAATTTCACTCTTCGCTGGAAGCAATCCCCAGGGCATTGTGTTTCTGAACCCAGAGATGAAACTGCCCGCTGAATTGTATGCATTCTCTAAATTATTGAAGAGCCGAAAGAGCGGCTGCCACATTGGGGTCACCAGTGCGAGTCCCCAGAGCAGCAGTTTCATGTTCTCAGCAAGGCTTGAATGCCAGGCACCCCCGGCAGCTGCCCTGTGATGTTGCCTGAGGCCAAGGGTCCGCCCAGGGTTGGAGTGGGGGGTGGGGGGCACTAGGAAAATCTCGCTGTTACCCGAGAGTGAGACCGATCCTTGTGAAAACAGGAAGGAACTCACTGTGGGGAGTGAGGTCTGCAGTTTGGCAAGAACCCAGGCTCCTGTCGCCATTGACCTCCAGTGGCAGGGCAGGGCGGGGTGGGGCTGACCTGGGTTCTGGTCCTGCCGTGTGAGCTTCAGCATGATCTTCATAGTCTCTAAGCATGTTTCCTCTCCATGTGTAAAACAGGATCCATAAAGCAGTGAAGCCAGGCGTGGTGGGCTCGTGCCTGTAATCCCAACACTTTGGGAGGCTGAGATGGGCAGATCACCTGAGGTCAGGAGTTCAAGACCAGCTTGGCCAACATGGCGAAACCCCGTCTCTACTAAAAATACAAAAATTGGCCAGGTGTGGTGCTGTGCACCTGTAATCCCAGCTACTTGGGAGGCTGAGGCACGAGGATAGCTTGAACCCAGGAGGCGGAGGTTGCAGTGAGCCGAGATCGCACCATGCACTCCAGCCTGGGTGACAAAGCGAGACTCGGTAAGAAAGAAGGAAAGAAAGAAAGAGAGAAAGAGAGAGGGAGAGAGGAAGAGAGAGAGAGAGGGAGGGAGAGAGGGAGGGAGGAAGGAGAAAGCAGCCAATACCTCACATTGCGGGGAGTGGCCGCTCTATTTTGCTCTGTGAATGGTGCCCCTGGAGTTGTGCACCGCCATGGCCCTGATTGGGACACACGGCATCCACTTCCCGCAGCCCTGGAAGGACTCAGGTATAAGGTGTATGGGGCTGTCTCGGTACCTGGTATGCAGGAAGCTCTCAGTTAAACGCTGATGCTGTGGGGGTCGCGGTCTGACTCAGTCTCTCCAGCCTCACACCACCAGCCTGCATTTCTGCCTCTGGAGCTCCGCTATGGCAGCAGACAGCCCCGCTCCTCCGAAAGGATGCGCCTGTGTTTCTCCATGGAGCTGAACAGACGACAGACTAGTTAGGATGCTGGAGGTTGGCCCAAGTTCTGGTCTCTTGGATAACCTTGGGCAGGGCCTTTATACAAGGCCCTTGGGCTCAATGTTTGACAGGGGAATGTCTGGCAGAAGATTCCAGAGAGAGCTGTACATTTTCCAGATGACAGACCTCCTGAAGCAATGGAGCGATGCTCACTGAGGTCTTCCTGATCCGTCTGGGAAACATCTCTGTGAAAGTCAGGATAAAGCCCGGATATGCGGAGATCGACTCCGACCGACTCCGACAGAGTAGCCGGAGTTGTGGGGCCTTTCCTCCTGGCCTGCCAGGGATTGGCAGAGGCTTCCTGAAGGAGGTGGCCTTGGAACAGGAGTTTAAACGATGAGTCAGGGGCGACTCACCTCCCAGGGTCTACCTCAAAGTACATCAAGAATCTGGCTGCTTCTCCCCACTTCCATGTCTACACCCTGGTACAAGCCACCTCAAATCATGACAATGACCTCCAACTGGCCTTCCCACCTTCACCTGGGCCCCTAAAACTGCTTTTCTGCAGAGCCTTTAAGTAATTTCTTCTTCTTTTTTTTTCCTTGAGATGGAGTTTTGCTCTTGTTGCCCAGGCTAGAGTACAATGGCACAATCTTGACTCACCGCAACCTCCACCTTCCAGGTTCAAGCAATTCTACTGCCTCAGCCTCCTGAGTAGCAGGGATTACAGGCATGTGCCACCATGCCCAGCTAATTTTTATTTTTAGTAGAGATGGGGTTTCTCCATGTTGATCAGGCTGGTCTCGAACTCCCGACCTCAGGTGATCTGCCTGCCTCGGCCTCCCAAAGTGCTGGGATTACAGATGTGAGCCACCCTGCCCGGCCACCTTTAAGTAATTAAAAGAAAAATTATTAGGCCATGTCCCTTTCCTGCTGAAACTGTCCAATGTCTTCTTTGTCCACTCAGAACAAAACCCAGAGATCTACAAGGCCTGACATGTGTGTTTCTCAGCCCCAGGCTGCACACTAAAATCACTGGGGCATTTTAGACGCGTTCAGAGGTGTTCTGATTGAGTGGGACTGGAAGTAGGATTCAGCCATCAATTTCTTCTTCTTTTTTTTAAATACGCCCTTGCTCTATCACCCAGGCTGGAGTGCAGTGGTGTGATCATAGCTCACTGCAGCCTTGAACTCCTGTGCTGAAGTGATCCTTCCATCTCAGCCTCCTGAGTATCTGGGACTACATGTGTGTACCACTAAATCCGGCTAATTAAAAAAAATTTTTTTGTAGAGACAGGGTCTACTATGTTGTCAAGCTGGTCTCTAACTCCTGAGCTCAAGCAATCCTCCCACCTCAGCCTCCCTAAGTGCTGGGATTACAGGCATAAGCCACCACACACAGCTAGCCATCAATATTTTAAATAATAATAATAATATAGTTCCCTGGCTGGGTGCTTCTCATGTGCAGCCAGGGTTGCAAACTCCACTCTTCATGGCTTAGCCTTGCTAGGTTGAACCGTGCTGGCTTCAAGTTGGTGCCTTCCTGCCCCAGGGCCTTTGCACTGCTCTTCTGCCCTTGATACGGGCCCCCAGAGTCTCCTCTGATGCACCCCTTCCTTCCTTCCTTCCTTCAAGGTCTGCTCAAGGTTGCCTTCTCAGGATGCCTTCCCTGATTTACTTTTGGTCATAATGGAAATATTATCTTGTCATAGGTTGCTGTGAAGATTAAATGAGATAATCTAGGTAAAACATTTAGCACAGGGCTGGGTACATGGAAACCAACAAATGGGAGGAATTTTTATTTGTGGTATTTACCACTTCCTGATATTATATATTTACTTGTGTATTCAATAGCTGTCTATCTGCTCCTGTGAACTATAAACTCCGTGAGGGCTGAAATCATCTTGACAAATAGTAGGGGCTCAATGAATAACTTTCATTTTTATTTTTTACTTTTAGAGACAGGGTTTCACTCTTTCACTCAGGCTGGAATGCAGTGGTGTAGTTGTAGTTCACTGCAGCCTCGAGTTCCTGGCCTCAAGCAATCCTCCCGCCTTAGCCTCCCAAAGTGCTAGGATTATAGGCCTGAGCCAATGCACCTGGCCTCAAAAGCGGTAAAATAATCAATCATTCATTGTACAGGATTCCCACACCTGATTTAACCATTCTCTGCATGTGGGTGTTGCGGTTCTTTCCATTTTGGACCAAATAATGTACAAATAATGCTGAGATGAGTATACTTGTAAGCGGATCTTTCTCTGCAATCTGATTACTGTATTTTCTGATAATAAATTCCTGGACATTGAATTACTGGGTCAAAAGTACGAAATTTTTTAAAAGTAGCAATCCATTTAATAACATGTCTTTTGTATTCATAAGTAACAAAAAGGTCCTAAATTCTTCAAAATGTAAAACTAGAATACAAAGCAGGTGGATCACTTGAGGTCAGGAGTTAGAGACCAGCCTGTGCAACATGATAAAATCCCGTCTCTACAAAAAAATACCAAAAAAATTAGCTGGGTGTCAGGGCTGGGCGCGGTGGCTCACGCCTGTAATCCTAGCACTTTGGGAGGCCGAGGCGGGCAGATCACCTGAGGTCGGGAGTTTGAGATCAGCCTGACCAACATGGAGAAACCCTGTCTCTACTAAAAAAATACAAAATTAGCAGGGCGTGGTGGTGAATGCTTGTAATCCCAGCTACTCGGTAGGTTGATGCAGGAGAATTGCTTGAACCCGGGAAGCAGAGGTCGCGGTGAGCCAAGATTGCACTATTGCACTCCAGCCTGGGCAACAAGAGCGAAACTCCATCTCAAAAATAAAATAAATAAATGGATAAAATTAGCTGGGTGTCATGGTGCGTGCCTATATTCCCAGCTACTTTGGGGGCGGAGGCAGGAGGATCTCTTGAGCCTGACAGGTCGAGGCTACAGTGAGCTAAGATTGCACCACTGCACTCCAGCCTGGGTGACAAAGTGAGACCCTGTTTCAAACAAACAAAAAGCCTATAATACAATTCAGAGACATAGGTGGCAACTTCAATTTATTCTAATAGCAGGTTCTCTTTTTTTTGGGAAGTTAAAACACCTCTCTTGGAGAATCTTTCTTTCTTTTTTTTTTTTCTTGGGGGGCGGGGTGTGGGGACTGAGTTTCGCTCTTGTTGCCCAGGCTGGAGTGCAATGGTGTGATCTTGGCTCACCACAACCTCCGCCTCCCGGGTTCAAGCGATTCTCCTGCCTCAGCCTCCTGAGTAGCTGGGATTACAGGCATGCACCACCATGCTCGGCTAATTTTGTATTTTTAGTAGAGACAGGGTTTCTCCACATTGGTCAGGCTGGTCTCAAACTCCTGACCTCAGGTGATCCGCCCACCTCAGCCTCCCAAAGTGCTGGGATTACAGGCGTGAGCCACCACACCAGAGTCTCGCTCTGTTGCCCAGGCTGGAGTGCAGTGGTACGATCTCGGGTCACTGCAACCTTCGCCTCCCAGGTTCAAGCGATTCTCGTGCCTCAGCCTCCCGAGTAGCTGGGATTACAGGTGTGTGTCACCACACCTGGCTAATTTTTGTTTTTGGTAGAGACGGGGTTTCGTCCTGTTGCTCAGGCTAGTCTTGAACTCCAGGGCTCAAGTGATCCACCCGCCTCAGCATCTCAGAGTGCTGGTATTACAGGCATGAGCCACACCGTGCCTGGCCAAACCCCACTTCTTTTTTTTGAGACGGAGTTTTGCTCTGTCGCCCAGGCTGGAGTGCAGTGGCTCGATCTTGGCTCACCACAACCTCCGCCTCTCTGGTTTAAGTGATTCTCCTGCTTCAGCCTCTCGAGTAGCTGGGATTACAGGCACACCAAGCCACCACGCCTGGCGAATTTTTGTATTTTTAGTAGAGACGGGGTTTCACCATGTTGGTCAGGCTGGTCTCGAACTCTTGACCTTGTGATCCTCCTGCCTCAGCCTCCCAAAGTGTTGGGATTACAGGTGTGAGCCACCCAGCCTGGAAAACCCCCCTTTTTAATGGAACAGAACTCACTTACCCTGAGAGGTGAGAGGATAGAGGGATTCAGAAAGCACATTCACAGCAACTCACAGATGAATGTACCACAAGGCTGGGCTTGAGTGAATCTGGGTCCCTGGGGCAGCATATCTCTCCCCTGTCCAGATGCTGCCTTCAGAGACAGAGCCCTGGGCTGATATGGCAGAAGGTTCTGGAATTCAGGGACAATCTAGTTCCAGTCTGTTCCTTGGATGGCCATTCTCCTCCTAGTTCAGGTAGGTCTCTCCCAAAGCACCAGGCTCTCTGCTCAGACAGGCAGGGCTTCCTCGATGAGTCCTCTCCTCTCAGAGGGTTCACATAAGCAGAGAGGGGCACACCTGCCCTGTCCAAGTGAGAGAACTTTCTGGGAGGTAGCTGGGCATTCCATTTTGTGGCCTTGAAAATACGTGCCCTGCCCAACACAACAAACTCACTCATAGAAATAATCTAGAAAGAATCAGGGATGTGGATGGCCGGGCGGGGTGGCTCACGCCTGTAATCCCAGCACTTTGGGAGGCCAAGGCGGGCGGATCACGAGGTCAGGAGATCGAGACCATCCTGGCTAACATGGTGAAAACCCGTCTCCACTAAAAATACAAAAAATTAGCTGGGCGTGGTGGCGGGCACCTGTAGTCCCAGCTAGTCGGGAGGCTGAGGCAGGAGAATGGCGTGAACCCGGGAGGCGGAGCTTGCAGTGAGCAGAGATCGCGCCACTGCACTCCAGCCTGGGCGACAGAGCAAGACTTCATCTCAAAAAAAAGAGAATCAGGAATGTGGAAAATTATCAAAGGGCTAAAGCAGTGCACCACAGCATCATTCATAATCACAACAGTGGGTGACCTGAATGGCCAATGGTGGAAGATCGGTAAAATAAACCATGGCACAACCACAAATGGCATATGCTCTGCAGCCCTTAAAAACCGTGTGCTCGGCCAGGTGCAGTGGCTCACACCTGTAATTCTAGCACTTTGGGAGGGTGGATCACTTAAGGTCAGGAGTTCAAGACCAGCCTGGCCAACATGGCGAAACTCCGTCTCTACTAAAAATACAAAAATTAGCCAGGCGTGGTGGTGAATGCCTGTAATCCCAGCTACTCAGGAGGCTGAGGTGGGAGAATCGCTTGAACCTGGGAGGCAGAGGTTGCGGTGAGCCAAGATCATGCCACTGCACTCCAGCCTGGGCGACAGAGCAAGACCCTCCCTCAAAATAATAATAATAATAATGTACTCAAAGAATGTTGAGAATATTTAATAGGGAAATGCTCAGCGCGTAGCATTTGGTTAAAACTGCACACACCAGGGCAGGCTGATAGGACTGTGATGATGGAAATGTTCTGCACCTGCCTGGTCCCTTATTCCATAGACAATAACCATAGGCCACTAATGAACACATGAGGTCTTGGACTAGCACAACTGAAGAACTGAATTTTACATTTTAACAAATTTAACATTTAAAGAGCTGCAGGTGATAGTGACTTCTGTATTGAATTGCACAGGTACACTAAATCCCAAGTATGTTAAGAAAAGGTGTGGGTGGCTGGGCGTGGTGGCTCATGCCTGTAATCCTAGCACTTTGGGAGGCCAAGGCAGGCAGATCGCTTGAGACCAGAAGTTCAAGACAAGCCTGGGCAACATGGCAAAATCCCGTTTCTACAAAAAAAAAATACAAAAACTAGCCGGGCGTGGTGGTGCACACCTGTAGTCCCAGCTACTCAGGAAGGTGAGGCAGGAGAGTCGCTTGAGCCAAGGTCGAGGATGCAGTGAGCTATGATTGCAGCACTGCACTGCAGCCCAGGTGACAGACCCTGTCTCAAAAAACAAAAACAAAAACAAAAAAAGGTATGAAAAACACATTAAACACATAAAAAATGGCTGAAATAATATTCCAAAGTGTATACAGTAGTTTTCTCTGTTAGGAAGGTTATAGGAGATTTAAATTTTCTTTCATTTTTCTGCTGTCAAATTCTCAATGAATAGATTTCTTCTCCATCAGAACAGCAGAGGAATATCAGGAGGAGAGAGAAGGAGGGAAGAGGAGAGCCAGTAGAACTCAGGTTGGCAGGAAGAGCCCAGCGGGGCTGCCCTGGCTGAGCTGGCAGGAGCGGGAGCCGCGAGAATCCGCCTAGCTCAGGGCTTGTTTTGACAGGAGTGTGGTGCGTGGGGGCTGGGTCTCCAAGCGGCAGGGCAACCTAGCTGACACACTGCAAACTCGGCTTCGCTGGTGTGAGTGTGTGTGTGCACATGGGTCCTGCCATCTGTTGCCCACCTGGCAGGAAAGTGTTGTCTCTTCAGCTGTATTTGTTGGGTCTTCGGTGGATTTTGTTGTCTGAATTTCTCACTTGCTTCTCAGGCCTGACTTCAGCTGCTTCTCCAAGTTACCAACAACTTTTTTTTTTTATAAAAACATTTGAGACAGAGTCTCGCTGTGTTGCCCAGGTTGGAGTGCAGTGGGGCAATATTGGCTCGCTGCAACCTCCACCTCCTAGCTTAAGTGATCTTCCCACCTCAGCCTCCCAAGCAGCTAGGACTACAGGTGTGTGCCACCATGCCTGGCTAATTTTTTTTTTTTCTTTAGACAGGATTTCACTCCTGTCACCCAGGCTGGAGTGCAGTGGTGTGCTCTTGGCTCACTACAACTTCTGCCTCCCGGGCTCAAGCCATCCTTCTGCCTCAGCCTTCTGAGCAGCTGGGACTACAAGCACACACCACCACGCCTGGCTAATTTTTGTATTTTTAGTAGAGATGGAGTTTCACCATACTGGCCAGGCTGGTCTTGAACTCCTGACCTCAGATGATCCACTGGTCTCCCAAAGTGCTGGAATTACAGGCATGAGCCACTGCACCCGACCTAATTTTTGTATTTTTTTGTAGAGACAGGGTCTCACTATGTTGCTCAGGCTGGTCTCAAACTCCTAGACTCAAGTGCTCAGCCCACTTTGGTCTCCCAAAATGCTGGGATTACAGGCGTGAACCACTGTGCCCGGGCGCCGACCCCCACAACTTTTAGGAGACTTCAGCCAAGCTCTTTGAAAGTAGGAGGAAGTTCCTGCAGGTGAGTCTCGGCAGACATCGGGGATGGAACCTAGGCTGACTTATTCATTGTGGCTTTGCTGGTGCAGCAGTTTAGGAATTTCAGTTATTTGAAGTGGCAAGGATAAAGAAAGATGTAATTTTCCTAAATATATAGCTGGAGGCCTTTTAATTATTTTACTGCTAAGGAGGTCATAAGCACTGGTTCTCAAGCTTTGGAGTGCCGAAGAATCACCTGGCTGCTTGTTAGAAGTAGAGATTCCTAGTGTTAAGCCCCAGGGATAATTTAATCAACCCCCTCATTTTATAGACAGGCCAGGGGAGGCAGAGGGCCAAGCCATGTGCCCAAGGTCACCAGCTGGTCAGCAGCGCCGGGATTAGGATCTGGGCATCTGATGTGGGTGTCTTTCACTAATTGCCTTGCCTCTCAATTCGCTTGTGTCAGTTGTCTGCCTTAAAGGAAGAGTTAGACAAAAGTGGGCTGTGAGGTTTTTTTCCCACCACCAACCAATTCTCCATCACCAACTGGATGTCCGACAATTCAATTCTGACACTACCCAGAATTAGCATACACCCCACAGGTTAAGGACTTGGTCCCACAAGACTGCCCACACTTCTGACACCAGCTACAAATGGAGTGTCCAGGCTACTCATACTTCTGCCCAGCTGACTATAAATTTGGAGGTTCCCATGAACCCTTCTTCCTATTGGGTTTTTTGTTTTGTTTGAGACAGGGTCTTGCTCTATTGCCCAGGCTAGAGTGCAGTGGTACAATCTTGGCTCACTGCAACCTCCACCTCCTGGGCTCAAGCAATCCTCCCACCTCAGCCTCCTAAGTAGCTGGGACCAGACAGCTACCATGCTTAGCTAATTTTTAAGTTTTTTTGTAGAGACAGGGTCTCACTATATTGCCCAGACTGGTCTTGAACGCCTGGACTCAAGCTGATCCTCCTGCGTTGGCCTCCCAAAGTGCTGGGATTACAGACATGGGCCACTGTGCCCACACTCCTATCAAGTTTGATAATTTACTAGAATAACTCACAGACTCAGGAAAGTGCCGTACTCACCATTGCAGTTTATTATACAGGATGAGAATGAACAGCCAGATGAAGTATATAGGTGAGGTCTGGAAGGGTCCTGAGTGCAGTAGCCTCTGTCCCCATGGACTTGGGGGTGCAAGGGGGTTCGGGGTTTTTGTGAGGTTTCATTACATAGGTATGATAGATTAAATCACTAGTCTGTGGTGATTGAGCTCCATCTCTGGCCCCTCTCCCCACCCTGGAGGCTGGGAGGGGAGGGCTGAAATCATGTGGTTGGTTTTCTGGCACCCAGTCCCCATCCTGAAGCTATCGAGGGCTCCCCTATGATAAGCCATGGTCCCTCATTAGCACACAAGACAGTAAATTCCAAGGGTTTTAGGAGCTCTGTGCCAGAAACACAAAGCCAAATAATTAATTAATAGTTAATTAACTGAGACAGGATCTTGCTTTTGCACACCCAGGCTGGAGTGCAATGGCATGATCCCAGCTCACTCCAGCCTTGACCTGCCAGCCGATTCCCCTGCCTCAGCTGCCCGAGTAGCTGGAACCACAGGCACGCGACACTACGCCCGGCCAATTTTTTGATTTTTTAGAGATGGGATCTTGGTATGTTGCCCAGGCTGGTCTTGAACTCCTGGGCTAGAATGATCCTCCTGCCTCAGGCTCCCAAAGTGCTGGGATTACAGGGGTGAGTCATATTTTTTTATTATAACACATGGGATATTTGCAATTTTTTTTGGAAAATACTACTGCATCACAAAGACAAAATAAGCCTTTATAATGATAATGCTTATTCTGGTTGTCTCTAGCTCAGTTGTCTATAGGCGGCTCAAGGGCACACATCGGACCCTGTTGGTACAGGAGGGCTGGGATGTGGGGCGAATGGTGACTGGGAGATGGGCAGCTTTTCCTTCTCATGACTCAGGACCCTGAACCTCAAATTCAAGGATCCAATAATGGAACTCAATGGCAGAGTGGTAACAAAATTGTGAGCCTGCTAGAGACAACCTGACAGGGTGTCTGATACAGAGAGGGTTCAGCCTGCTGCAGACAGTGCCCCTCGGCACCCAATGAGCTTAAAAAATGTGTTCCATTTGTCAGTTGGGGTGCCTCGAACTCTGGCAGGCCCAGGTTATCATGCAAATGTGTTCAGTGGAAGAAGGCATGAAATCATTCTCAGAGATGAATGGGGCTGCTCAGCGGACCTGGGAGAGGAGGGCTCTGCCCAGTAAGACTCCTGCACATCCTCAGGAGATCTGGCCACACCTCCCACTGAGAGAAGGCACTCACAGGAGGTTCAAGGCACAGCCTGGGCCTAAGGGCCCAGGGACAACTCAGGACACCGGGCAGTTTGAAGACAGGCAGCCCCATAACTTCTGCCAGAAAATCCAGACATTGAGTGTAATTCGTTTTGGTGTCTTTACATTTCAAGCTCATTTATCCAGGTCAGGAACCATTTAGTTTGCATCTAACAAGTCGAGGCCTGTGCAGCATCCTTCTAACATATGGCCTGTTCATCCTGCCTCTGAGCATCTGTCACAGCCATGTTTTGGGAGGAGGCTGACTCGGCCAGTTTCGCATCGTCAGCTGGCAGGGGCAATCCCACTGTGCAGCTGCTTGAAGAGGGGCACATGGCCTGGCCCAGTCCCCTTGGCTTCCCCGGCCCCCCAAAACCTGCTTTTTAGAGAAAGAAAGGGGGGCACCTGGCAGGCCACTTGTGAGTCACTCATCTCCTGGGAAATGTTCCAGGCGCCACTTGGAGGAGATCACTCTGGAAAGCTCCCTGATGCCCAGCAAGCCCATCACCATGGCAACCTATCCATCCTGAGCTGCTCTTCCCTTGGGCCTCCAGAAAGGAGGCTGACTGAGGTGATGCAAGTTTCTCTGAGGTGAGGCTCATCTCTCATCGAACCAAAGCTATCTTGAAAGATTTCAGATAAATAGATATAATGAATAATATAAGAAATACCTGTGCCGCGGGCGAGCATGGTGGCTAATGCCTGTAATCCCAGCACTTTGGGAGGCCGAGGCGGGCGGATCACTTGAGGTCGGAAGTTCGAGATCAGCCTGACTAACATGGAGAAACCCTGTCTCTACTAAAAATACAAAAAATTAGCCGGCCGTGGTAGCCCATGCCTGTAATCCCAGCTACTCAGGAGGCTGAGGCAGGAGAATCGCTTGAACCCGGGAGGCGGAGGTTGTGGTGAGATGTTATCGTGCCATTGCACTCCAGCCTGGGCAACAAGAGCAAAACTCCATCTCAAAAAGAAAAAAAAAATTGTATCGCTACCTCCCAATTTAAGATATAAAACCACAGCTGTAAATAAAGCTCCTTTTTTGTTTAACAGAGGGTCTGGCTCTGTTGCCCAGGCTGGAGGGCAGTGGTGTGATCTCAGCTCACTGCAACCTCCGCCTCCTGGACTCAGGCCATCCTCCCACCTCAGCCTCCCCAGTAGCTGGGACTACACGCACACACCACCATGCTTAGCTAATTTTTTTTTTTTTTTTTTTTTTGTAGAGATGGGGTTTCGCTATGTTACCCAGCCTGGTCTCAAACTCCTGAGCTCAAGGGATCCTCCTGCCTCAGCCTCCAAAAGTGCTGGAATTACAGGCATGAGCCACCACACCTGGCCCAGAGCTCCTTTTTTTAGGGTGGGGGACAGGGTCTTGCTCTGTTGCCCAGGCTGGAGTACAGTGGTGTGATCTTGGCTCACTGCAACCTCTACCTTCTGGGCTCAAGCCATCCTCCCACTTCACCCTCCTTTTGTACCTGGGACTACAGGTGTGCACCACCATGCCCAGCTCATTTCTTTTTCTATTTTTTGTAGAGACGGAGTTTCACTATGTTGCCCAGGCTGGTTCTGAACTCCTGAGCTCAAGGGATCCTCTTGCCTCGGCCTCCCAAAAGTGCTGGGATTACAAGCGTGAGCCATGCGCCTGGCCCAAAGCTCTTTTTTGATCTCTTATCATATGGCCTTCCTTACCCCACAAGAGGCTTCCTCTATGCTGAGCTTAAGGTTTATCACTATATATATATATATATATATATATATATATATATATATATATATATATATATGCACGTTCTGAACCACAGAACATAAAACCATTTTAAAGTGTACTGAATTATACATCACAAGGGTGGGCAACCAATACCTCTATATTTACATGTTTTAAAATCTGTACACCTGGGATTGTATGGCAGGTCTTTTGCAATTTGATTTTTGCATCAATGCTGCTTACAAGGTTCATCTATGTTGATGCGCATAGCTGCCAGCTTGTGCATTTCACTGCCAAATCGTATACCATTGTGTGACTACTTTACAATTGACGCATTCTCCTGGCGATCACTGGGCTGTGAAGGTGTTCAGAACATGCCACTCAAAATATGCCACTCTGGCCTATTGACTATTTTGAGTTAAAGGCACCTGTGGCCTGGTGAGGTGGCTCATGCCTGTAGTCCCAGCACTTTGGGGGGCCGAGGTGGGAGAATTGCTTGAGTTTGAGACGAGCCTGGCCAACATGGTGAGACCCTGTCATTAAAAAGAACAAAAAAATTATCTGGGCTTGGTGATATGTGCTCAGGAGGCTGAATGTGAAGATCAGTTGAGCATAGGAAGTTGAGGCTGCAGTGACCTATGATTGCACCACTGCACTCAAGCCTAGGAGACAGAGTAAGAACCTGTCTCTAAAAAAAGGCACCTGAAAAACAGGTGTAAGAAGGACACTCTGTCCTTTTTCTTTAAAAACAGATGAAATTGTCATGTGAAATGTATCCTTGATTTTTTTTGATATGGAGTCTTGCTCTATCACCCAGGCTGGAGTGCAGTGGCACAATCTCAACTCACTGCAACCTCTGCCTCCTGGGTTCAAGTGATTCTCCTGCCTCAGCCTCCCAAGTAGCTGGGATTACAGGCGTGTGCCACCACGCCCAGCTAATTTTTGTATATTTGGTAAATATGGGGGCTTCATGATGTTAGCCAGGCTGGTCTCAAACGCCTGACCTCAGGTGATCTGCCTGCCTCAGCCTCCCAAAGTGCTGGGATTATAGGCATGTGCCACCATGCCTAGCCAATGTATCCTTTTTTTTTTTTTTTGAGATGGAGTCTCGCTCTGTTGCCCAGGCTGGAGTGCAGTGGCGCAATCTCAGCTCACTGCAAGCTCCGCCTCCCGGGTTCACACCATTCTCCTGCCTCAGTCCCCCGAGTGGCTGGGACTACAGGCGACTGCTACCATGCCCGGCTAATTTTTTTGTATTTTTAGTAGAGACAGGGTTTCACCCTGTTAGCCAGGATGGTCTCGATCTCCTGACCTTGTGATCCGCCTGCCTTGGCCTCCCAAAGTGCTGGGATTAAAGGTGTGAGCCACAGCTCCTGGCCCAATATACCCTTCTTATACTAGAAGGAAAGAGACACTCTTATCACCAAGGAGGGGAAGTTAATTCTGAGAGAAATCTGTGTGAACCTTGTTAACAAACCCGCATCTTTCCACTTTTCCAACCAATGTAACTCCCCTAGCTCAGGCCCTTTCACCTTGTCACACTTACTACTCTTTGCCCAACTCAGTATATAAGCTTTCAACTCTTGTTTCTTTGGGTCTTCATGTTTCTTGTGAGGACTCCCATGTACATGTAAAAAAATAAAAAAATAAAGAGAGTAGAAGATAAATTTTTCCTCCTCTACAGTGGTTTCCAAGTTTTTAATAATTACCAATACGGGTTAAGCTTTCAAATCCAAAATGCTCCAAAATATGAAACTTTTTGAGTGCCGACCTGATGCTAAAAGGAAATGCTAATTGGAGCATGTTGGATTTCAGATTTTTGGATTTGGGATGCTGGATCAGTCTAATGCAAATATTCCAAAATCCAAAGAAATCTGAAATCTGAAACACTTCTTGTCCAAAGCATTTCAGATAAGGGATACTTTTTCTTTTCTTTTTTTAAATAGAATGCTTCACGAATTTGCATGTCATCCTTTATTAGTCCATTTTCACGCTGCTGATAAAGACACACCCGAGACTGGGAAGAAAAAAGGGTTTAACTGGACTTAACAGTTCCACATGGCTGGGGAGCCCTGAGAATCATGGCAGTAGGCAAAAGGCACTTCTTACATGGTGGAGCCAAGAGAAAATGAGGAAGATGCAAAAGCGGAAACCCCTGATAAATCCACCAGATCTCGTGAGACTTATTCACTACCATGAGAACAGTATGGGGGAAACCGCCACCATGATTCAAATATCTCCCACCAGGTCCCTCCCATACACGTGGGAATTAAGGGAGTACAATTCAAGATGAGATTTGATTGGGGATGCAGCCAAACCACATCACATCCTTGTGCAGAGGCCATGCTAATCTTCTCTGCATCATTCTATTTTTTTTTTTTTTTTTTTTTTTAGTATATGTGCTGCCAAAGTGAGCACCAGATGAGGGGTACTTAACCTGTACTCCTGTCTCTTTGTGCACGTGCTGGTGCTTCTCCAAGATGTATCTCGGGAGTACAGCTGCTGCATCCGGGGCCAGGTATAGCTCCAGATTTATTAGACATTGCCAAAGTGCTCTGTAAAGTGGCACTAATTTATACTCCCGTAAGTTTGGCTCTCTTGGGGAAGGGGAAGCCAGGGGCACAATTTAATTGTAGCAACACGGATGGTGTATTTCACTTAATAAAGTGTTGTGAGGTAGGCAGAGCAGGATTATTCACCATCCTGAGCAACCTTTCAAAGGTGAGGAATCCGAGACGCAGGGGTTGAGGGATTTAGCCGGATCCCAGAGATAGGAGGGGTTAGAAGGAGGATGTCAAGCCATGTGTCTGACCCGACAGCGCTCTCCTTATGTTAGTTTCTCTCCCTCCTCCTCCCTAGCACAGCCACCTTGCACCTTATATGAACACAGACTCAGCCTACTCACCAGCTTTCTGAGACCACAAACAACAAAAGCTGGCTGCATAGGAGGGAGAGAGGCCCCAAGGAGGGGCTCTGTCGTGCGACCCTGCTGGACTTCTCCATCCCAGTTTCCTTGCTGGAGTCAACTTGCCTGTGCACAAAGATTGCATCTGGTAGTATTTTTGGACTTAAGTTGCTCTAGGAGGGCATAAATAAAAGCAATAGTAAAAAAGACTTAGCAGGCTGGCTCACAACGACTGCTTGAGCTCAGGAGTTGGAGACCAGCCTGAGCAACATGGTGAAGCCCCGTCTCTACCAAAAATATAAAACTTAGCCAGGCGTGGTGGTGCATGCCTGTAGTCCCAGCACTCAAGAGGCTGAGGTGGGGGGACTGCTTAAGCCCAGGGAGGCTGAGGCTGCAGTGAGCTGAGATCACCCCACTGTATTCCAGCCTGGGCGACAGAGCGAGACCCTGTCTCAAAAAAAGAAGAAGCAGAAGAGGCCAAGATGGGAATCTCCAGCCCAGAGAAGGCGGGGCAGGGGAGTGGCACTCAATGTCCCTGAGTTGCTGAACCTCCCACACACCAAGTGGCTGCAGTCATCTGGGCACCTCCTCCCTTCACTCCCTAACCCCAGGCAGTGTCTCAAAGAGGGCAACACCCTCCACTCAGAAATGCTCAGCACAGAAACGTGACCATGGAGCAGAGCTTAGACATGGGTGACACCCGGCCACCAGGCCTGTCTGAAGCAGGGCTTAAGTCCTAGGTAAGGACTTCTCAGCAGTACCCCCTCTCCCCTGCAAAGAGTGGGTCAGAAGCTGCCCTAGACTGGGCGGTACCAGAGCTGAGGCCAGGGTGCCCACATCTCAGTGAACTCTTGACACAAAAATTCGGTACCAGAAGGCAGCTCTTCATCTGCAAGAACCTTCTCAACCTTTGGTTTTTCTGTCTCCTTGCCCTCGGGTCTTTCCTTCCCAACATGGCGCTGGGATCCAGGGGGTGATGAGAGGCTGTTCAATCTTGCTGCCTCCTACATCCTGCCCTCCAGCCATGCCATGTGGGTGCGGCCCTGGCTGTGTTACCAGATGACCTCAGGCAAGTTTCCTCCTCTGAAAGGGCAGAGGATCTAACAAGATAGCATGTCAGGAAGCATCTGGCATGCAGGACCAACCGATCGTTCGCTGATGAAGCTAAAAGCTTCTGATCCTTCCCAGGAACCCACCATTCTCAGCCCAATTCCTGTTTGTTCACCTGTACTTTTTGGTAATTAAAAAAGTCCTAAGTCTCACCCAACATGCCTGAGCAATTCCAGATCTGGCTAAGGACTGATACCAAAAAGCAGAAGACTGATCTTGAGAGCCTGTTCTAGCCCTTTCTACCACCCCGTGTCAGACCGCAGACCACATCACACCACACCATGTTAACTACGCCACACCACATACTCCCATCTCACCACACCAACCACATCGCCTCTGTTCTGCTGCCACGAGGCAGCATGGCACCTGGAGAGCCTGTCACCGGCCTTCCTGGTCCCTGCCAGGGTGCCAGAAGCACCATCACTCCACTCCTGCCCAGGACGTCTCCTGGCCTTCGCGGTGCCAGCCACTCAGCTAACCTGCACTGCCCAGTTCTGAAGTCAGGTGCCAGCTAAGTGTCTGTCAGGCCTTAGTCCAGTACCTCCATATGGATGCTGACAGTGTACAGCTCACTCAGGATTTCCTTCTTAATGTGTCCCGTTTTGCCCCTAGAGACCTTATGCAGACTTCCTAATTAGAGCACTGCATTCCTCAGGAAATAGGTGAGCAGAGCACATCAAGAGGCTTATTTTACTTTTGACATTATCCTGTTTTAGGGCAGTTTTTTTCAGTAATGAGAAGGTACCAGATGCCCTGGAAATCTGACACACCCATTTGGGACTTGGAGAGGACAAGAGCAAGGCCAGGAAAGTCAACTCCAGGGGAGTCTCTGGACTCCACAGGACCAGCTAAGAAGGTGTCCTTGGACTGTCCTTGTCAGCCATTCACACCACAGCAGGGGACAAGCACTATGCCCTGCAGAAGGCTGCCAAACACCTCTTAGCACTGACTCACTCTTTCCACTTCCCACTTCCTGCAAACAGTTTCCTTGACAATTTCCAACTCCTGGATAAAGGGACATCACTTCCTTTGGGAGTTAGATGAGTTTTCACTAAATGTGGATGTGAGAGCTAGATAAAATATTAGTCACTTGTTCTTAAAAATTGTGGGCAGGATAGTGTCTGTCATGGTTCAAATCAGACTTGTAATTTTAAAAAAGGTGATTTTTTTGTTTGTTTGTTTTTGAGACAGGGTCTTGCTCTGTCGCCCAGGCTGGAGAGCAAGGGTGCAATCACAGCTTACTGCAACCTTGACTCCCTGGGCTCAAGTGATCCTCCCACCTCAGTCTCCCAAGTAGCTGGGATCACAGCCATGCACCACTATGTCCAGCTAATTTTTAAATTTTTTGCAGAGATAGGGTCTCGCTGTATGTTGCCCAGGCTGGTCTCAAACTCCTGGCCTCAAGCGATCTGCCTGCCTCAGCCTCTCAAAGTACTGGGATTACAGGCGTGAGCCACTGTGCCTGGCCGAAAAGGTGATTCTTGATTGAGGGCAAACACACTTTAATTAGTCCCACCCACCAGCCTGGTCTCGGTGGGTCCACTGAGAAAGGCTAGGCATTTGCTGAGGAGGCTCAGTCCTCTGAGCATGAGGTAGGAAGAGGATGGGACAGGTAGCAATGCTGGCTGAGAAGGTAGGTCCCACTGAGGGCACAGATGGGCTCAGGCAGCACAGATGACCGAGAGGAATACCCAAGAGTGGTCCATCCCCGTCTTAGGCACCCCCATGGACACCCACCTGCTTGGTCCTCTGCCTGGGTCACTGGCTGGTGCCAAAGGCCTGCTCCATTCTGCAGCCACAGCACCCAGCCCATGGGGATGGTCAGGCAGGGCTTGAGAAGACTCCTGCCTCCTGGGGCCTGGCTTACACCTACAAGAAACAGCCACCCATTTGTAGATACCCACTGCTAATGCCTAAGGACCCTCTCTTGCTGGCCAGTTCTCCTGTCCCTTGAACTTGATCCACAACAGTAAGGAGTAAAAACAAAGGGCCAGAGGAGGCCCTTCAGAGTCTGGGAAGATGAGGTGTCAGAATCTGCAAAGCTTGGTTTCCAAGTTGTTAAAACAGGCATAGTTAAGACCAGCCTGGGCAACACAGTGAATGCCCATCTCTACAAAAAATTACAAAGTTAGCTGGGTGCAGTGGTGTATACCTGTGGTCCTAGCTGCTTGGGAGGCTGAGATGAAAGGATCTCTTGAGCCCAAGAGGTTGAGGCTACAGTGAACCATGATCATGCCACTGCACTAATTGGGCAACAGAGCAAGACCCTGTCTCAAAAAAAAAAAAAAAAGAAGAAAGAAAGAAAAGAAAAACAGGCACAGGATCTTAGGAGGTAGAGAGGACCTCCTTCCTGTACCAGGGTCCCCTCTACCACACTCATGGCCATTGTAATCCCAACACTTTGGAAGGCCAAGGTGGGTGGTTCACCTGAGGTCAGGAGTTTGAGACTAGCCTGACCAACATGGTGAAACCCCATCTCTACTAAAAATACAAAAATTAGCCAGACGTGGTTGTGTAATCCAGCCAGGATTACACGCCTGTAATCCCAGCAACTTGGGAGGCTGAGGCAGGAAAATCACTTGAATCCAAGAGGTGGAGGCTGCAGTGAGCCAAGGTTGCACCACTGCACTCCAGCCAGGGCAACAAAGTGAGACTCCATCTCAAAAAAAAAAAAAAATTGTCAGAGGCTCTAAGGAAGGACTTTGATGTGCTCAGGCTGTTCTAGGAGAGTGTGGGCAGTCCCCCAGGGCTCACCTCCCCACCCTGCCTTGCCTGTTTTCCATGACACTCACTTTTCCAGCCTTCCCTACAGCTAGAGGCAGTTCAATGACCCAGCTATGGCCAGTGAGACATAAATGAAAGTCTGATATGAACCCTCATTGTAAGATGACACAGGTATACATAATACATACATACAGATGCACATGTATCAGTCAGAGTAAGTGGTTTATCAGTGAGATGAAGTGAGGTCAGTACAGGAGGCTTTTAAAGAGGTTCCATGTAGACCAAGAGAGTGACAGCTAAAGTCAAGGCAACCAGCACAGTTTAAAGTGGGAAAGTGTGAGACTCCGAAGCACGGATCTACAAATTGGGAAACAGGGCACCTGTAATAGGATCGATGCAAATAGCCATGTATTCCCTGACAGGCAGCCAGAATCTGTCAAAAAAGACTAGACTAGAGGGGCTTTCTAAAAGACTCATGGAGAGGTAATGGGTGATTGTGTGGAGGTCAGATGTGGGCAGCAACCCTGCTGGGAAAAGGGGCACCAATCAACAGACAGCAGAAAGGAACCGACCTTTCTCCAGAATCATGACATTAACTTAACACAGGTACAGATGGAGAAAACCTGTGGCGGGGGGCTGGATCCTGAACAAGAAAGGCAGGGCCCAAGCACACAGTTACGACTTTCACTGACACATCTGACTTCTCCTTTCATGGCTTGGAGCAAAACAGGAATAGCAAACCCACCTGTGAGAAGAACCCAGCAGGCTTTGCAGCTTTTGTCTTAATCCCTTAGGCTTCACAGGTGTTAACATTTGCTAAAAAGAAAAACCCTAACTTACTATGAACTCAGCACCATTCATTCTATTGGATTTCAGATCATTTTTCAAATAGGGAGAGAGCCAGCTCACGTGTTGCTGAGACACTGGCTGCTGAGATGAAGAACTTTGTGAAGCGCAATGGAAGAGGGACTCAGAACTCCAGAGAAGAGTTAGGGAAACAGTTGCCAAATGGTGGTGAATGACGGATGATGAGCCAGAGAGTACCATGTGGGAGGACATTCACATCAAATCTTGGCTGCTACCTCCTGAAGGTCTGGATGTCCTCTAATCAAAATATTGGCAGCTCTTAGGTTATTCTTTTTTTGTTTTTCAGACAGGGTCTCACTCCTTTTGCCCAGGCCGGAGTGAAATGGCACGATCTTGGCTAAGTGCAGCCTCAACTTCCAGGGCTTAAGTGATCCTCCCACCTTAGTCTCCTGAGTAGCTGGGACTACAGGCATGCACCACCATGCCTGGCTAATTTCTTTTTGTATTTTTGGTGAAGACAGGGTTTCATCATGTTGCCCAGGCTGATCGTGAACTCCTGAGCTCAAGCAATCCACCTGCCTCGGCCTCCCAAAGTGCTGGGATTACAGGCATGAGCCACCTGGCCCACCTTCCTCAGTTATTATGTCCCATTTGGGACCATAACTAAGACCTCGCAGGCCGCCTGTTGTGACGCTGGCCTGAAATGCTCTACAATCACTTAGAATTATTTATCAGAGGGGATGTGAATAGACATTGTGTTCAAATTTAGCTTGTAAACTACCTTTCTGAGTAATAAGATCCATAGCCCATAACCATCTAGTGTTGACAGTTGGGTCTTTGTTGCTATGAATTCCCACCACATTAGAGGCCTAGATTGGGAGACCTGCCATAAACTAGTACTCACACCCGACGGGTGTGTCATTAGCTTACTCCACCCCTTGGAGGTACTAGTGTTATTCATGCCATTTGCAGACCAGAAAATGGAGGCACAGAAAAATGACCTGTGGTCAGGGCCACAAAGCTGGTACAGCAAGAAATGGAATGCAGTCTTAGGTAACCTGTCATCACCCAAACCTGTCATGGTACTCGGGTAACACACATGCACATGCAGGCACACACACCAGAAGCAGGTTGTGGGGTTTCCCGCTTATTAATATGAATGGTCTCTATCCCTCTTTCCCTCTTCACTGAAGATGTTACTCTCTTACTCTCCTCCCTGCTGTTCTGCAAAGAATGTCTGACTCTAAGCAGGAAGTTTGAAATTTACATTTTCTTATGAGTATAAAAAAGAAAATCCTTCAGAATATTCTTTGACAAACTAAAAATTAATGAATTATTGAAGTGGGAGCATATCTGAATTTAACTTTTCTTTGGGAAGAGGAAAAAGGCTGAAGGGAAAAAACAGCTAATTCAGCAATAATATATCCTTATTTTCAGCCTTACATGCCATCAGTAGGAATCCATTCAGGAGAAAGAGAGATCAGAAGAGAAGCCCGAGTGGAAATGAGAACAAGCTGCGAAGGGGCCTGGCATTCCAGTCACTCTAGTGAGCCGCCTCCTCTAGGTCTTCGGGGCAAGGCTGGCTGCAGAAAGAGCCTCTTGGCCCCGGAAAATTCACACCCAGGTTGGTCAGCTATCTTCACCATGCCTGGCAAGACCTCTGCCAGCCTGGACAGACCTGGAATGTGCTGTCTTGAACTGGGTGGGACTTTGCGGCAGAATAAAGGGAAGGTGAGCGAGGTCGTCATCTTCATTATCCTCTCACAGGACCAACTTTTATTTTATTTATTCATTTAAGGACAAATTTTTAAAAGTAAAGTGAATGAAACCATTTGTGATTAAGATACATAGACAGAACTTCAATGTAGAAAAAAAAAAGACCTTGCTGGGAAACAGATGATGAGAAACACTGTAAAACATTTCACAGACGCACAAAAAGCTCACATTGTAAACAGGATTAAGCTGCTCTTGATTTAGCCCGTAACATCAAGGTTTCATTTTGCTCAGCCTGAGATCTCGCTCAATTTCAAACTGCCTGTGATCCACTCGGTCAAGGAAGGCTTTCCGTTCAATGTACCTAGAAGATGAAAACAGTGTTTGTCAGTAGAATCCAGTAGGAAAAACTCCTCCCCTGCACAGTCCCATCCCCCAGGGATAAACTAAGTTACAGTAAATGGTGCCGAGAGTGACCACCCATGACTCTTCCAGTACAATCCAAACCACTCACATTTGGTCTAAACAAGGATGGTGAAAATAAAAGGAAGGCAACAGCTTATCAATGAGAAAGTATATTAGAGGCTGGGTGGCAGGAAGATGTTGCAATTTTCTAACAAGACTTTAAGGGCAGAAGAAAGAATACCGGTTTACACAAGCATGGGTTCAAGTCCTAGCTCTAGCTCACTGATTAGCTGGGCAAAGGAATGAACATCTTTGAGCCTCACTTTTCTCTACAGCAGCATGGTGATGCTGTTTTTCTTGGCTTTAGTGGTGTGTTGAATTGGTGGGTAAGAGAAAGCTAGGCCTCCTGCATACATACATCAAAACATGAAAAGGGGGCATGTGGTAATGAAGGAAAGAAGACAGTAAAAATGACCTCACAGGACTGCAGTGAAGGTGAAGTGAGCTGAGGTTCATAAAGTGCACACTTTAGAAGTGATTTAACTGCTTTGAGCTCTTTTCTTCCCCTCATCCTTTTCTCCTCTCCGCAGTATCCTCCACCCTGTTTGCGTCTAGGTTGCTTCTGCTAAGATGACAGGAGAACTCTTTCCCTAAATGCCTCTAAGAGAATGAGTTTAAGGGCCTCTGATCTCTCCTTTCAAGGATCCCCTTGAAAGGTGGACACTCTGCTCCCTAATCTGGTTGGGTTCAGCAAACTTTCCCTCTGTCCTCCAGGCAGGACGGGAAAGCAGCAAGGGCTGAAGCACAGGCGCGCTTGCTAGGAGTGAGGCTGGCTGCTTAATGAGACACAGCTGCATCTTAATGCACCTCCTCACCATAAAGCGTGCTGCGATTTGCCTGGGCGGAGGAGATCTCTGCTGCTAATTAATCTATGGAGAGAGCAAAAATTGCCATGGAAAATGGGAGACAAAATTGAATCTCTGCACTAATTTTTCTTTTGTTGCACTGTGGAAAATATGCATCTGTCATTACAAAGTCATTACATTTATAGTGAGAATGCTACCAGGTTCAGAAACCTGTGTTCCCCTGCTGAGTCCAGGGCCTTGCTTTCCCTTCCAACAGCATCCTAGGAAGTACCATCCATCCTACCTCATTTCCAGCTAGGCCTGACTACCCTGACCCTTCTGGAGGGCTGGCCAGAAATGTACAGGCTCTGAGGCCAGAGGGCTGGAGGTTTGAGTTCTGTCATTTGCTGTCTGTGACTCTGCAAGTCACTTAACCTTGCTAGTTCTGTTTCCTAATCTGTAATAAAGATAATAAATAATGGCTAGTCATCTCCACTCTGAAGGACTGTTGTGTGGATTAAATAAAATAGTGTCTACATCACACAGGGCACAGAGCAGGTACTCAATAAAATGACAGGTAATGTTATCATGGTTTTAGGAAGCCAGCTTCCAACAGGCTCCCAAGGACAGTAGATGGCCCAAGTCTGGACTTATGGTTTCAGCAATGAGGAACCAAAACACCTGGTCTGGCTCAGGTACTAAGCTGCTGTGTCAAAACCGTCAATGAGGCCAGAATGGCTGGAAACACAATGACAGGGCCTGCTCTTAGGTTTGATAAAAGCCCTTGGGGTCAGGATTGTCAGATTTAACAAATAAAATTACAGGCTGCCTGGCTGAATTCGAACTTCAGAGTCCCTGGCAGTCAGGGAAGCTGCAGACAGCATGGACCCCTTTAGATAAAAAGAGAAAAAGGGAAGACAGGTAGGGAAGTGTAGACATCTAACAACAAACTTACTTCCCACCTCCCACTAAGAGACCCGTGATTCTTGAGTGGGGGCTGCTAACCAAAATGGTCTCAGAGGCACGTTCACTACAACTGGTCATCTTTCCACCCCAGCCCCACCAGCCCAAGGGAGGCTCACTACCACGGGGACCAGGATTTTGACAGCACTGCACTTTAACTGTCCCCTGGAAGTGCTAGCAGAAAAAAGAGAGGTGAGCCTCAGCATGAGATCTTGCTGTGCTGTTGTTCACCTGGGGGTGTAAGAGGAATTTAGGGTGTGTTTCAAGAGCCATCTTCCAGTGCTACCTGTCTGGGAGATCAGGTGGAGGGAAGGAGTAAGTATGTGGCTTTAAGCATTTGGGGTCTTTCTTCCTGACTTTATTTTTTTAAGACAGGGTCTTGCTTTGTGGCTCAGGCTGGAGTGCAGTGGTGCACAGTTCACTGCAGCCTCGACCTCTCAGGCTCAAACAATCCTCCTGCTTCAGCCTCTCAGGTAGCTGGGACCACAGGCACACACCACCACACCTGGCTAATTTTAAATCTTTTGTAAAGATAGGGTCTCTCCATGTTGCCCATGCTGGTCTCGAACTCCTGGGCTCAAGCGATCCTCACCTTGGCCTCCCAAGTGCTAGGATTACAGGTGAGAGCCATCGGGCCCAGCCCTGACTTTCCTGTAAATAAGAAGTGACACTTAAATGAGGATGCTAACTGGGTACGAATAAAGGTCCTGCACGTTCCCAGAAGCTGTGTTGGGTCCAGCTGACTTTGAGACTATCAAGAGTGAAGCCCAGGTTGGGTGCTAAACAGGCAGGTGCAGTCAGAGTTTAGGTTTAGGGAGGCCTCAGGCAGCAGTGAGGGGAACATGTGCAGGATGCAACTGAATTCTCAAGGGCAACCCAGACAAAGGCCATCAAGGCAGGTCTGGTGACTATTCCCCAATTCACAGCCATCTGCAGCTGCTAACAGGATGCCTGTGACGGCCTTGGTTTACTGCCAAGAGCTGACCATGAACAAAACTACTTGATATGGACTCTCCCACTGCCAAGAGACAGAAAAGGTACTAAGAATGACAGTAGCTCTGACATTTAGTTTTTGTGTGACTTTGGGCAAGATACTTAATTTTCTGTGCCTTTTTTTCCTTCTCTGTAAAACAGAATAACAATTACAATAACCCTCTGGCAATCCAATGAAACTGTGAGAAGTGCTTTGTATACAATAAAACAAAAAATAGCTATGGGAGTTGTCATGGGCTTGGGGTTCTTGCTTCCCATTTCTTGTGTGTGTGTGTGTGTGTCTGTGTGTGTGTGTGTGTGTGTGTGTGTGTTTTTAGTAGAGATGGGGTTTTGCCATGTTGGTCAGGCTGGTCTTGAACTCCTGGCCTCAAGTAATCTGCCCGCCTCAGCCTCCCGAAGTGCTGGGATTACAGGCGTGAGCCACTCTGCCCGGTCTTGCTTCACATTTCTTCTGACTTGACTTTACCTCTACAGAACCTCAAAACCCAGGGCAACCGGAACAGAGACCAAGAGACTAAATGTCCCTGAAAGAGGAAGGGCTCATTAGAAAGGCCACCTCCTCAAAGGTGGCCACTGAGACTCAGGACATTTTCATGCACTTTAAATGGGTCACGGTCCCAGAACAGACCCACCTGAGGACAAGTGCAATGGGAATCACGGCTCTTGCTCTTGATGTGTCCGGGTGCTTTTCTGGCCTGTGCGCAGCCCTTTTGGGGGCCCAGCATGACTCAGCCCAGTCCACAGGGAAGCCTAGTGGTGGGGGATGCATCATCCCTTTCTGCTTCCATTGCCTTCTGTGGCCCATTTAAGAGGCTCTTCACTTTCTTTAATAAAATATGCTAAGAACCTAAGGGATTTTCTAGTTTTTCCTTTTAGAACCAGGTTAGGCACAACAGGCTCTGACATCTTTTGAATCTTCCAACCCAAATTATTTATCTGCCACCAATTTCCCTGAGATCTAGGCCAATGAAAAGGGAGGGAGAAATGGAAGCAGAGGACAAGAGAAGGGTAGAAAATGCTACTAGGGAACATGTCAGTACAAGGCGAGCATCCCAAATCCAAAAATCCGAAATCTGAAGTCCTCCAAAACCAGAAACTTTTAAAGCACTGACAAGACACAAGTGGAAAATTCCACACCTGATATCTTTGCTTTCTGATGGTTCAATGTACACAAACTTTGTTTCAAGCACAAAATTATTTAAAATACTGCATAAAATTACCTCCAGGCTTTGTGTATAAGGTACATATAAAACAAATGAATTCTGTGTTTGTTTAAACTTGGGTCCCATCCCCAAGATTGCTGATGACGTAAAAGCAAATATTTCAAAATTGAAAAAGGTCTGAAATCTAAAACACTTCCAGTCCCAAGCATTTCAGATAAGGGATATTCAACCTGTATCTGGGAACCCACCCTGCAGGAGGACAGAGGGCCTTTGAGGGTGGTAAGGCCCAATGGAGTGCTGACCCGACGTAGTCACCCTGGCTGAAGTCCCTGAGATGCCTCCTGCACCGCTGGTCAGGAAGAGGGAGAGCACATGGAAGTGCAGGGAAACCTGAGGCAGTCACTGAGGACACTCCAAAGCTGCATTACTATCATGCTGCCCAGACAAAGCCAGCATTCTGTTCCCCAAGTGAGCATTCAAGGCAGCACAGACACAGGACAAAAAGTGGGTAAATGCATTTTCCAACACCACAAAGCATGGGCTACGGCAGCACTCCGAGGCTAGAATAAAGCTCTGGGAATGATGTACAGAGATACAGACTTTGCTGCCTCGAGAAATGCAGTTGAAAGAAGCAGTTTGCCCAATAGTACACCTCCCGCCTTCAGGAGGATTTAACTTGCAAACATCTCAAGGGTTAGACTGGAAGGGCAGTTTCTAATTAAGTTTCTTCTCCACTGCCTTCTTCCCCTATCACCTCCAGGTTGTGCTGGTTCTGAAAGAGTGACCCTGAGGAGTCATGAAAATATATTTTTTTGGAGAAAGAAAATTATTTTCTTCAGTCCCTCCTTCATGCCGCTCCAACTCACAAAAACACCTGGTCTCCAATTGTAACCTTCAATTGATTGATCAGACAGCAGCAGCTGGGACTAGCCAGTGTTTCTCTTCTCTATGCATGGATTCCTCCCCTTAAGTCAGTTGGCCCCCGCCTTAGCACTGCTAGATGCCAAGCTGCTGCTGCTGATCACCACCAAGAAATCTGTGTAATGGGTTACAGGACTGCAGGGCTGATCCTGGAATGCTGTACTGGGCCCTGGGAGTCTGGAGCTCAGAGGAAAAGCAGCAATTCTTTGCTGGACAAATGACTGTCTCCGGTACAGGCACTTCAACCAACTCTGCTGACTGAAATGACTCCTGGATGGAAACATCATTCTGACGTATTATGCTCTTCTTTTCTGGGTGATTAATTCTAATCCTACTTGGCCGGGTGCAGTGGCTCACGCCTGTAATCCCAGCACTTTGGGAGGCTGAGGTGGGTGGATCATGTGGTCAGGAAATCCAGACCATCCTGGTTAACACGGTGAAACCCCATCTCTACTTAAAAAAAAAAAATACAAAAAATTAGCCGGGTGTGGTGGCGGGCGCCTGTAGTCCCAGCTACTCGGGAGGCTGAGGCAGGAGAATGGCGTGAACCCGGGAGGCGGAGTTTGCAGTGAGCTGAGATCGCGCCACTGCACTCCAGCCTGGGGAAAAGAGCGAGACTCCATCTCAAAAAAAAAAAAAAATTCGAATCCTACTAGACTGCCAAACAAAAGCCATGACTATCTGCTAGCTAGTGGGATGGGTGTTTAGACACTGCCATGGTGCAGCACCTGCTCTGGGCTGGTAACAGAATAGGGAACAAGATGTTGCCCTCAGGGACTTACCCTGAGGTAACAAAACATGTTCATAGATGAACAAAACATGACAACATGCATCAGATGATAGTAAGTGTCACGGAGAAAATCAAACCGGGTAGTGTGACTGAGGGTTCCTTGGGTGGGGGTACTCTAGAGTGCCATCCGCATAGAGCCCTGGATGACAAATCAGAGCCTCCTGGGGAAGGAGCACTACACAGAGACAGTGAGGCTGGGCTGCAGCGAGCTGGGGGAGAAGAGGACAGAGGTAGGCAGGGGACAGCTCGGGGAGGGCCTGGTTAACACTGATTTGAAGGGTTACCCGGGGGTGTTCCGCAGGGAAGAGATGAAAAATGGTATTTTTAAATTACTGCTTCCGCTGCTGGGTGGAGAATGGATGAAAGGGTACAGAGGTAGAAGCAGGGAGCGGAGCAGATGTCTGCGGCCTGTACTGGGGTGGTGGTAGTGGGGCTGCGTGAATAGAAATAAGCTGAAGTATTTTGTGATGAAACCATCAATTGGACTTGTGGGATGTTGGTGGAAAGACAGGAAATCAAGGATGAAGCCCAAGTTTTTCTTTTTTTGAGACAGAGTTTCGCTCTTGTTGCCTAGGCTGGAGTGCAACAGCATGATCTTGGCTCATTGCAACCTCCGCCTCCCGGGTTCAAGCAATTCTTTAGCCTCAGCCTCCCAAGTAGCTGGGATTACAGGTGCCCACCACCACGCCCGGCTAATTTTTGTATTTCAGTAGAGATGGGGTTTCACCATGTGGGCCAGGCTGGTCTCGAACTCCTGACCTCAGGTTATCTGCCTGCCTCGGCCTCCCAAAGTGTTGGGATTACAGGCGTGAGCCACCATGCCTGGCCCCAAGTTTTTCTTTTAACAGTAGGGTAGACAGTGATGTGCCATTTTCTAAGAATTCTGAGGAATGAAGGTTCTGTTTATGGAGGGAAAGCAAGTATTTGGTTTTGAAAGTTAAGTTTGATGTGTCTTGGACAACCAGAAGGTGATGTCAACTAACAGCTGAAATGTAAGCCTGGAGCTCAGTGGAATGGTCAGGGCAGGGGATACTTTTTTTTTTTGAGTCTTCAGTAGAGAATGGTAGCTGCAACTTGCAACTAGTGAGCTTTCCTGGGGAGGAAGAGATGACTGCCCAGGGCCCAGCCCTGGGACCTCCCAAGTTTAAAGGCCCAGGGAAGGAAAAAAAGCCAGCCAGGGATTCTGGGAGGAGATGCCACCAAGCTCTACTTCCCACCGCTGTGGAAAATATTCCTGAAGAGTGGGCAGGAACACATCAGGAAGAAACTTAAAGGAATAAAGCATCTAGCTTTCCAGTAAGGCCTGAGGCATGGTGAGGTCAGTAATGGCAGGTGGGAGAAAGAAAAGCGAGCACAGGACTCATGGAAAAGGGAGAAGACTGCTATTGATAAACATGCCCGGCCTTTCTTCTACTTATTTAATTCCCACAATAATCACGAGAGGTATATTAAAATGTGTCTACTTTATATATGAAGAAAATGGGGCTAGTACCTATGGTATGGGAAGAGCCAAGATTTGAATTGTTTATTGTAAAACATAATATACATACAGAAGAGTGCATGAACTGGGCAAGGGCAATGAATCATTATAAAACAAGTGCTCGCATGGCTCTGACTTGGTTAGAAGTAGAAGGCTGGAGCGTCGAGGAGGTGCCTGTATAATTCTTCCCCAAAAACCTGCAGCCTACTCAGGTGACAGCCTGCCCAGAGCCTGTGTCTGTGTCTTCATTTCCTTGCTTTAAGTTTCTTTTTTCTCAACATTAGAGTTTTGTTGTGTCTTTTTTTTTTTTTTTTTTTTTTTTTTTTGGTAAAGAGACCGGGTCTTTCTCTGTTGTCCAGGCTGGAGTGCAGTGAGTAGCTGGGACTATGGGTGCATGTCACTGTACCTGTCTTATGCCTCTAGAATTTTGAACCTGTGGTCTAGTGATTCTCAACCTTGGCTGTGCATGAGAATCACCTGAGAAGTAAAATTTAAAGATGCAGATATTTGTGACCTACCTGTTCTAGACTCTTGATTCAGCAGCTCTGTACAGAGGTGGTCACCTGAACTTTGGAAAATGTCACCAGAGGATTCTCATGCTCAGCCAAGGTGAAGAACAGAGCTCCAGTCCCTTCACTGGCCTAGGGGCTGGGCTCCTTTAATCCATCTGCAGGAGCCAGAAAAGGAGAGTGAGTGGAGATGTGGGGCTGGGCACTTAAGAAGGCAGATGAGAAGGGCTGAGGCAGAGCACAGAGCCAGTAGATCTGCACTGGAAACATGCAGTCACATCTGTGGAATCTGGCTGGGCGAATGAGGGGAGAAGCCTCAAGCAAAGGAGGGAAAAGCAGAGCATAAAGGAGGATGGTATTAGTTAGTTGTTCCCTAACCCAGTTATGTGACTTTCCACTGCCTGAAAAGTTCTCACTAGGCAGATGTTCTTTTTAATCTTGTTTTCCCTTCCAGTCTACATTTTGTTAACTCTTCCTATCTTTAACAGCACCATTCCTTACTTTTTTTTTAATTGAAAATTTTTATTTTTTGGGCCAGGGTCTCACTCTTTCACCCAAGCTGAAATGCACTGGTGCGATCAGAGCTCACTGCAGCCTCAATCTTCTGGAGGTGAGCAATCCTCACACTTCAGCCTCCCAAGTAACTGGGACTACAGGTGTGCACCACGTCCAACTAATGTTTTTGATTTTTAGTAGAGGCAAGGTCTTGCTATGTTGCCCAGGCTGGTCCTGAGCTCAAGCAGTCCTCCTGCCTTGGCCTCCCAAAGTGCTGGGATTGCAGGAGTGAGCCACTGCTCCCAACACTCCTTACTTTTCTAAGACCTCTATTAACTCAAGCAGAGTGAACACTGTCCAACTCATATAATCAATATTCAGAGAAGCAATAATGTGTAGCACACGCTGATAGTTCCTCTGCTGTCTCAGATCACTGTGCAAGAGTGGAGAACAGGACAGAGCTGCGAGTTACTGGAGCTGAATCTGAATGGAGAGGTTTGGGGCGCATGTCAGAGCTACCACTCGTGAAGAGACAACACTGCACTTCATCCGGAGTCTTCCCCTGATCACTCTGGCCCCCTCTCCCTGTCCTGTAGCATTCCAGCTTAGGCTGATCTAGAAGTCTGCTAGTTAAACAAGCTCATGAAGCTGTTTAAAATGTTTTTTTTTAGGGCTGGGCGTGGTGGCTCACACCTGTAATCCCAGAACTTTGGGAGGCCGAGGCGGGTGGGCAGATCACCCGAGGTCAGGAGTTTGAGACCAGCCTGCCCAACATGGTGAAATCCCGTCTCTACTAAAAATACAAAAATTAGCTGGGCGTGTAGGCGCGCGCCTGTAATCCCAGCTACTTGGGAGGCTGAGGCAGGAGAATCGCTTGAACCCGGCAGGCAGAGGTTGCAGTGACCCAAGATCACGCCATTGCATTCCAGCCTGCCCAACATGGTGAAACCCCGTCTCTACTAAAAATACAAAAATTAGCTGGGCGTGTAGGCGCGCGCCTGTAATCCCAGCTACTTGGGAGGCTGAGGCAGGAGAATCGCTTGAACCCGGCAGGCAGAGGTTGCAGTGACCCAAGATCACGCCATTGCACTCCAGCCTGGGTGACAGGGTGAGACTCCATCTCTAAATAAATAAATAAATAAATAAATAAATAAATAAATGTATGTATGTATGTATGTATGTATGTTTAGGGAAAAAAAAACCATACTGGTCAGCTTCCAGGTTCATTTAGATAATCTTGAAGCCTAATTTAGAAATATGACCCCCCCCAATAAATCCTTTGTCTATCATTAATAAACTGAATGAGCTGGGTGCAGGGGTGTGCCCCTGTAGTCCTAGCTACATAGGAGGCCGAGGCAGGAGGATCGTTTGAGCCCAAAAGTTTGAGACCAGCCTGGGCAACATAGTGAGACCCTGTCTCTTAAAAAAAACTTGAATGACTTCGACTTAACGCAAGCCTTTATGTGACAGGTGTTCTGTAAAGTGCTTTATGTATATTACATATACGTAAGCAATACATATATTATCTCATGAGATCATCACAACCACATAGTGAGGATGGTATCGTTATCCCAGTTTTATTGGTAAAGGAGCTGAGCCTCAGAGGTGTCCAGTATGCTGGTGGAGAAGAGCTTACTGGTAAGAAGCAGAGCTGCCGAGCAGCCAGGGCTCTCTGGTGGGACACTCAACATTTCCTTTCATGGCTAGGGGTGAGGACTGTTGATTTTGAGCCATGAAGCCACTTCTGTGGTAACTTCCTTAGTGCCTTCTGAGGTCCGTAAGTACTTATGAACACCTTTTCTTTCTTTTCTTTTCCTTTCTCTCTCTCTCTCTCTTTCTTTCTTGATACACAGTCTTGCTCTGTCACCCAGGCTGGAGTGCAGTGGTTCAGTCTTGGCTCACTGCAACCTCCACCTAGTGGGTTCAAGTGATCCTCCTGCCCCAGCCTCCCAAGTAGCTGGGATTACAAGTGTGCACCACTATGCCTGGCTAATTCTTATATTTTTAGTAGGATGGGGTTTTGCCAGGTTGGCTAGGCTGGTCTCGAAATCCTGACCTCAAGTGATCTGCCCGCCTCGGCCTCCGAAAGTGCCAAGATTACAGGTGTGAACCACCATGCCTGGCCACCATTTCTTTCTTGATTTTTTGTTTAATCACCAGTAAGACAAATATGACAAGGAAAGGACCCTTTTTACAACTGAATACGTAGGTTATGAACATTCTCTTTGTATTCCACAGCGAAGAGAAAGAGGTGCAAGTGATGGCCTGGGGTGCTGTCTGAGGGCCTGGCCTATCACACAGGCTATAGCCAAGGGTAAAGCCCCACCCCAGGCCATAATGACACAGACAAAAAAAAATTCACAATAATGCAACATCTAGGCATTCCATTGGCTCAGTTTTTGACGGATCTGAACTAGTTTGGTTTCTCAGAAGGACAAATGATTCAGATAAGGCCAAGGCTGCTACCACAGGCCAGATCCAACCACTAGGCAACTTACAGTTCACTGGAGCTGTAATTCAGCAAATTCAGCTTGGCAGATGTGACTGGCCCCTGAGAGTACTCCTCACATGCCCCGCCTTCCCTCCACCCGCAGTGGCCTTCCCAGTGACAGGCCCTGCCCCACACTGGAACAGAGACTTACTGACAAACCAAAGTGCTCACATTTTTAGTTCCATCATGAAAAGCTCCTGCTTGCTTACAGTGGGCAGTTTGTCTCCAATAAATCATTTGATTTCAGGGTTCTGAGGATTTTCCAAGGCATAAAACCTACTCCTTCTTACCCCTCTTTCCCTCGATTATGGATGGCCAGTTCTTCACCAATCCCCTCTTCCTCCTTGAAGCTCTCCCAGTCCAGTTTGGACTTCTCAAGGGTGCTCATTTTCTGCTTCTTGGCACCAATTTTCCCCAAAAGGCTGCTCATGCCACTTGATCTTTTTAACCTAAGGAAAGAAAATATGAAAGATGTAGCAGGTAAAAACTCTGATCTCTATATTAACAGTTTTTCTGATGCAAATGGGAATCCCCTAGATTGGGGCCATTTATCTTAGTGGAAGCCATGTTCATATTTGGGGCATTTCCTTCCTGGTGTGGAGAGCACTGTAAGTAAACTGGAATTCTAATGTGCTTTTCCTGCTTAACACCACTGTCTGCTCTCCTGAGCTACGAACAGGAAATCCTGCCTTCTTCAGACCTCTGTGGGCTCTGTGTGGCAGGTCTCTGCTTGCAAGGAGGGGAGGAGCAGCGCTTCAGGCAGGGCTTTGGAGTCACATGCCAAGGTCCAACTTCCAGCTTAACTGTGTGACTCTAGGCCAGTTATTTACTGCATGTTCCTTGGTTTCCTAATCTACAAAGCAAATGCTTACTCACAGGCTGTGGTGTATCTTACACGTAAAGGGCTAAAACAGCACTTGGCACAGCGTCAAGGTGCAATAAGCATGAGCCACTCTGAGTCACTGTCATCGTTTAAGCTTAAAGCCCCAGGGGGTTCTTTTAAGAGAAAGAGAACCAGTTCCCAACACTGATGAGTGAAAAGTCACAGTACTGTAAGAGGGTTCTAAAATCAGTTTCCTTTTAACTCCTGTGAGTTGGGCCCTGTTTTTTCCAGGAGGTGGAGAACATTCCTCACTCCGAAAGCTCACACGGGGAATGTACAGCCTGTGCTCCACTTGCTGGTGATGCTATCATGGACAGTGGGAGAAACCCCAGATGCCCAAATTCAAGTCTTGGCAGGTCAAATGTTTCCAGTCATTGTTAAACATATGAAATAAAATAAGAAAAGCAAAATGCAGTTAAGATGGTATGAGGAAAGGTTTGGTCTCTTTATGAAATGAAACGAAATCATCTACCAGCATGTAGGAACTTGGAAGTTATTTTCCGCCTCACGGGGATATGCAAGAAAGTTAAACATTTAAAAACTATGAGCTAATGTCACATGGTCTACTGATAATAATACCTTTACTTGTCTAGAATGTTTGTTCTCCAAGTGCTTTTGTAGCCATGATCTCATCTAACTCTCACTAAGGCCTGTGACACAGGACCCAGTCTCAGAGTTGGAAGGGATCATCTTTGAAATAACCTAGTATCACCCTAACCCATTCTGAAACCCCACGTCCCTGCCGCAAAGCAGCGTGAACGACTACTCACCCCCTCTGCCTGGTGTGAGCCAACAGGCCAACGTCCACACTGAACACCAGACTGCTGGGACTGAACAATGACCCTGAACATTCTCATTCTATTAACTTTAGTAGAGAGGATGTCAACTTCCCTGTTTGGGTCACACCCCAGTACATGCTGAGCTTAAGATCAACTCAGAATGGGCTGGGCAAGCTTCATCATCCTTGTATTAAGTTGGACAAATAAACAAAGTTCAGAGAGGTTAAATGATAAAACAAGGGTCAAAACAATAGACAATGCAGATCCGGGACAAAGGAAGATCTCTCCCAACTCTCAGGGTGGTGCACTGTGCTATCTCGCCTCCAGATGAGAAGTGACTTGAGAGATTTTCTCATTAGTTACTTTACTTCCCAGTTTGCTTAAGAGAACTCCAAATAGCTCTTTATGAGCTTTCAATTCATATCTTCTAAGCACTGTTTTCCAGACAACTCAACCCCTACAATGTCATATGTGCGCGTGATCACACACACACACACACACACACACGCACACACACACACTTTCTTTTTCACCATTTTACCAGGAACGGAGCATGAGTGGGGATATGGAAACTTACTGTGTCTCAAATCTTTTTCCTTCTCATCTTCCTTACTGCTACTGCCCGAATTCTCATTCTTATATCACCTGGATAATTGAACAGCCTCTTTACTGGTCTCCCTGACCTGTTTTTCCCCATCCTCACTCAGTGGCCCTATCCTGGTATCTAGTGACATGCTGTAATTAGACTGAATTTTCCAAAACACAAAGCTTAGCATGTCTTTCTGCTTAAATGTCTCTTCACTGACCCCTTTTTATTTTTATTTATTTTTATTTTTTGAGACGGAGTTTCTCTCTTGTTGCCCAGGCTGGAGTGCAGATGCGTGATCTCGGCTCACTGCAACCTCCGCCTCCCGGGTTCAAGCGATTCTCCTGTCTCAGCCTCCCAAGTAGCTGGGATTACAGGCGCCTGCCACCACACCTGGCTAATTTTTTGTATTTTTAGTAGAGACGGGGTTTTGCCATGTTGGGCAGGCTGGTCTCAAACTCCTGACCTCGGGTGATCTGCCCACCTCGGCCCCCCAAAGTGCTGGGATTACAGGTGTGAGCCACTGCGCCCAGGCCCACTGACCCCTTTTTAAAACATAATAATTAAAATAAATTTTTATGTATTTACTTTTTTAGAGACAGGTTCTCACTCTGTTACCCAGGCTAGAGTACACCAGTGAAACCACAGCTTACTACAGCCTCAACCTCCCTGGGTCAAGTGATCCTCCCACCTCAGTCTCCTGAGGTGCAGAGACTACAGGTGTGTGCCACCACGTTCAACTATCTTTTTTATGTTTTGTAGAGACAGGGTCTTGCTATGTTGCCCAAGGCTGGTATCAAACTCTTGGACTCAAGCAATCCTCCTGCCTTGGCCTCCCGAAGTACTGGGATTATAGGCACAAGCCACCATATTAAGCCTTATCTCAGCTTTAAAACCACTTCCTCCAGGAAGCCTTCCCTAACCTCTAGATTAGGTGTCCCTGGTGGTATTTCTATCATACCAGTTCTTTTCATATGGGAACACTGATCTTTTCTTTAGATGCTTGTGAACTCTTATTTCAGCTGCAGCTGCACTAGATGGTTCTGGGCAAGTGCAGACTCACTGTTGACAACACCCCACCAAAAGCATACGCATGAGGACTTTCCATTTCTGGCTGCAGGGTCTCCTCTGAGCCTGCCTGCATGCCACAAGTACTGCCTGGACAGGTGGTGGAGCTCAAGCCATTGGGGCTAGCCTGAAGGAACACAAAAGCTGGTGGTTAAACGGCCAGCCTCCTACCCTCACAAGGTAGCTATAGGAGGTGGAATGCTTCTCAGAAGTTCTGGTGGCATCAAGCCCTCGTGGCCTTGGAATTGTACTCTTATATTGACTTTTCCTCCTTCCTTGTCTCATTCTTTCCACCACTCACACCTGCTTCCTGGGATCACTTCCCAAATAAACTCCCTGCACTCAAAATCCTTGTCTTATGTTCTGCTTTGAGGGGACTCTAACTAAGGATTTTAGGAGAAAAATTATTTTCCTCGTGTAATCTTTATCTTTCTGTGGCTATTTAAGTTCCTGTGTCTCCAAACCTCTCTACCCATTGATAGAGTTCTGTGAACAGTGAGCACTCAATTAAGTCAACAACGTCACCTGGATTACAGAACCAATTCATGGAAGAGAATCAGATATTCGCAGAACTAAGTATTCTTTAGAGCGCTTCTACACTGGAGATTTTAAGGGGAACAATTCACTTTTATTCTCCCATCAGCTCTCAACAGCCCAAGGTTCCCCATTTAATTTGGGCAGCACCACAAGCTATGTACGCCACCTCTCCCCTTCAGCCTACAGCTCCAGTGGTATTCCTGGGTGAGGCCATCTTATTGACGAATTACTTTGAGAAGTCTATGAGAAACTTGATTTTTTGATGCACAGCAGTGAGGTTTCCAGAAAAGGAAAAAAACCATAATACCCCTTTGCCTTGCTCACCATTAAACATCAGTAAAATGTCACCTGTGCTATTATGCTTTTGGGGAAGGCTTCCAACTCTCCTTTCACTGGGTCATTAACAAGGTGTAAGATGTCCTAATGTGATAGTCTCTAAAGCAAAATAATCTGTCTTTTATTTGAGGCTAAATCAAAGTGAATGACACACTGATAGCAGCAGCCAGAACACACAGGGGGCTCATGATAACCAGGAGACCAGCAGCTTCTTCCTAGAACCTGTTTGTGGGCTCCCTCAGGGTTCTGAGCCCTCCCACTCACTCTCCCACCCTGAGAGGGGTTTCAGTGTCCTAATCCTGGTGTCATTTCAGCACAGCTTTCAGAAAGGCAGATTTACTGTGACCTTGCCGCTTTCTCTGCCACAAAGGTACATGAACCAGGCTTTCAGGAAGCCGAGGCGGGAGAGAATCAGTCTCTGGGCAGGGGGCGCTGACCCTATTCTGAGAAAGAACACAGAAAAGCCTACTTCAGCCACGCACCTCCGAGAACTATGGCTAGCAGGGGACAAATCAGCACTGGCTCTCCAGGCATCTGGCAGCTGTGTATATTGGAAAACTGTAGAATGGGGAAGTCAGAATTCCCTTGGAGATTTGTTTTCATCAAGAACCAATCCAACCGGGCGCTGTGGCTCATGCCTGTAATCCCAGCACTTTGGGAAGCCGAGGCGGGCGGATCACAAGGTCAGGAGATCGAGACCATCCTGCCTAACACGGTGAAACCCCGTCTCTACTAAAAATACAAAAAATTAGCCGGGCGTGGTGGCAGGCGCCTGTAGTCCCAGTTACTTGGGAGGCTGAGGCAGGAGAATGGCGTGAACCCAGGAGGCGGAGCTTGCAGTGAGCCAAGATCATGCCACTGCACTCCAGCCTGGGTGACAGAGTGAGACTCCATCTCAAAAAAAAAAAAAAAAAAAAAAAAAACCAATCCAGTTCCAGACCAACAGAACCACTGGTTTCTTTGTTCTTTATCCTAAGCCATAGGGCAAGGTACTGCCAGAAAGTCTGCTTTAACAGACCACTCTCCAGACAACAGTACTTCATTGAGTCAAGAGACTCCTCACCCACCTGTTGCAAGTCAAAGTTCAAAGAAATGCACCATGCACTTGCTCACCCAGATTACATCCCAAATGTTACGCTGAGGCATTCTGGAATGTTATTACCAAGATGTTTCCAATGTCACAATGACATTGCAACCACCTCCTCCTGAACATCACATGACTTTGTTGACCTTACTACCATAAATTTGATGTAAAGACTAATACTGTTCAAGGAGTGTGGACTTTGCTCTCACCAGCCAGCTTCCATGCCATAAGAGAGAGTGGCTGAGTGCAGCTCATACTGGTGAAAGAGACACTTATTTTCCAAGCTTATCTTTCTTGCATATTTTGTTCAGTTATCCATCAATCAGCAATTATCAACTCCCTTCCCACCATGCCAAACCAAGACCTATCATAACACCAGACACCAACCAAGACCTTGATTAAGAAACTCAGAAAAGTAAAAGAGACACAGAATGTAAAATGACAAGTCATCTTTTTCTTTTCTAGGTTCAAAGTTTATAATGATAATTTTCTAGAACTTATTCTGCTTCTCTTTAGCAAAAGAAATGTAATTTTAACAAAAATGTCATTGTAACTAAACAATAAACTTCATCCTGTTGAGTCTGTCACAGAGATATTATGGTAACTTGTTTACTTTGTTCCATGTCCACCAGCATTGACTTGGATTTGTCCAACCGATTTATTTTGTAGCAAGAGCACTGTTCTATCTGACCACCCTCAGCAATGCCCGGGATCCTGCTGTTTGTTTAAAAGAGGTACTGGAAAGGAGCTGGGAGAGTAACTTGCCAAGTGGAAAGGCTGACAGGGCTTACCAACTGTTTGTGAAGGATGGTAGAAGATCTTTCCCGGAGATCTTTAAAATCATCCCCAGGTACCCAGCTGTTTCACAGAATAGAATTTTAGCTTTGGAAAGGAATTCAGAGTCATTCATTCATTGCATTCATTCAACAGAGATTACTGAGAACTTACTCTCTACCAGACACTGTGCTCAGAATGGGGATATAAAAATATACAAAGCTTAATTTTCGGCTTCAAAACAAAAATCTAGTGGAGGACAGATCAACATACAGGCAAACTGTAACCACATATTATGAGGGCACAAAAGAAGAGCTGAAGGGATGTTTAGTCCAACCTCCTTATTTTATAGATCAGTCAACTAAACTCCAAAAGGTTAAGAAACCTGCCCAAGTTTATAGCAGGAGACTTGGGGTTAGTACTCAGTGCTTTTGATGCCCAGACTACTGTCTTTTCCACCTTGCTTGGTGCTAGATTTAAGTCCAAGTAGCTGGGACTATAGACATATGTCACCAAACCCAGATAATTTAAAAAACGTCTTTGTACAGACAGGGATCTTGCTATTTTGCCCAGGCTGGTCTCGAACTCCTGGCCTCAATCATCCCACTTTGGCCTCTCAAAGTGCTGGGATTACAGGTGTGAGCCACTATGCCCAATCTACTACATTTTTAATGTACTAAATCCTCATTATTTGACAATGGACTTACCCAAACACTTTTTCTCATAACAAAATATTCAACACTACACTTGAACTGACAGACCAGTACCAAAAGTGGACCAGCAAGGATAGGGTTAACATGTGTACAGAAGCACCACTGATCTTTAATCCAAACTTCAACACGTGAAGGCTGGATTAAGTCTATGCCTTCCATCTAATAGCCTGCATAATCACTAAAATGCAACTTATTTGGAACAAAAATTCTTTGGCAGAGATATGCAGTTTCCTTAGTATTTGTCATCTGCTTACAATGTAGGAATGGACCTTTACAATTTTTTTTTTTTTTTTTCAAGAAAGAGTCTTGCTATGTTGCCCAGACTGGCCCCGAACTCCTGGGCTCAAGCAATCCTCCTGCCTCAGCTTCCTAAGTAGCCGGGACTATAGGCTCATACAATTGCATCCATCAGGAATTTTTGTAGCTCATTCATGAACTATTAATATTGTCCAGAGCCACGGAAGGTCTGACACTGGCCTGGAACTCTCTGAGAAACAGGATGAAAGCAAGCTTATGAAGATAATTCTTCGTTGAGGGCTGTCTGTCTTGAACCAACGTTTCTCTTTCGCATTTTCTCTGGAGTTAGCTAAAATCCGTAAGGCTAAAAAGTACAACTCAAATCCCTGGGCAAATTTCACTACTCACCTGTATAAATCTCTAAGTAATCTCCCCAAAGCCCAAGATTAGACCCCTCAAGGAAATGGACTGGAAGCCACTGATGGCATATTAGGGAGCTAGTTTAACTCCCATTCACTTCTCAACACTGTATTGACAGTACTCTATGGGACAACGGCCTCAGGAAAGCAGAAAACCAGAAGTATGACAAGAAGTTCCAAAGATTTTTAAACCTTTTGTGGCTTGAAAAATTGTCAGTACTTTTAAATCTATTAATAAAGTTGATAACAGTGCCAGCAAAAAAAGTGCCATCTATCAGCAAAAGGCAAAAAGAAAAGCTGGCAAGTAGCAACAGCTTTACCTTTTTTTTATACAAATAGAAAATGATTTATTCCTCAGTTCTATTGTTCTTTGCTAAGCCAATAATGAAGGGCACTTACATTTGTCTGATCTGATTTCAGCTGCTCTACATCTTTATAACGTGTGTCTAAAACATACCTATTTTAGTGATAGAAGTCCTGAATTCTAGTATCTCCAGAAACATATTACAGAAAGCCCTTGCCAACCCTTTCTTCCATGTGTTGTTGAGCAGAGGTGTGTTTTGCCCTGTTCTGGCCTCTCAGCTGACTGTCAGGGAGAACTAAGAAATTTTAGCTGACTTTGGTGCTATTTAAATGAAGAGCTCTTCCTATATAAGACACCACCATCCATTTGTAATTACTAAGACATGGACTGTTTTCCCAAAAGCAGTAGAGGTACTCTAAATGCACAGACTCCTGGTCTCTATTATAATCAAGGACATTCATTCTGAGAATGTCAGATGGGTATAGGGGCTCTGAAGTGACAGTGAAATGGACTTTTTCTCTGGGACAAGCTAACTGACCTGCTGGGCAGTCTCAGTACTAGCACCAAGAGAAAGCTAACATTCTTCTCTGTGAATAACAGTCCTTTACTGGTCTATTGTTCCACTGCAACCAGCCAACTCAGTGGCTTTGTGTCTCTTGCCACAAAGAGTAACGTGTTGTTTGTGTTTATTACTCTGCTTACTTCAGACCTTTCAGAGAAGCTCTACGTTTGATAAGTGTTAGGAAAGTGCAGATCCTCTTCCACACCCTTCCTTGGTGCACGTAAAACATCTGTGGTGCTTGGTTCGTGCATATAATGCAGAGAGAAATGCTGCAGGAAGATGTAAAAGAACTTGTGCTACCAGGTAGGCATGTGAGAGTTTTTTTTGTTTTTTTGACAGGGTCTCGCTCTGTCACCCAGGCTGGAGTGCAGTGGCGTGGTCTCGGCTCACTACAGCCTCTGCTTCCTGGGTTCAAGTGATTCTCCTGCCTCAGCCTCCTGATAGCTGGGATTACAGGCGCCCACCACCACACCCAGCTAATTTATGTATTTTTAGTAGTGATAGGGTTTTGCCATGTTGGCCAGGCTGGTCGCCATGAGGCCTGGCCTCAAGTGATCTGCCCGCCTGGGTCTCCCATAGTGCTGGGATTATAGGCATGAGCCTCCCTCCACGCCTGGCCAGCATGTGAGTTTTAAGGTGTGCGAATGTTCATTCCACTCTTGCTTCTGAGGGATGTTATATGGTGAAACATGCCTTAGTTCTTCAGAAAGCAAAATATCATCAAGCTGTCTTCTCTCTTTGCATGTATTCCCTTGAATTACATAAAAGAAATTCCATAGAGAATCTCAAGTTGAAAGTCTGAGTTGCTGCCCCTAACTAAAGCAAATGAGATTTCTTATAGAGTCAAATGAGTGAGTGTTCAGTGTTCACTGTTTTTTGTTTTTTTTTAGACGGAGCCTTGCTCTGTTGCCCAAGCTACAGTGCAGTGGTGCAATCTTGGCTCACCGCAACCTCCGCCGCCGGGGTTCAAGCAGTTCTTCTGCCTCAGCCTCCCGAGTAGCTGGGGTTACAGGTGACCGCTACCATGCCTGGCTAATTTTTGCATTTTTAATAGACATGGGGTTTCGCCATGTTGGCCAGTCTGGTCTCGAACTCCCGACCTCAGGTGATCCTCCCGCCTCAGCCTCCCAAAGTGCAGAGATTACAGGCGTGAGCCATCGCACCTGGCCTTGTTCATTGTTATATTTGTCTATTTGAACAGAAAGAAAAGGAAGTGAATAACTACCTTCAATGGCAGTAAGATAAGTTACTTAATGGGCTACAAAAAGGAATACCAATACATGGAAGTACCAATACCTGCTACAACATGGATGGACCGTGAAAACATTACGTTAAGCGAGAGAAGCCAGGAACAAAGGACCATATATTGTATGATTCCATTGATATGAAATGTCCAGAATAGACAAACCTACGCAGACAGAAAGTAGATTAAGGGTTGCCAGAGTCAAGGAGAAATGGGGATAGGAGTTGGGGGTGGTAGTTGCTGACAGCTAATGACAGATAAACGGTGTGGGGTTTCTTTTTGGAGTAATGAATATGTCCTAAGTTGTAGTGATGCACAATTCTGCAAATATACTAAAAGCCATTTAATTATAGACTGGCATGGGAATTATACCTAAATAAAGCTGTTTTGAAAAATGATAAATGACTACTCTTTCTCTAGGTACTGGATTTATATGCTCAATTTATCTTTCATCATTCAGAAAAATAAAAGGAAATGAAGGACAATATTTTTATTTTATAAATTTATTTTTGAGACCAAGTCTCGCTCTGTCACCCAGGCTGGAGTGCAGTGGCGCGATCTCAGGTCACTGCCAACGCTGCCTCCTGGATTCAAGCAATTCTCCTGTCTCAGCCTCCCACATAGCTGGGATTACCGGCACCTGCCACCACACCTGGCTAACTTTTGTATTTTTAGTAGAGATGGGGTTTCACCATGTTGGCCAGGTTGGTCTTGATCTCCTGACCTCAAGTGATCCGCCTGCCTCAGCCTCCCAAAGTGCAGAGATTACAGGTGTGAGCCACCATACCTGGCCAGGAAAATATTATTAAAGGAAAAATGTGTTTCCTGGATTCACAAAAGCATCACATAATTGGGCCATCATTTGGCCAACCTAAAGAAAGGCTTCAGCCTGGGCGACATGGCAAAACCCCGTCTCTACAAAAAATTTGCCGGGTGTGACGGTGTGTGCCTGTAGTCCCAGCTACTTGGGGGCTGAGGTGGGAGGTTTGCTTGAGAACGGGAGGCGGAGGTTGCCGTGAGCAGAGATCATGCCACTACACACCAGCCTGGGTGACAGAGTGAGACCCTATCTCAAAAAAAAAAAAAAAAAAAAAAAAAAAAAGAGAAGGGTTTCCCAGCACAGCAATTTATAATGATGATACTCAATAACGAGAAATGGGGCGCTGGCATTAATGAACCTTGAGGCTGACTCTTGCTTTTTCTTCTTTGTTTTTGTAACCTTAAGGTGGTAACTCAGAAGGGTTATGTACAAGAATTCCAGTATGGTCTGGTGAGGAATTCCAATATGGTCTGGTGCAAAAATCCCCCCAACTTTATAGTTTGAAAAATGTGAAACTGAAAGAAAAGTTGAAAACAGAACCACTATTTATCTAAATACGCTTCACTTAGATTCAATTGTTAACATTTTGCCACATATAACTTTTCTTTCTATATATAGATTTACTTTTTTGTGGCCGTGTGGAGCCATTGCATCATTTCACCTCTACATACCTTTAGCATGTATCTCCCAAGGACACTTTCCAACATACACCCAAGAAATTTAACATTGATATAATGACACAATATACAGTCCAATATAAAGTCCAGGTTCAAATTTCCTTCAACACACCTCCCAAAATGGCCTCGTTAGTTGCTCCCCATTCTCTCTCAAAATGCATCACATTTCAAAGTTTCTTTAGTCTCCTTTAATCTTGTAATCTAGCAGTCTCTTGCCTTTGGTTTTGTTGTTTTGATTTTTGGTCTTCAGTGTCTTGTTAATTTTTAAGAGTCCAGTCTGGTTGACCTATAGAATGTTGCTCATTGGATTTATCTGTTTCCTATGACTAGATTCAGGTTAAATATTTTTGCTGAGGATGCTAAATAGATGAGGTTGGGCACTTCTTACTGCACCATCATCAGAGGCACTAGTGTCAGGTCAGCCCATCCTGGCGATGCCAAGCGTGATCCCTTGGGTAAGGTTGTGACGGCCAGAACTCTCACTTGTAAAGGTACATTTTCCCTCTGTAATTAATTTGTAATTCATGTATAATATGTGAGATAATACTCTCAGGAAGTTCAGAAAGTTGACCGCTTCTTATTTCTTATGCCTCACTCTATAACGTCTTCGGCTACGTCTACAGACAGACTAGGGTGAATTAATAGTAAAGAATCCTATTTGAAAGGCCAGGCAGTGTGCTGGCTCACGCCTATAATTCAAGCACTTTGGGAGGCCAGGGAGGGAGGATCGCTTACGCCTAGGAGTTCAAGACTGTAGTAAGCTGTTATCGTGCCACTGCACTCCAGCCTGGGTTGACAGGATGAGACCCTGTCTAAAAAAAAAAAAAAAAAAAAAAAAAAGTCCTATTTGAAGGACAAAAATACAAATATTCAGGAAATCCCCAAAGGAGAGTAAAGCTCTAGCTGTAAAAAAGTCTTTAAAAAGTAAAAGAGGCCGGGCGCGGTGGCTCACGCCTGTAATCCTAGCACTTTGGGAGGCCAAGGCGGGCGGATCACCTGAGGTCAGGAGTTCGAGACCAGCCTGACCAACACAGAGAAACCCCATCTCTAATAAAAATATAAAATTAGCCGGGCGTGGAGGCGCATGCCTGTAATCCCAGCTACTCGGGAGGCTACTCCTACTGCCTCAGCAGGAGAATCGCTTGAACCCGGGAGGCAGAGGTTGTGGTGAGGCGAGATCGCACCACTGCACTCCAGCCTGGGCGACAAGAGTGAAAACTCCGTCTCAAAAAAAGATAATAAATAAATAAATAAAAATAAAAATAAAAAGTAAAAGAGCAGTTAACTAGAGAAAAGGCAAAAGGCTATGGGATCTTCAGCAAAGTCCTAGATTGGACAGGCAAGTGGCGAGGGCAGAGGCCTCTCTGGCCAACATGGAGGCCCTCGCCTAGATGAGTGGAGACTTCTCAAGGCCTGGTGCCTGGTACGCATGAGGGTTAAATGACACGAAGTCAGCAGCAAAGAAAACCTCTTCTGACCTGCCGCCAGACCTCTAAGGAAATGATACTTCTGAATTTCCCTTCCCCTTTGTCCACTCAAATGTGGTTTCATCTCCTCCCTGGGAAAGAGATAATGCTGCAGCCCTTCCCGCCTCTGCTCTAGCAATTTCCTTCTTTGAACCACTCCCATGGTGGGGGAGTCCTGGCAAAGCAGAGAAGGACACGCCACCATTTCACAGCAGTGTGGGAGTAAAGAAGGCCAGGGGGCTCTCCAAGGAGGAAATGTTGAGTGTAATGGAAACTAGATTCTGCCTGGGGAGGAGATGCTTTGCCCCTGAGGTGCGAACTGCTGTTGCTTTAATTTGTATGATTAGACACAGCTGGGGAGAATAATTTATTGACCAATACAAACAGACAATTTACATTTCTGAGACACAATTTTAAAGGAATTATTAAATACAGCTTCTAACAAAGACCATAATGACAACTTTATGCAGAACCCTGGGAGCTCAACAGAGGAAGACACAGCTTATTTTCCAGATACTGGTTCCATATGGCCTCCCACCAGTCACAGCCGCAGAGGCCAAGAAAAGCTGAGGCAGAGTCAGCATCTGGCATTAAAAGTCAATGACCTGGCCAGGTGTGGTAGCTCACCCCTGTAATCCCAGCACTTTGGGAGGCTGAGGTGGGTAGATTACCTAACGTCAGGAGTTCGAGACCAGTCTGGCCAACATGGTGAGACCCCACCCCCCATCTCTACTAAAAAAATACAAAAAATTGGCCAAGCATGGTGGTACATACCTGTAATCCCAGCTACTCAGGAGGATGAGGCAGGAGAATTGCTTGAACTTGGGAGGCAGAGGTTGCAGTGTGCCGAGATCGCGCCACTGCACTCCAGCGCGCCACTGCACTCCAGCCTGGGTGACAGAGTGAGACTCCGTATCACAAAAAAAAGAAAAAGGTCAATGACCCTTCTCAAGGAGAACTGTGCTCTGCTGTGACTGTGACTGGTCTGTGCTGGTCTGACGGCTGGAGCCACACACTCTCATGAACATTCCCCTGATCGTTCCCATCAGGGACAACATGGCCAGGCAAATAGCACATCTCGCCAACTAAGTCAACAGGACAAAGCACTGGGCAGAAGATCAATATGCCTCAGTGGTGTGTTGTTTGGCTGACTGTTGATTAGGGAGTTGGCATGCTTTCTTTCTTTCTTTTTTTTTTTTTTTGAGATGAAGTCTCACTCTGTCGCCCAGGCTGGAGTGCAGTGGCACAGTCTCGGCTCACTGCAACCTCCGCCTCCTGGGTTCACGCCATTCTCCTGCCTCAGCCTCCCCAGCAGCTGGGACTACAGGTGCATGCTGCCATGCCTAGCTAATTTTTGTATTTTTAGTAGAGACTGGGTTTCACCGTGTTAGCCAGGATGGTCTCGATCTCCTGACCTTGTGATCCGCCCGCCTTGGCCTCCCAAAGTGCTGGGATTACAGGCGTGAGCCACTGCGCCCGGCCGGCATGCTTTCTTAAATATCTGCATCCTGCTTTTAGACTTTCAGCTTTCTTTTTTCTCCCAGGGATGCATGTCTCTGTCTCTTCATAAAAAAATCTGAGGATATTAACATAAATTTTAAATTCTTGGGCACCTCTCAGGTTGAGACTAGGCTAAAGTTTTGGGATACAGGGGTGTCCTCAGTCAAATCAGAAATAATTCCTTACATCATAGACACCTCTCTTAAAACAAGTCATGCCTGCCCCTTTCTAGAAATGAGAAGGCACATTAAGCACATAGCTTTAAATGAAACTCATAGGAGCCGAACACATTTTGCAAAATTACTCCCTCTCAATACCAAACTTACTTTATTTATTTATTTTTTTGAGATGAAGTTTCTGTTGCCAGACTGGAGTGCAGTGGAGCGATCTCGGCTCACTGCAACCTCTGCCTCCCGGGTTCAAGTGATTCTCCAGCCTCAGACTCCTGAGTAGCTGGGATTACAGGCACATGCCACCATGCCCAGCTAATTTTTGTATTTTTAGTAGAGATGGGGTTTCACCATGTTGGCCAGGATGGTCTTGATCTCTTGACCTTATAATCCACCTACCTCGGCCTCCCAAAGTGCTGGGATTACAGGTGTGAGCCACCACGCCCAGCCCCAAACTTCTAACTGCTACTAAATAAGCATGCAAAATTCCAAATGAGGAGGAGATAGACATTGGACACAGCTGTGATCCTTGACACCTCAAAGTTACATCTGGGGTTGGGGGGGAACGTGCTTTATGGTCGTTGCATTACACGAGACTGAAGTGGTGAAGGTCATTTTTCAGCACTTAGCGCTCCTGCTAGGGTCCTGACTCCCAAATCTACTTTCTCAGTGGCATCCGCAACATCGTTTGCTCACTCAGTTGCCAGGGTAGCAGCTCTGGCCTCCTAGAGGCCACAATTCTACTAATATCAATGGGAAAACTTAATGAGGCTCAGATCCCAACCTGCCCCTCTTCCTCCAGAGGCAGCTTCCACTTCTCCTCACAAAGCTGGGATATGGCATCATCAGCGTTCCCCCTGTGGTGCCACCCCTCACAACCCAGGATTTAAAGAGCCCTTAGGAAGCAATCATCTATACAAGGGTGATCACAAGAATGGGGTTACTTAAGCATGAGCCCTAAGTGTCACTTTGCTAAGGCAATACAATGGATTTCAACAAAGAAATATTCGTTTCCACGTAGTTTGATACTGAAAGCAGAAAACTTTCTTTTTACTGCATGCAGGAAATGGTTTTCATAGAGGCTAACCACAGCTGAGCCATCTGTAAACCACAACATTGTTTCTCTTTAACAAATGGAAGATTTTTACCCACGGTATCACTGACCATCAAAAAGAATTCCCATCCTCCATCTCTAGAGCAAGAGAAAACGGTAAGTAGAGTTTCTTTCCTTAATCTGCTAGCCAGGGGTTGCTAAAACAGCCTTTTCATTCAGAAATGTAGTTTGTCCTCCAAGGTTCATCCCATCCCTACTGCTAGGAGATGTATGAACCCTTAAACAAGTCCAGTTTCTTTGCATTCTGAGACCCCCTCGGAGCATGCGCTTTTATGTGACCATGACTCACACTGGGTCATAATGTAAAACGTGTAACTATGACTGAAGGCCAAAAAGTTTGAAAAAGATGCTTTAGCGTTAACTGGCTGGCAAACGAAGAAGGTCTGCTGAAACAAAGTTGGCTGCTCTGCCAACAGATTGTTTGAAGGAAAACTAGTTAAAAAAAAAAGAAAAAAATCAAGTGCAATCAACTAAAGTAGGGCAGACCCTTCCATTCTTTGATTTTTCCCTGTGTATTAGCCATTTGCTTTGGGAAACTTGGCATCACGATCTCCCTGCTGTGAGAGCAAGGCCTCTGACCCAGGGCTCCTCACCCCAGACTGTGAGAGTGTGTGATTGACACCCTCTCCTGGGGGACGAGTGGCTTTGCTATGGCCTTCCAGTCACCGTGAGGCTCAGCTGGTGACTCTGCAAGGATTGCATGAGTGTGTTCATTGTTCTCACTGTTCAGATGAAGGAAAGGGGCTCAGAATATGGGACATTGATGGTCTCATGTGAATTAAACAACTGAAATGAGGGGGACTCATGCAAATAAAAGAACAAAATCCAAAAACATGACCTGAGTCACACCAAGGAATAGTTTCCCTCTAAGAATGAAGAGAAACAAGAACCCAAATATAAGCTACTAAATGTACTTGTACTCTGGAAGAATGCTGGAAAATCTGATGACTTACTATTTCTTATTCTCAGCTAGTATTTTTTTTTTAAGAGATGGGATCTTGCTGGTTTTGAACTCCTGGGCTCAAGTGAACCTCCTGCCTCAGCTTCCTGAGTAGCTGGGAGTCACAGGCACACGCCATCATGCCTTGCTCAGCTAACAGCTAATACTTTAATATTTTAATAAATTATTATTATTATTTTTACAAGACAAGATCTCACTATGTTGTTCAGCCTGATCCTGAACTCCTGGGCTCAAGGGATCCTCCTACCTCGGCATTCCAAAGTGCTGGAATTACAGGCGTGAGCCACAGTGCCCAGCCTGGCTAATACTTTTTATAATAGCTTTACTGAGATGTAATCCACATTCTAAAGATTTCACCTATTTAAAATGGTACAACTCAGTGGTTTTTAGTATATCCATTACCACAATCTCATTTTAGAAAATTGCCACTCCTGCCAAAAAGCCCCTTATATCCAGTAGCAGTTACTCTTCATTCCCCTCACCAGCTCTTGGCAACTACTAATCTACTTTCTGCCTCAACAGATTTACCTATCTCTCAGGTAATACTTTAAACCAAGCTTGTCCAACCTGCCTTATTCTGTTATTGTTTTGTTTTGTTTTGGGCTTTTACCAGCCTGAAGCCATGTTTTTCAGTTTCTGCCTCTAGTGATAAGCGGAAAAGAGGGGTGAGGAAGGGGCTTTATGGGCCCAACCAGAAACAGAAACTAAGAACTCATGACTGTATTCTCTCCCTTGGACACCCCTGCTTTAAACCATAAATTTAAGATTATATATAAGCATCCAGAAGAAACAACACATCTCTCAGTTGGTATCTATCACAGCCTCCTATAGGAAACACATTTAAACTTTCCTAATTTGTTTTCTTTTTCTTTTTCGAGACCAAGTCTTGCTTTGTCGCCCAGGCTGGAGTGCAGTCGTGCGATCTTGGCTCACGGCAAGCTCCACTTCCCAGGTTCATGCCATTCTCCTGCCTCAGCCTCCCGAGTAGCTGGGACTACAGGCGCCCGCCACCATACCCGGCTAATTTTTCTGTAATTTTAGTAGAGACGGGGTTTCACCGTGTTAGCCAGGATGGTCTCGATCTCCTGACCTTGTGATCCACCCGCCTCGGCCTCCCAAAGTGCTGGGGTTACAGGCGTGAGCCACCGCGCCCAGCCTATTAAACTTTCCTAATTTGTTTTCTACATGATGGTCATGCATACATTTTGTAAGAAGAATCAGAAATCTAGTCTTTACACAGGAATATTAGAATATCTGGGCATTGCTTGTAAAGTGAAGTCCCAGATATCACCAACACTATTTCGGATCTGTGTTTTTAAAGCACTTGGGTACAGTGGCTTTGCAGTCAGTGTAGAAACCTGTCCCTCCCACTTAATAAATTTTTATTTATAGTCATGTGTTGCTTATGTTCTGAGAAATGTGTTAGGTGATTTCATTGTTGTGCCCAACATCACAGAGTGTACTTACACAAACCTAGATAGTATAGCCTACTACAGGCTTACATTGTGTGGTAAAGTTTATTGCTCCTAGGCTACAAATCTGTATAGCATGTTACTGTACTAAGTACTGTAGGCAACTGTAACAGAATGGTAAGCATCTATGTCTAAACACATCTAGACCTAGAAAAGGTACAGTAAAAATATGGTACAGTTGAGCATCCTAAACCCAAAAATCTGAAATCTAAAATGTTCCAAAATCCAAAATATTTTGAGCACTGACATGACACTCAAAGGAGCATTTCGAATTTTGAATTTCCAGATTTGGGGTGCTCAACCACTAAGTAGAATACAAATATTAAAAAAAAAAAAAATCCCAAATCGGAAACACTTCTGGTCCCATGCATTTTGGGTAAGGGATACTTAACCTGTGTATAAAAGATAAAAAAAGGTACAGCTGTATAGGAAGTTTACCATGAATGGTGGAACCCGCAGGACTGGAAGTTGCTCTGGGTGAGTCAGTGAGTGAGTGGTGAGTGAATGTGACGGCCAAGGACATTACTGCACACTACTGTGGATTTTATAACCACTGTACACTTAGGCTACAATACATTTATTTAGAAAATTTTTTTTTCTTCAATAAAAATTTAACCTTAGCTTACTGTAACTTTATAAACTTTTTAATCTTTTAAAACTTTTTGACTGTTTTTTAGTAATGCTTAGCTTAAAACATAGCACAGCTGTAGAAAAACTTTCTTTATACCCTGTTTCTGTAAGGTTTTTTTCTATTTTAAAATGTTTTCACTGTTTTTACTTTTTAACGTTAAAAAAAAAAAAACTAAGACAAACACACACATTAGTCCAGGCCTACACAGGGTCAGGATCATCAATATCACTGTCTTTGACTTCCTTATTTTGTCCCATTGGAAAGTCTTCAAGAGCAACGTGTCTGGAGCTGCCATCTCCTATGACAACAATGCTTTCTTATGGAATCCTTCCTGAAGGACCTGCCTGAGGCTGTTTTACTTAACTTTTTTTTTTTTTTTAACAAGTAGAAGGAATACACTCTAAAATAACAATTTAAAGTATACTATAGGGCTGGGTACAGTGGCTCACGCCTGTAATCCCAGCACTTGTGAAGGCCGAGGCAGGTGGATCACCTGAGGCCAGGAGTTCAAGACCAGCCTGACTAACATGGTGAAACCCGATCTCTACTGAAAATACAAATTTGCCGGGCCTGGTGGAGCGTGCCTGTAATCCCAGCTACTCCAGAGGCTGAGGCAGGAGAACTGCTTGAATCCAGGAGGTAGAGGTTGCAGTGAGCCGAGATCGTGCCATTGCACTCCAGCCTGGGCAACAAGAGCGAAGCTCTGTCTCAAAAAAAAAAAAAAAAGTATACTATACATACATAAAACAGTAACATAGCTGTTTATTCTCTTTTATATGACTGGCAGCATGGTAGGTTTGTTTACACCAGCATCACTGTGAACACACGAGTGGTGTGTGACTGTATTTATTTTTACTCTGGGCAAGTTAATTTCTCTGAGTCTCAAGTAAGTAACCAATTAGTAAAATGAAGATAATAAGAACTACCTTGCAGGGTAATGATTAAATGAGATATTCATCAACTCAGCCCTTATCGTTGAGTGCCTTCAGTGTGCCAGACTCTTTTTTGGCCACTGGAGATAGACAGATTTCTTACCCTCATTTAATTTATTCACAAGATAAAGATACACAAACAAGCAATTACATTAGGAGAAAACCATTACACAGGAAGTGCAGTAGAGCATAAGAGTCTGAGATGGGGAAAGCTATAGAGAGGGTGGGGGAGGTGTCTGAGAGTTGAAGGATGAGAAAGAATTTGCCAGGGGGACGAGCTGGGATAGAGAAGTCCACAACGAGGCAACAGGCACTGAGATGTGTGTGAATGCACTTAGCATAATGCCTGGTGCACAGCAGATCATCAATACCTCCTGTTGTCCTCACTCTTATCCTCTTGTGTTATGAAAAAAACTCACTCTAGAATCCAGAAAGAAATTTTAAAAATTGTTGTTGCTGGCTGGGCGCGGTGGCTCATGCCTGTAATCCCGGAACTTTAGGAGGTCGAGGTAGGTGGGTCACCTGAGGTCAGGAGTTTGAGACCAGCCTGGCCAACATGGTGAAACTCCGTCTCTACTAAAAATACAAAAATTAGCCGGGAGTGGTGGCAGGCTCCTGGTAATCTCAGCTACTCGGGAGTCTGAGGCAGGAGAATCACTTGAACCTGGGAGGTGGAGGTTGCAGTGAGTCGAGATCACACCATTGCACTCCAGCCTGGGCTACAGAGTGAGACTTTGTCTTAAAAAAAAAAAAAAAAAAATTGCTGCTGCTAGGAAAGATTAGTGGAGCTGGGACTCAGAAGTTGCTTGTTCTTTTTTCGAGGCTAAGTCATCTTTGGCAGCAAAGTGTATTTTAAATTTTGGCGGTTTCTTTCCCCACAAACTTTTGATTTTGAGAAATTTCAAGCCAAGAAACGTTGGTCTCCTTTAATTTAGAACAGTCCCCTTACCTGTAGAATGGCCTGCTCTTTGGAATTGTCTGATTGTTAATTTGAGCTTCTTTGATGGCATATGGGAGTCTTCTAGCATGGAAAGTCCTTGGACTTTTCTCCATCTATACCCACTCTTTGGGTGACTGCATCCAGTCCCAAGGCTTAAATACTATTTGTATGCCTATGACCCCCAAATGTCTTACCTTCAGCCCAGACTCTAACTCCAGCTTTATATACCCAACAGCCTTGAGGGCCCTAGTCTGCTCTGCCTATAGCCTTGCACATCTTAGTTGTGGGGGACAACATCTGTCCAGTCCTTACCTCCCAGACTTCCTCTCCTAGCACAGCCCCTTGTATAGTCCCCTTCAGGCATGCATCTACCTTAGAGGCCTTGCCTCAAGCTATTCCTTCTGCCCAACGACTGTGCCCAGTTATCCCCTTGACTAACTTCCTGACCTCTTTCAAGTCTGGTCAAATCTCCATTTCTCAATGAGGCTTATGCTGATCATCCTATTTAATACTGCAAGCTTCCTCTTCATCCCACATACCTGGTCCTCCTCCCTTCCTCTGATTGTCTTTTCTCTATCACACTTAGCATTTTCTAATGTATCCCATAATTTATTTGTTATGTTTATTCTTTTACTGTCTATTTCTCTGCTGTAGTGGAAACTCCACAAGGGCTGGAACGAATGTCTATTTTGTTCACTGATATAACCTAAGCACCCGGCAGGGTGCCTGGCACTTGGTAGGCACTCAAAAAATATTTGTTGAAAGAATGTATGGATCTTGGGAAACCATATCAATGTCATACATTATAAATCCCAGTGAAGTGATACTGATTAAAGTAACAACTCTGCATTGGCTAACCTCTTAGTTGCTACTCAAGCTAGCTAGGTTTTCTACAGGGGAACTAAGTACTTCAGAGCAAGCACAGGGAACCATTTATTAATTGCAACAGACATTCTTGAATGGCTGTCAATAGCCTGGAAATTGTCCTAGGCTGGCTTAGGCACCTCTCATGAGAGCCTGCAGAACGTTCAATAATCTTGTCATTAATCTGAGGTACAGGGTTTAAGATATCTTAGTTGACAAACAAATAAGGGACAGAATTAAGGAGAAGTCTGGATAAATTTTTTCTTTGCTCTTTGTTTTTTGGTCCATGAAAACAGAATTTTGTGGAAAAGTGATATTGGAGTCATTTTATGTGAAAATGAAGCTCTATAACAACCAAGTCAGGGGACCTAATGAAAGACTTTTGTGTGCCAAATGAGTTTTTCCCCTTGACACTGGCGACACTGCAGCCGGGTTGCTTTTGTTTGTTTGGTTTTGGAGGGCTAGTTTTAAAGTCATGTACACTACTACGTTATGAGCCAGGAGCAACGCCTTAGTCCACTCTGGAAGCTAAAAACCAACACTGAATGGACATAATTGGAGCAATTATCTCACTCAATACTCAGTCAACTGAACAACTCCTCGTCAGAATCTGCCAGAAAGAATTAATTTAGGTGTACAAATTTGCTACAGGCAGCAAGCTAAGCTGCAGAAAAGATGGCCACTCCCTAAAGCTCTCACATCCTGCCATGGCAAGGTAAGAGAATTATGCAGACACAAACTTCCTCTCTCGTTCAGTGGTCTGAGCTGGGGAGCACAGTGAACAGGTAAGGTGGCTAACAACAGCTAGAAAAAGACACAAAAAGGAACTGGTGCTTCTTACTGCTGGGGACCGTGGTGCCTGGTAAGAACGTCAGGGATAAAAAGAAGAGCCTAAAATCTTCCAAGGAGAGCGGTAAAATGTGGTCATATATACAGATTCAAGACATCCAAATGGCTTCAGATTTCTCAACACTAGAAGCTAGAAGACTGACGGTGAAGCAATGGCCTCACAATTCTGAAGGGAAAGCATCTTTCACCTATAACGTTATACCCAGAAAACCACAAATAACATGTGAAGGGAGAAAAAAGTCATTTTCAGACATGCAAAGTTTCAAAAATTTAGCTCCCATAAACCTTTTCCTGAGGAAGTTATTAGAGGATGAGTTCTATCAAAACGGGAATAGGCCGGGCGCAGTGGCTGACGCCTGTAATCCCAGCACTTTGGGAGGCCGAGGCGGGCGGATCATGAGGTCAGGAGATCGAGACCATCCTGGCACACGGTGAAACCCTGTCTCTACTAAAAATACAAAAAATAGCTGGGCGTGGTGGCGGACGCCTGTAGTTCCAGCTATTCGGGAGGCTGAGGCAGGAGAATAGCGTGAACCCGGGAGGCAGAGCTTGCAGTGAGCCAAGATAGAGCCACTGCACTCCAGCCTGGACGACAGTGCAAGACTCTGTCTCAAAAAACAAAACGAAACAAAAAACCAGGGGAATAAACCTGGAAGACATGGAATCCAAGAAACAGAGTTCCACAAAGAGGAAGAAAAGGCAGTCCCAGAACAAGAGCTGCACAGAAAGCAAAGAGAACAAAGAGCCCAGACTTGTGCAGGAGAATGGAAGGCCCCAGAGGGATGTTACGGGGAATGGGGGAAGGGGACAGAAGGTGAAGGATGGGACTGACAAATTATAGAATACAGTAGAATAGTATAGACTATAGTAGAATATAAAGTATGGTAGAAAGAGTATTCAGAAGGATTTTATGGCTTTGTTGAAGAGTTTGGGAAAAAAAATTGTGATGGGGACAGAAAACCATCCAGCCAATCAAATATACACACATATACATGAAAGGGAAAATAAAAATAGTCCATGCCATGGCTCAGTAGTGAACAATACTGGATAATCAGGTCAACGCCAAATTATTATTATTATTATTTTGAGACAGTGTTTGACTCTTGTCGCCCAGGCTGGAGTGCAATGGCGCGTTCTTGGCTCACTGCAAGCTCTACTTTTAGGGTTCAAGCGATTCTCCTGCCTCAGCCTCCCGAATAGCTGGGATTACAGGTACCCGCCACCACACCTGGCTAATTTTTTTGCGTGTATTTTTAGTAGAGATGGGGCGTCACCATGTTGGCCAGGCTGGTCTCGAACTCCTGACCTCAGGTGATCCGCCTGCCTCGGCCTCCCAAAGTGCTGGGATTACAGGCGTATGCCACAGCACCCGGCAACACCAAATTATAATGTAATAGAACTGGAAGAATGGAAAGAGAACTGGGATGTTGAGGGGCAGGAGGTGGTATGAGAGTGTTAAATCCTCTTCTAAAACAGGAATTGGTACTTGATTTTTTTTTTTTTTTTTTTTAAGAGACAGAGGTCTCACTATGTTGCCCAGGCTGGTCTCAAACTCCTGGCCTCAGGCAATCCTCCTGCCTTGACCTCCCAAAGCACTGGGATTATAGGCGTGAGCCAGGAATTAGTATGTTTTAAAAGCTAGAGCGATGGCCGGGCATGGTGGCTCATGCCTGCAATCCTGGCACTTTGGGAGGCCGAGGCAGGTGGATCACCTGAGGTCAGGAGTTCGAGACCAGCCTGGCCAACATGGTGAAACCCCGTCTCATCGAAAAATACAAAAAAAAAAGAAAAAAAATAGCTGGGTGTGGTGGCAGGCGCCTGTAATCCCAGCTACTTCGGGAGGCTGAAGCAGGAGAATCGCTTGAACCCGGGAGGCGGAGGGCGCAGTGAGCCAAGATCATGCCATTGCACTCCAGCCTGGGCGACAAGAATGAAACTCTGTCTTAAAAAAAAAAAAAAAAAAAAAAAACTAGAGTGGAGGAAGTCAATAAATACTGATAAATAAAGAAATAGCAGTATAATAAGCATAATTTTTTTTTTTTGAGATGAACTCTCACTCTGTCACCCAGGCTGGAGTACAGTGGTGTGATCTTGGCTCAATGCAACCTCTGCTTCCTGGGTTCAAGCAATTCTCCTGCCTCAGCCTCCCGAGTAGCTGGGATTACAGGCACATGCCACCATGCTCAGCGAATTTTTTTTTTTTTTTTTTGAGATGGAGTTTTGCTCTTGTTGCCCAGGCTGGAATGCCACAGCACAACCTTGGCTCACTGGAACCTCCACCTCCTGGGTTCATGAGATTCTCCTGCCTCGGCCTCCCGAGCAGCTGGGACTACAGGCATGCGCCACCATGCCTGGCTAATTTTTTTGTATTTTTAGTAGAGACGGGGTTTCTCCATGTTGGTCAGGCTGGTCTCGAACTCCTGACCTCAGGTGATCTGCCCGCCTCGGCCTCCTAAAGTGCTGGGATTACAGGCATGAGAGCCACTGTGCCCGGCCAACTTTTGTATTTTTAGTGGAGACAGGGTTTCCCCATGTTGGCCGGGCTGGTCTTGAACTCCTGACCTCAGGTGATCTGCCTGCACTGGCCTCTCAAAGTGCTAGGATTACAGGCATGAACCACCACGATCAGCCCAAGCACAGAATTTTACAATATGGACAAAAATACCAAAAGAAACAGCTAAGAGTTTAAAGTGATTGCCCCTGGCAAGTGGACCCAGGACTGAGTCAGGCAATTGTACAGTACATTCTGACTTTTCAAATTATGCATCCGTGTGACTTTGATGTTAAAAAAAAAATCCGTGATAACCAGTTTGGCTTAATTGATCTTAGTCTCTTGGCTGCTACTGCTTCTTTTTTTAAGAGACAAGGTCTCACTGTAATCAGGCTGGAGTGCAGTGGCATGATCATAACTCATGGCAGCCTTGAACACCTGAGCTCAAGCAATCCTCCTGCCTCATTGGCTTTCCTAATTTTGAACATGTGCTGTTTTATCTCTGCTACTGTTGTCACTTAACATGTTTCTTGTTTATTCCTAATAAAGACTGTCTACATGTGCAATCCTTTTTATAACATCAAAGTACCTGAAGAGAGTTGTATTTGATAGCACCCTATGTATAGGTCATTTATCAATTTGTTTTAATGAATTTATCCACTCAAAATGTCTTACATTCTTACTCAGTGCTAGCAACCATGCTGATGCTAGGGATACAGAAGAGTAAGCATGGTTCCTGTTCTTGGGGAGCTATGGCCCCTGACAGTGCCTGATAAATACCAAGAATGAATTCCTCTTTCCTCCTCCTCCCTCAAACACCTGTTATATTTTTTAGTGTTTTTCAGTGCTAAGAACCACGTGCTTTAGAATCCCCAGAGGTTATTAGAAATGCAAACTCTAGGGTTACTTCCCTGACCCCAAGATTCTCAGGGAACAGAGTCCCAATATTTGCATTTCACTAGCAGCGCACTAAGGGTTGAAGGCCACTGCTGTAGCGAAAGCTCCTGATATTCCTCAATGACCCACATGACTACTTCAGTAATTATCCACACATTATGGCTTGGAGATAAACTGAAATGGGCAAGGCTGTGGACTCAATTTAGGTCAGCTGGACCTAGTCATTAAGACAGCCTGAGGCTAGTTTTCAAAAATAATGATAAGCCTGGGACAGTGGCTCACGTGTATTATCCCAACACTTTGGGAGGCCAAGGCAGGTGGATCACTTGAGGTCAGGAGTTCAAGACCAGCCTGACCAACACGGTGAAACCCCATCTCTACTAAAAATACAAAAAAATTAGCCAGGCGTGGTGGCGCATGCCTGTAATCCCAGTTACTAGGGAGGCTGAGGCAGGAGAATCACTTGAACCCCAAAGGTGCAGGTTGCAGTGAGCCAAGATAGCACCAGTGCACTCCAGCCTGGGCAACAAGAGTGAAACTCCATCTCGAAACAAAAACAAAAACAAATGATGAAAGTTTGGCTTCAGGACAGAGGTAAGGCCAGGATGGAGAGGTCTTTCTTCTACAGCTGGTTTTGAATTCTCTTCCTTAGGAAAAAACACTCAATTTATTGCTCTTTTCCATTGGAAAAGCTATGCAGAATCATATTTATTTCTTGGTAATTCTGTATGCTAAGTAGACTATAAAGAGTTTACAAGTCTTGTAAGATGAGAATGTCTTTCATTTTACTAATTATCAAGTTCCATTGTACATCCCCAAGTACACTGAGTCCAAGTAGCACAATTTGCTATTATTCTGAAGGCTGCCTCTGAGGCAGACAGGCCAGTCCTTATGATAAAATGAAGCAAATTCCAATTATTAAAAAAAAAAAAAAAAAAAAAAACACAAAGTGGGCCTTATTCACCAGGGCTACCTCAATGGGCAATGGGACTTATTTCACAGCTATTCAGGACAGGCCTCCTCTGCCACAAGGCTCTGCTTGCCTCTGCACCTGCCCTGTTCCAGTGGGGGCCAAATGCAGTTTGTGTCCCTCTCTCCACATCAGAATTCGTGCAATGACAGCAGGGGAGAAGGATGAGCAGCCAATGGCTCAGTCATTTTCATCTTTCCCAGGGTCCTCTCCTCCCTTTACTTGGCATCAAAACTTACATACAGTGAAATGCACAGATTTTTTAAAATTTTGATTTTTATTTTTGTAGAGACAGAGTCTTGCTATGTTGCCCAGGCTGGTCTCAAATTCCTGGGCTCAAGCAAACCTCTCACCTCGGCCTCCCAAAGTGCTGGGATTACAGGCGTAAACCACTATGCCCAGCCTGAAATGCACAGATTAAAGGTACTATTTATCTCCCATCAGTTTTGGCAAATGTATACCCCTATGTAACTCATACCCACAGTCAAAATATAGAACATTTCCACCATCACAGAAGTTCCCTTCCCAGTCAATTCCCCACCCTCCAGCAACGACTATTCTGATTTTTATAATCACAGATAAGTTCTACCTTGTTTTGAACTTTATGTAGATGGAATAATACGTTATTTTTTTCTTTTGTGTCTGGTTTCTTTCATGCAGCACAATGTTTTTGAGTTCATCCATGTTGTGTGTTCCTTGTTATTGCCACACTTTGTTTATCCATTCTCCTATCGATGGACACCTGGTTGTTTCCAGTTTTACACTATCAGGCTTGTATAGCTTTTGTAGAGATGTTTTCATTTCTTTTGGATGAAAACTTAGAATTGCTGGGTCATAGAGTGGGCGTATATTTAACTTTAATGCCAAACAGTTCTCCAAAGTTAAGAACTCTCACACGTTATAGTCCTACCATCAGCTATGTATGTTTTAAGAGGTTCTGGCTGCTCCATATTCTCACCAATATTTGTTGTTACTCAGTCTGTTTCATTTTAGTCTTTTCAGGAGTATAAACTGAGATTTACTATGATTTTAATTTGCATTTCCCTATTGTCTAAGATGATGAACACTTTTCATGCGCTTCTATCTTCCTTTGTGAAATGTCTGTCAATTTTTTTGCCATTTAGAAAACTGAGTTCAGACAGACCCCACCCTCTACGAAAAATAAAATTAGGCCAGGTGCGGTGGCTCACGCCTGTAATCCCAGCACTTTGGGAGGCCGAGGTGGGCGGATCACCTGAGGTCAGGAGTTCGAGACCCGCCTGGACAATATGGTGAAACCCCATCTCTACTAAAAATACAAAAATTAGCACGCTGTAGTGGCACGCACCTATAATCCCAGCTACTCAGGAGGCTGAGGCAGGAGAATCACTTGAGCCTGAGAGGTGGAAGTTGCAGTGAGCAGAGATTGTGCCACTGCACTCCAGCCTGGGTGACAGAGTGAGACTCCATTACAAAAATAAAAAGTAAAATAAAATAAAATAAAATAAAATAAAAAATAAAATACAGTAGCTCGATGTGGTGGTGCTTGTTTGTGGTCCCAGCTACTTGGGAGGCTGAAGTGGGAGTATCCTTTAAGCCCGAGAGGTTGAGGCTGCAGTGAACCATGATTGCACCACTACACCACAGCCTGGGCAACAGAGCAAGAAAACCCTGTCTTGGGGAAGGAGAAAAAAAGAGTTGTCTATATTTTTTATATAGTCAGTTCTATATATATTTATATATAAAAACATATTTCAGATATATATTTTACAATTTTTTTCTGTCTGTGGCTTGCCTATTCATGTTCTTTTTTTTTTTTTCCTTTTTTTTTTTTGAGACAGAGTCTCGTTCTGTCACCCAGGCTGGAGTACAGTGGCGCGATCCCAGCTCACTGCAACCTCCGCCTCCCAGGTTCAAGTGATTCTCCTGCCTCAGTCTCTGGAATAGCTAGGATTACAGGGCCCTGCCACCATGCCCGGCTAATTTTTGTATTTTCAGTAGAGATGGGGTTTCACCATGTTAGCCAGGCTGGTCTCGAACTCCTAACCTCAGGTGATCTGCCTGCTTCGGCCTCCCAAAGTGCTGGGATTACAGGCGTGAGCCACTGCGCCCAGCCAGCCTACTCATGTTCTTTTTTTTTTTTTTTTTTTGAGATGGAGTCTCGCTCTGTCGCCCAGGCTGGAGTGCAGTGGCGCGATCTCAGCTCACTGCAAGCTCTGCCTCCCAGGTTCACGCCATTCTCCTGCCTCAGCCTCTCGAGTAGCTGGGACTACAGGCGCACGCCGCCACGCCTGGCTAATTTTTTGTATTTTTAGTAGAGACGGGGTTTCACCGTGTTAGCCAGGATGGTCTCGATCTCCTCACCTCGTGATCCGCCCGCCTCGGCCTCCCAAAGTGCTGGGATTACAGGCATGAGCCACCACACCCAGCCTATTCATGTTCTTAATGACATCTTTCGATGGGCAGAAGGAGGATTATTTGCATGGCTACTAAGTCAACAAAAAAGGAAAAAAGTAGTAATGTCACAGATTTGAAGAAAGAAAATGATCAGCATTTCTTCTTTATTTGCTTTTAGAAGCCAATTCTCTATCTTAGCAAATGTAGAACCATTATACTTATTGCAGGCTAAATTTTAAAAGACAAAAATATTTGATGGATGCCCCTTTCAGATATATGCTGTTCTGCTGAGCCAACGGTGATCCCAGGAAATGGCTCTGTCAAATGAGAATTAGGAAGGGAAGTCCTGAAATGCCACAGACTGTCATCAAACCAGAAAGTTGTTACTGTTTTTTTGAAATAGAGGGAAGTAAAAAAAGATGAAGAAAGGAAGTCTTTAAAGCCTTTCATACCACATTCTGGTTTTTAAGACAGCCCATTACTTTTTTTGCTCTCTCCACAAGCGATTCAAAAATAAGGAAGGAAGTTATGGTGGTTAGAGCAAGGCGTGAAGATGCCAAGACTTCTGGGCTGCCCCCACCCTGGATAAATCAATCCTTCACATTTTCTACTTCAGTGACTGAGACACAGAGAGACCAATTTAACTCTGTGAGAGGCTGTGAGCATTATTAATCATGAATGTTCTGCCAGAGCCTCTGTGCAACAGAGGTATGGAAATACCAGCTACCTCAAGATCATCTTCAAGGGCCAATCATTGCCAGCCCCACCCACTCTCACACATCCAAGACTTGACTTGCCTCCTCCTCGCAGCACCCTAACCCTAACCCTAACCCTAACCCTAACCCTAACCCTGCAGCTAAGCAAACGTTTGCTTCTTTTTTCCCCTTCTGTAATGAATTAATCCCAACAAAACCCTTTAAAACAACAGACGGGTAAAAAGGACCGGGAAAGACGATGGTAATGAGGATAAAACTGTACGGCAGTCCCACCTGTCGAGACAATCCGGCCAGCCCGAAGTGCTCTAGAGAACATCTGCACTTTCCTGGGATACAAGCCCCAGAAATAGGCTACTAGATGGCCAGCTGACCTAGAGCTAAGCAGAAGCCATCAGCTGGAGGCAGCGCAGAGGGTGGAGGAGGTTTCTATAAAGGAGGGAGGAAGAGAGAAGGGTGACTTAGGCATAAGTCTCTTGCCCCTCTTTTACTATTCATGTTGAAATCTGTCAAGACAAGGCTTACGAAGAAACCAAAGCACAAGCTAAACCTTATGAAATTGAAATCTAGAAGCCAGGTGCAGTGGCTCACATCTGTAATTGCAGCACTTTGGGAGGCTGACGCAGGCGGATAACTGGAGGTGAGGAGTTCAGGACCAACCTGGCCAACATGGCAAAACCCAGTCTCTACTAAAAACACAAAAATTAGCCAGGTGTGGTGGTGCATGCCTGTAATCCCCGCTACTTGGGAGGCTGAGGCACAAGAATCGTTTGAACCCCGGAGGTGGAGGTTGCAGTGAGCTGAGATCATGCCACTGCATTCCAGCCTGGGCGACAAAGCGAGACACTCTGCCTCAAAAAAAAAAAAGAAAAGAAAAAAAGAAAAGTCTGGAGACAAAGCAAAACATCTATTCAGTAGGTCAACTGATAGACTAAGGGCATGTGTGTGGAAGCTGAGATATGGCTCATGTACCCCTAAAATTATTCTTCATGTGGGTTACAGTCCACGGACCTACCTAATCCTGTGATCATTCTATTTCAGGCTGGTCTTACCAGCTCATAAATGTGGTAAGTTCCCCCCTGGTTGGGCTTCAAACGCCCTGAGGTATCTTGATTTACAATTACGTGTTTGGGCTATTAGAATATGACATAGTAACTTGTTAGATGTCTTGTCAGTGCCCCTTTGCCCTTAGGGGGAAAAATAACTTAAACCTTTATTTGGCTTATGTTCGTGGTCAAAATTCAAAATGATCAAAAAAGGACACACTGAAAAAAATCTCCCACCCTTTTCCCTTCCCACCAAATTATTTTTTCTCCAAGGCAACCACTGTTACCAGTTTCTTATGTGTCCATCCGGAGAGATTCTCTGCATATACAATCATTAACAGTTCACAGACTATCTCCCCTTCAACTGATTTCCTACTTTATCTATAAGCACTTTTGACAAATCTCCATTTTTTTTTTTTTTTTTTTTTAGACGGAGTCTTGCTCTGTTGCCCAGGCTGGAGTGCAGTGGCACGATCTCGGCTCACTGCAAGCTCCGCCTCCCGGGTTCACGCCATTCTCCTGCCTCAGCCTCCCGAGTAGCTGGGACTACAGGCGCCCGCCACCATGCCCGGATAATTTTTTGTGTTTTTAGCAGAGACGGGGTTTCACCGTGTTAGCCAGGATGGTCTCGATCTCCTGACCTTGTGATCCGCCCGCCTCGGCCTCCCAAAGTGCTGGGATTACAGGTGTGAGCCACCGCGCCTGACCAAATCTCCATGTATTTAGCTTACATTTGTGTCTGGAAATAAAGCTCTGCAAGCAAGAGTAAAAAATACCAAGGATATAGTAGCGGTTCGACCTAACACAAAAAATAGATGACTGACTTCAAAATGACAGAATTGGGGGGAAGACAATTAGAAGGGGATGAAAATAATCTAAATGAAATTAATATAAGCCTCCCCCAAATAAGTGGGGAAAAAAATTGCAGCTGCCCCTCTGCCCTTTTCTTCTTTCCTACTATCATCATCAGAATCAGTATCACTTAGGATTTTAGTTGTTATTAAGCAAACACTGAGCACTTTCTCTCAGCCAGACAGACATTGTTCTAGGAGGTGGAAATAGAGCAGAGAACAAGACACTGCCCTCAAGGAGCCAAATGCTTGTGGTGCAGATAGGTAGCACAGGAGCCTGTGTGAAGATGCTAGATCCTGGCAGGCACAGGAGTTAAGGGGGCAGGGAAGTTGGGCTGCAGCTAGAGTGCCTGGGGAGGCCTCTCTGAGAAGGGACAGTTGAGAGCTCAGTGATGAGAGGTAGGGAGCAAGAACATTGTAAGCAGCAAGAACGGGCAGTGATCCTGAGCACAATCTGGTCAGAAACAGAAAAGAGAGTTTGGCTTTAGCCGGGAGAAGACCCTCCACTTCTTCCTTTCCTGCACATACAAACAATGCATATACCCCTCTTTAACAACTTAAATGGCTGTATGCCCCTTCACTATTCTGCTCCTAGCTTTTTCAATTATCTACCATGTATTTCAGGGATCATTCCCGATCAGCACACAAAACATGTCCTCATTCTGTTAAAGCTGTATGTTATTCCATTGTAGGGAAGAACCATAATTTATTCAACAGTGGTTACTGCTGGACTGCCAATGGCAATCCTGTGCTACTACAAACATGGATAGCCACACCCTTGTCAAAAGTGTTATTTTAGGATTTCTACCAATATGGTGAAAAATGGCACCTCCTTGTCATTTAAATTTGTCTCTTTATTAACAAAATTTAGCATCTTTTCTAATGTATGAGCCATTTGTATTTCCTTTCTTGCGAGCTGTTGGTTCCTTGCCCTTTAAAAACTGGACAGTTGCTATGTTTATTGATTTGTAGGGGATCTTATGGAAATCTGCACCTTGTTTGGCTCTGAGTTGCAAATAGTTTTCTCCTGGTTTGCTGTCTTTGTTTATGGCGGTCTCTGCCATGCACAAGTTTTTAAAAAAAATTATGAATGTATCATTGTTCTAAGCCTTTGAAGGATGTTGTCTCAGTTAAAATGAACTTCCTACTAAGGCAGGTACTACTCTGCTCGCTGATGCGAATGATCCAGCTGAAAGGGAGAAGACAGCAATGTGAGAGGGACTAAGTGCAGGAATGATGACACTGGGAGAGGGAGCGAGGCCCGGCACAAAGGTGGAGCAGCGGCCACAGGCAGTACCACAAGGCAGGCAAGATCCATGGGTACTGGCACTGGAAGGATGGTGGAGTCGCTGCTTCCAAACTCTCCCTCCTCTTTTCTTAGCCAAACACAGAGCTACTTTGAGGCGCAGGCCATTAGGCTTTACTGACCTTTGCCCCTCCTTATTGCTGCCACAACTAACCTCTCCAGTCACTCAATCCCCTGTCACTGACTGTATTAGTCCGTTCTCACACTGGTATCAAGAACTACCAGAGACTGGATAATTTATACAAAAAAGAAGTTTAATTGCCTCATGGTTCCACAGGTTGTACAGAAAGCATGGCTGGGAAGGCCTCAAGAAACTTTCAATCATGGCGGGAAGGGGAGGCAAGCACGTCTTACATGGGTGGCGCAGGAGGAAGAGACAGAAGTGGGAGGTGCCACACACTTTTAAACAACCAAATCTCATGAGAACTCACTATCACGAAAACAGCAAGGGGGAAGTCCATGCCCATGATCCAATCACCTCCCACCGGGCCCCTCCTCCAATGCTGGGGATTATAATTGGACAAGAGATTTGGGCGGGGCACTAATCCAAACCATATCATTGACCAACGACTTCAGCACTTGGGAGGAGTTTGCTCGTTTTCCCTTTTCCTCTCTTTCAAGTGACTTCAGTATCCACAGATGATCCAAACCTGGCCTCAATTTTTTCAACCTTCTCAGAGCCAATCAACTTTGTCTTTCACCCAGCTCAGCCACTTATTCACACGGCATTCTCTCATACCCAATGAAACTGCTGCAACTTTTACTTCAAAGGTTCTGCTCTCTGTTCATTTCCTCTTACCCTTCTTAGCTTGGATACTTTTGTACTTCCACTGAACTCAATGGCAAATCCAGGAGACAGGGAGAATTTGGAAGCAATGATGGGTTACAAAAGAGACATTTACTTCACCTCTCACTCTTGGGGAATGTGAAGCATGGGGGGGAAAAAGAGCCTCTGCCTGAGGTTGCTGCAGGTGGCAGTGTTTCCAGGGGACCACTGGGCCATTTCAGAAAAGGCAAGAAGATAAAGGGATCATTCATCAAGGAAGCAGAGACTGAAAGGAACCAATGGGTTCTAGTGTGTACACAGAAGCAGAGGATAGGGAGGGGTTGGAGAGGGGTCCATTCAGGGAATGTTCAGGGCAGAGTACAGATGAGCATCTTAAAGATGAGCATGATCTGGAGGACTGGATTTCTGGTGACAACTGCAATGGATATCAGAGCACAGTGTGAATGAGAACTTCTGGGTGGCTGTTTCTACCTGCGTCTAGTGATGTCACTGCTGTTGAGAGCGTGCAGCTGCTCACTTTCCAGAGGGTTACTGACCTAATGCATTTTCTGTTTTTTTGCTCATCTATTCTTTTTGATCCCCCCCTTTCATTTTTCTGGACAACATCCCTTGATAATTCTATAAAATAGGGATTATGAATGAGAAACTGAGTTCCTGCACACCTGAAAAATGTCTTCATTTGCCTTTGATATCTAAGGGATAGCTTCTGTGGGTACAGACTCTTAGGTTCTGGACTATGCTATTTCAGAACTCTGAATATGTTACTTTATCATCCTCTTGCGTGTTACCAGAAGACTCTGATGCCAACTTGATCCTTGATATTTTATAGGCTGGCCAGTTTTCTCTCTCTGGACGCTTCCATTATATGTGTACAATTTGAGTCTTCTTAAACTCATAACTTCACAGTGGGCACTCAGTGTTCCCTTTCAATCTACAAATTGTTGCTTACGTTCTGGGAAATTTTCTCCCATTATTTCATTGGTTATTTGCTCCCTCCTCCACTGTCTCTGTCTCCTCCTCCTAGAACTCCTACTAGATGAACACTGGAACTTCTGAAATGAGCCTCCTTATTGTATTCACTTTTCTGTCAGCCTTTCTATCTCTTTGTCTTATTTTATATTCTAGGACAATTCTTTGGCTCATTCGTCCTGCTCACTTTCTTCCTTTAGTTGTATCCATTCTGCTACTCAACCCTTTAATGAGGTTCTAACTAAAGGATCATGTTTTATTTCCAAGGTCTAGGAAATAAAAATCATTCTTTTTTCTTATTTCATGAGTGCAGCATTCTCTTTTTATCTCTTTCAGGGATAAATTCACTTCCCTTAAAGTCTTCTTTAGGTTCTTATTAGGATCCTCCAATGTGAGCTTTTCAGTTTCTTCAGTTTGGTGTTTCTTTTATGATGGTTTGGCGACTGTTATGTGCTTGCTCATGGCTGTCTAGATCCTCGGTGTGTAAATGCTGCATTACTTCACCACTGCCAATCTCCATCGGTTACAGGGGAAGGGCAGGATATGCAGGGCTTCTGGACTCTGACTTCCACCTTTAATTTGATTCCCTCAGCCTTCTGCCCTTTAGGAATTCCTCAGATTTCTAGACTTCTCAGGATGCTTCTTTTCTTCTAGCATTGCCAGGACATATATCTAACATATTAGGGATTTGGGGCATACATGTGATGCATGTTCAGTCTGCCAACTTGAGAGCCATCTTAACAGGAGCCCTTCAGCACTCACCAGGTAGAAGCTGTTCTAGATATGAACCACTAATACCAAGGATCTTATAGTGGAAGACAAAGATTCCTTAAAAATCTTTAAATGGCACATGGAGAAGATGTCTTAAGATGATCAATCCATTTTCTTTGCTTTGCTTACCAAACAAATCTTCCTGTTACTTTTTATGATTTTTCTGGTTTTGTTTATTATTTTCTCATACTAGTTTTTGCATGCCTCAATAGGACAGACTCCTCTAGTTACTGAAATAGTAATTTTAAGTTAATAAGCAAGCATTTGAGTTTTGTAAGACAAATGTAACGCCAGCCTTATGATTGTCATGAATCAATTCATCGCAATCTAATCGACTGATAAAATCACATTTCCAGGACCGCAATGCTCCTACGATGATCCTGTAACAGAGGTATCGACAACAACCCTGGAGCCTCCTTCAAATTATGGGACATCACCAACAATCAATCACTAAGAGAAGAAATAATTTAGAAGAAGAATTCATTTTTGGTTACTCAAATATAACCCAATTTAAAGGAGACTGTTATTTCTCTTCTCTAGTAAGCTACAGACAGGATCTGCTCCCTTTAATAAGATGCTTGGTTAATAACATTTATTTACAGAGTAAAATTTTCTCATTATTTCCCTCCACACTAAAATATTTACATAAACTCAAACCACTTATGTTGCCTATTCCAACCAGTTTCTTGTCAGAGTGAGTAGGAAAATTCTTCATTAAATGTCATTGCCTTTGGGGTAAACAGAACATAAATAAAAAACCAGTTTTATTAAGGTTCTGCAATAAGAGGAACTATTTTTTGGACGAAATTTCTTTCTGCAAGTGAAGTTAAAGTTTTAAGAAACTTAAGAAAGAGAAGCCCATTGATAGACGCTCTACTTCTCTGTCACAGATTCTTTTCTGTCTTCTGTTTTTCATCTGCTGAGTAAGAAAAGAGTTAACTTATAAATGAGAGGAATGTTGTTTCAGCTCTACAGAAAGCTTTTAAGGATGAGGTCAATGCGAGGACCAGCTTCTTCATTAACTCATTAACAAGACAGGTCACTGTGGCCTCAGGGTTCATTTATCAGCAGGAAAACCTCAGCTGGTAATGGCTGGTTGTTTCCTGCACCTCTCAAAATTCCAAGCAGAGAAGTAGACTCCATTGTGAGTCTGTTTCCTGACTTGGAAGTAAAAAAAATATTTTCATGATGACCATTCTTTTCTCAGGCTGGAGTTACATTTGGCCCAAAGACACACTGGGCATGCACAGTGCTTCCACTCCCAGAGCACTTTCTAATGCTTTCTTCCCTCTCCAGTTAATTATTCCTAATGATGCTATGTGCATCTCATTGGGTCTTCCTGACAAGGCACCAGTTTTTAAATGAATTTTTATGTAAATGTTAATGGCTGTAAATTAGGCAAGTTGCAGCAGTAATTGCCCACCCGTCCACCTGCACCACATACCACCAGCTACAATTCTCTTTGACAGCTGCTGTTCTTAACTGGGACCTACTATTCCTAGTCCACAGTGGGATTCAAAGTTATTAATAACCCTATGGCAACCTAACTGGCTTTGCTATAATGTTCAGAAAGGTTTTCTTTTGTTTGTTCCTAGCATCTACCTTGGAGGAAGGAAATTATGAAGAGATTATCTTGAGGCTGTCAAGAGAAGATTGGTAGTTTTTCTCCAAAATAAGAGATTGGCTAGATTAGCAGAGAGTTTAAAGCAAAACTTCAAGGGAACCCTCTCAGTGAGGGGATTATAAATGCAACTCCTATGTCTGGCATTGCTCTGGCAATTTGGGAAGGCTTCTTTGACAGCAGAAGGTTTCAGCAGAGTGTAGAAAGGAAAAAAAAAAAAGGCCTGACCCTGCAATGCTGACACACTTTCCACAGCTCCAGCCATAGCATTTCTGGGGGAGGCCAAGCTGTCCTGTTCTCTTTCTTCTTCTTGCTTTAGTATTTTCCACCGTTTCTAGGACTCCCTTTCTGTGCTCAGTTTATTGCTGTACTCAAGCAGCCAGGTAACGAGGCAGTGTGGTTCCATGGAAAAGTAACTCTAGCTGGAGCAATCAAAAGACCTAGGTCTTTCGACTCTGTTCTGGTCCTTTGCCTCTCTTAACTTCCCTTTCCTGCAAAAGAAGCAGGTCCCTGTGGTCTCTTTCTCTTCTAAAACTCCAGTGGCATTTTATTAATTCCTAATATTTGTATAGTTCACACATTCCAAGTTAAATAGCTTTTTTAAGGATGTACCTCATCCCTGAATATCACAGGCCACACCAACAGATGTTTCCAAAGGCCAGCACATTGCCAAAAATTCACTGTCAGGATTGATTTGTGGCTTCTGCTATGCCAATGATTTTATAACCCTCTGTTAACATCGAAGTTTACTTTTTACTTTAAGATGTAGAGAACACTGGTGCTTTTGAATTACCATTGCTGGAAAAGTCTGGGATGTATTGTTTTAAAAAATTGCTACTTGCTACAGTCACAAATCCTTGTTGGCACTCCTGTCTGCACTAGTATCCTTCCTCATTTGCCAGGAAGAAAAAGTCAGTATAACAGGAACTTATGTATCCAAAACTCTGCCATGTCTCAGCTTCAGAATAGCTTTGGCAAAGTAGATTGTTTTCTTTACCAGCTGACTCATTAACAGAAAGGCTGTAAAAGTTTGTTTACTTGGAACAAAAGGGGCAGGTAGTAAGGAGGTCACTGCTGGCTCATCACTTCCCACCCCTAATGGTAGCCAAAGCCAAATGCAGAGTTAGAGTTCTGCCTGGCCCTGTACATCTGCACACGTGGGCTCTATCTGCATACTACAGCGGAAAAAAAACATCCTTTCTCTAGGCTCTTACTTGGGGGAAGAAGAACAAATATTTTGAGGTTAGGTGGCTAGGTTAAGAATCAGCAATCTTCCTCTTGCCTTTGGAAGAAACCACAGGGCAGTGATTCTCAACCTTGGGTCATTCTGCCCTCAGGAAACATTTGGTACAGTCTGGAGAAATTTTTGGTTGCCACAATCTGGGGAAGATATTACAGACATCTAGTGGGTAAAGGCTAGGGATGCTGCTAAACATGCTGTAATGCACAGGACAAAGAACTATCCAGCCCAAATGTCAGTGGTGCTAAGGTTGAGGAGTCTGCCCTAGGTGAGATGGCACCCCCTCAATCCAATGGGGTCACTGGAGATCTGCTGCATGGAGGATGGCAGTCTCCCTGGTAAGGCACTCTGAGCTCCCTGGAAGAAAACAACTAGATTTAAGGTCAGGACTATTAGTGAACAAACCCCATAGGTACCAACTTCTGGTTGTTCTTGGGGAAGACAGAGACTTGCTTTGTCCTCAGAAAAATGGAAAAAAGTCCCTGGGCTAAACTGCAAGGCTCTACTACATGACACTAAATAAGTTAAAAAATGTTCCAGCAAAAACTCCTTTACATTTTAGCTCTTTAGAGAACAAAATGCTGCTGGCACTAGATAGCAGGCCTCTCCGCACATGCATGTTCTCTCTTGCTGAATAGCAGTTCCTCTGTTGAGGATTCCACCTCTGAGCAGTCCTCAAGGAGTCGTGGAACAGCCTGGCTATGGTTTCCTTACACTAAATGTGTTGACTCCATTTTTTTCCAGCAAAAAAGGTGCAGTTAGTTCCACATCATGTAGATGAGAAACAAACACTAATGGAACAGTTCCAAGATGGAAAGGAAATGTAGAGAAAATGTATGTGTATGACAAAACAGCTAGGCCAATTCCCAGTCATTTGAGGGGGTTGGGGGACACAAGGCCTCAGGGCACCTGGGGAAGCCTGGAAAAGAGTTCATGACTTCATCACTAGCTCAATTATTTTACAAGCTTCCAAAAAGAAACTAGGCAGTAAGTTTCAGAACTGCCTTGGCCAGTAAACTAAAAATGGTCAATATCCTAGCACTGACTAGCCCTAGTCATACCACTCACAGTAACTCAGTTAATCAATGCAGGGTCATCTCGCGCATGAAAGGCTGATTTCCTAAGAAGGCAAAGAAAAGGAAATAATTCTGTAGATGATCTGGTAGTTGAGTAGACGGGGCAATACATAAGCATGCGACATTTTATGCAGAATTTTTAAAGGCATTTGCTTAATTGTGACATTTTAAGAATCTCTAGCAGGGTACTCACTTCCACAGCATGTATACTAAAATTAGAATCTCTAGCAGGAAACAGTTTCCCCCATTCCCAAATTAAAGCAGCACGAATAATTTTAGAGGTCTTATTTAGTGCAATTACTGTATGACAACAAGCTGTAATAAACCAGTTACTTAAAACCCAACCGATGAATTGCTTGGCTACTGGATGAAAGTAACTAACTTTTGGCAGTAGTGCATAAATTCTGAAGCTGATGAAAAGCTTGCTCTGTCAGTATATACAAGGCTTTGAGGGACTATGCATGTTTTTTCACTGGTATACACAAACATAAAAAGGAACCAGAGTGATGGCTACACAACACTGTGTATGTACGAAATGCCACTGAATTGTACACTTTAAAATGGTTAATTTTATGTTAGGTGTATTTCACCACAGTAAGAAAACAAAGGAAATCAGGTGTCAAATCACTTTAATTGCTTTAGAAAACAAAATCATGGGACTTATGCCATTAGAAAAGTAACTATAAAATAATGGTACAATTCGTGACTGAACAACCACGTTATAGCTTATGTTCAGATATTTTATAGTAGGCGTGTATTCACCTAAGAAAAACCAAAACAAGAAGAAAAACTGAATGAAAAGCTACTCAAAACAAATCTTCAGAAAGGGACTAATAACCCTTACAAAGAGCCCAGAAGTAACATCATTTAGAAAGAACATCCTGGCTGGGCACAGTGGCTCACACCTGTAATCCCAGCACTTTAGGAGGCCCAGATGGGTGGATCACAAGGTCAGGAGTTTGATACCAGCCTGGCCAATATGGTGAAACCTTGTCTCTACTAAAAATACAAAAATTAGCTGGGCATGGTGGTGCGTGCCTGTAGTCCCAGCTACTTGGGAGGGTAAGGCAGGAGAATCACTTGAACCCAGGAAGCAGAGGTTGCAGTGAGCTGAGATCGTGCCACTGCACTCCAGCCTGGGCAACAGAGGGAGACTACATCTCAAAAACAAAAAAAGAAGAAAGAAAAAAAGAAAGAACATTTTCAGGCTGGGTAAAGTGGCTCGTGTCTGTAATCACAGCACCTTGAGAGACTGAAGTGGGAAGATCACTTAAGCCCAAGAGATCAAGACCAGCCTGGGCAATCCCAGCACTTTGGGAGACTGAGGCAGGAGGTTCACTTAAGCCCAAGAGTTTGAGACCAGCCTGGGCAACAAAGCAAGACCCCATCACTACAAAAATAAAACAGGCTGGGAGCAGTGGCTCACACCTATAATCCCAGCACTTTGGGAGGCCGAGGCAGGTGGATCACTTAAGGTCAGGAGTTTGAGACCAGCCTGGCCACCATAGCAAAACCCTGTCTCTACTAAAAATACAAAAATTAGCTGGGCATGGTGGTACATGCCTGTAGTCCCAGCCACTCAGGAGGCTAAGACATGAGAATCGCTTGAATGTGGGAAGTGCAAGTTGCAGTGAACCTAGACCGTACCACTTTACCTCAGCCTGGGTGACAGAGTGAGACTCTGTCTCAAAAACAAAACAAAACAAAAAAAAACAAAACATTATCTGGGCATGGTGGCTATGCATCTGTAGTCCCAGCTACTTAAGAGGCTGAGCAAGAGGAAGGAGGACTGTTTAAGCCCAGGAGTTCAAGGATGCAGTGAACTATAATCATGTCACTGTTCTCCTCCCTAGATGACAAAGACCCTGTCTCTTAAAAAAGAAAGAAAAGAACATCCCAAAGTCTGCAAGAGAGTTTGGTAATAAGAGATCAAGATCATATGTTTTTTTCATGCCATGAGTTGTTAAACAAAAGATCATTTGTTTTCTTACTGTGATCAGTTAGACCACCATGAGGAAAATAATTAAGTAAACTTTAAAATCTTGAAAAATGCTGAAAACTTTGAAAAATGTTCAAGGCACATGACAGTGGGTCCTAAGTTGGTGCTCATTTGCTGTAAGACCTGGTCATGTCATCGGTGACTAAGCTGAGGCTGCACCAGAGAACATAATCAAGGTCTTCTAGATATGAGGTCTGAGGCTTCCAGGTCTCTACTCAAGAAGAAATCTGAATGCATGTGAAGTGAAAAAGAATTGGATGGTAGTGTGAGCAACACGGAACAATGGCTCAAATGTCAATGTTCAGTACTCCCAATGCATCTCCCATGAGCACTTCACTGTGCTTAAATTCTGCTGAATCCTCAGTGTTTACTAGCACATGTGAAGTGAAAGTAACAGAAAGGTGGTGAGATTGTGTCCTGGATTCTGACATCAAAGCTGTAGGTAAATGTAAATGAAGTAGCCCAAGGACCAGGAATGTCAATGTGCTGAAGTTCTCTAGGGGTAAACTCTCCAGTGTAAAGAGCACCAGGTAGGGCTGGGCATGGTGGCTCACGCCTGTAATTCCAGCACTTTGGCAGGCCGAGGCAGGTGGATCACGAGGTCAGGAGATCGAGACCATCCTGGCTAACACGGTGAAATCCCATCTCTACTAAAAATACAAAAAATTAGCCGGGCGTGGTGGTGGGTGCTTGTAGTCCCAGCTACTCGGGAGGCTAAGGCAGGAGAATGGCGTGAACCTGGGAGACGGAGCTTGCAGTGAGCCGTGATCATGCCACTGCACTCCAGCCTGGGTGACAGAGCAAGACTCTGTCTCAAAAAAAAAAAAAAAAAAAAAAAAAAAAAAAAAGAGTACCAGGTGGACAGGATGAAGGAAGCAACAATAAACTAAGTTTTATATAATCGATATTGGATATACTTTGATTTTCCAAGATAGCTCTAAAATCTTCCACTCAAAAAAAAAAAAAAAAAGTCAGCACCTACTACAAAAGATTGATATGCCATCCAAACTCTGGAAATAATTTTGCCCCATTCCTCTTCTCTGAGGTGGTATTTTGCTGCCTAATCAAAACTCGAAAATCTAGTTAGTCAACAGGACTTGCCCACCCCACTCCTGAAAAAAAATTCTGCTTAGCTTGGGAAAACACAGATGGTCTTGTCTGTCCTTCCATATGACAGCAAGTAGTTGGTGTCACAATGCGTCCCGGGAGCAGGAGTTCAGTAACAAGGGTCAGCATTTCTTTATTAATAGCATGAAAATGCATCCCAAGTGACCTTCAAAATAGAAGAAAGAACAGGCCAGGCACGGGGGGCTCACACCTGTAATCCCAGCACTTTGGGAGGCTGAGGTGGGTGAATCACGGGGTCAGAGTTCGACAACAGCCTGGTCAACATGGTGAAACCCTGTCCCCACTAAAAGTACAAAAAGTCAGCTGGGCATAATGGCGGGCGCTTGTAATCCCAGGTACTCAGGAGGCTGAGGCAGGAGAATCGCTTGAACCCAGGAGGCGGAGGTTACAGTGAGCCGAGATCGGACCATTGCACTCCAGCCCTGGCGACACAGTGAGACTCCATCTCAAAAAAAAAAAAAAAAAAAAAGAAAAAGAAAAAGAAAAAGAAAAAAGAAAAAAAAAGCAGGCGCAGTGGCTCACGCCTGTAATCCCAGCACTTTAGGAGGCCCAGGTGGGTGGATCACGAGGTCAAGACATCGAGACCATCCTGGTTAACACGGTGAAACCCTGTCTCTACTAAAAATACAAAAAATTAGCTGAGTGCAGTGTCAGGCACCTGTAGTCCCAGCTACTCGGGAGGCTGAGGCAGGAGAATGGTGTGAACCCGGGAGGCGGAGGTTGCAGTGAGCTGAGATCGCGCCACTGCACTCCAGCCTGGGTGAAAGAGCGAGACTCCGTCTCAAAAAAAAAGGAAGAACAAAGCAATACAAAACCATAAATTTAAAGGGAAAACTTTACAGTGGAGACATCTGACAAACTCCATCTTGACCAAATGATTAAAGTTAATATGAGTAATACACTGATATATGAGAAAAGGACAAATCCCCTCTCTGGTGGTCTCTCCAACATCCATAACCTCATTCTCATCATGCGAAATCACGAAGCAAACCCAAATGAAGACACACTCTACAAAATACCTGGCCAGCACTTTCCAAAGGCAATGTCATGAAAAATAAATATAGGCTGAGAAACTGTCATGGGGCGGGAGAAGACTAAGGAGACATGACAACTAACTAAATGTGGAAAATGGGTTTGGGTCCTGGAACACAAACGGTTATTAGTGGGAAAACTGTCAAAATCTGAAGTCTATCGTTTAGTTAATGGCGCTGTACCAATGTTAATTTCTTTCTTTTTTAGAGACAAGGTCTCACTTACTATGTTGCCCAGGCTGGAGTACAGTGGTGATTCACAGGAGTGATCACAGCACACTGCAACTTCAAACTTCTGGCCTCAAGCAGTCTTCCCTCCTCAGTCTCCAAAATAGTTGGGACTGCAGGTGTGAACCATGCTTGGCTCCCAATGTTAATTTCTTAGTTTTGATAAATGTACTAAGATTATATAAGATGTCAGCATTAGAAGAAGCTGGGTGAAGCGCTTATGGGAACTCTGTACTATCTTTACAACACTTCTGTAAATCTAAAGTTATTTCAAAATAAAATTTAAAAACAATAAACAAAAAAATCAACTTTAAGCCCAAAGCCTAAAATTTCTTGGGCTCTGCTTTTGTGGCTCATCTTGAATGGGAAAGAAATGCTCATTTAATATTAAAAACCTGCAGTAGACCATAAGTTGTTTTTTTCTTTTTTGGCTCACTTTATATTTTTAAAATTCAAATTTTACTGCAGTAATTATTTACTGCAAGCTTTTTTTTGTATTGATATAATTTGCACATCATAAGATACAGCTCTTAAGTGAATCATGTCTGTGTTGCCATATTATCTTTCAATCCATGAACATTAAATGTCTTTACTCAGAACTCATTAATTTCTTTGAACAGTATTTTGTAGATTTCAGCATACAATTGTGCACATCTATTGTCAAAGTTATTCCTATTCTTTTTGATGCTTTTGTAAATGGAACTGTCTCCATTTAATTTTTGTTTTCAGAGACAGGGTCTTGCTGTCTGCCACCCAGGCTGGAGTATAGTGGTACGATCACAGCTCACTGCAGCCTCAAACTCCTGGGCTGGAGCGATCCTCCTGCCTCAGCACCCTGAGTAGCTGGGACTACAGGGGCATGCCACCACACCTGGATAACTTTTTTTGTTCGTTTTCTGGTAGAGATGGAGTCTCTGTTGATCAGGCTGGTTTTAAATTCCTGGCCTCAAGCAATTCAGCCTCTTAAAGCCTCCCAAAGTGCTAGGATTACATCCATGAGCCACTGCACCAGGGCTGTCTCCTTAATTTCATTTTTGGATGGTTCACTGCTAGTTTATAGAAATACAGTTCTTAGGCTGGGTGCGGTGGGTCACACCTGTAATCTCAAGGCACTGTGGGAGGCCAAGGCAGGTGGATTACTTGAGGGCAGTTCAGGACCAGCCAGGCCAAAATGGTGAACTCCCATCTCCACTAAAAATAGAAAAATTAGCCGGGCGTGGTGGCGGGCGACTGTAATCCCAGTTACTCAGGAGGCTGAGGCAGGAGAATCACTTGAACCCGGGAGTGGAGGTTGCGGTGAGCCAGGATCATGCCACTGCACTCTAGCCTGGGTGACAGAGCGAGACTCTGTCTCAAAAAAAGAAAAAAAAGAAATATAGTTCCTAGCACTTTGGGAGGCTAAGGCAGAAAGACTGCTTGACCCCAGGTTGAGAATGCAGTGAGCTGTGTTTGTGCTGCTGTACCCCAGCCTGGGCGACAGAGCGAGACTCCGTCTCAAAAAAAAAAAAAAAAAAAAAAAAAAAAAAAAAAAAAAAAATATATATACATACATATATACGGTTGATTTTTACATATTGATCTTGTATCTTGTAACCTTGCTGAACTTGTTCATTAGTTCTAATCAATTTTTAGTGGATTGCTTAGGATTTTCTCCATATTAGAGCATACCATCTGGGAATAGTTCAACTCCTTTCTCTCCAATTTGGATGCCTCTTGTTTCATTTTCTTGTCTAACTGCCCTGGCTAGAAGCACCAATACAAAGTAGAATAGAGATGGCATGAGTAGACATACTTGTCTTTTTCCTATCTTAGGAGAAAAGCATTCGGTTTTTCATGATTAAGTATGACATTAGTGGTGGGTTTTTCATGGATGTCCTTTATCAGATTGAGGAAGTTCCTTCTATTCTTAGTTTGCTAAGTGTACTCTGTTCTTTTTTATAGCTGAATAATATTCTACTGTTTGGACATACATTTTGTTCATCTGTGTTTATCAGTTGAAAGTCATTTGAGTACCTCTACTTTTTGGATGAATAATGCTGCTATGAACATATGTGTGCAAGTTTTTGTGTGGATATATGTTTTCATTTTTTGTGGGTATATGCACAGAATTGTTAGGTTGTATACAGCTCTATGTTTAACTTTGAGAATCTGCCAAACTCTTTTCCTATGTGGCTACACCATTCTATATCCAACCAGCAAGGTATGAAGGTTTCAACTTCTCCATACCCTTGCCAACACTTGCTATTTCCATCTTTTTAAATTATAACCATCCTAGTGGGTGTGAAGTATTATCTCACTGTGGTTTGATTTGCATCTCTCTAATGAATAATTATGTATTATAAGCTCTTTTAAATTAAGTATTGTTATTTTTAAATTATTACAGACATTTAATCAGACACTTAATTGGCCATAACTTAAGTAGAGGATAGCCTTAAATTACGTTGAAATCCTTGCCAGAAACCACAAAAACATATAAGCATAAGACTATTCATTGCAAGACTCTGTAATAACAAAAGACTAGAAGCAACCCAAATGTTATCAAAGAAAACTAATTGAACAAACTGGTAATTCATACAATGAAATACTTTGCATCCGAAAACAAAATAAATGAGGAAACTCTCAAATGAAAAAAAGTAGAGAAAATTGTATATGGTCTATTACCGTTAATCCAAGATACGCAAGATAAATAAAAATTTAAATGGGAACAAAAGCAATTCCCAAAAATAAATGAACCTAATGTGTCCAACTGGTAACATTACTACAAACAGAAAAACTACTTCAAGTGACTTTAGAACACAGAAATTTGACTATACATTTCTAGTGAGATAAAATCTAATGACAAAAAAAAACTGCAAAAACAAAACAAAGCACAACAAGCCAATTTAAACCATTTGTACTAATCATACATACAATAGGTCAATGTATGTATTGTGAAATAAAATAAATGGATATTTATATGACATCTCATCATTCCGGTGTTTTGTTCTTAGGAAGGTAGAAGCTTCAGATTTAAGATAACCTGAGAGTTCTAAACTTGATTTGTAAGTAGCTGTACTGTTTCTAAAGTAAAGAAATAAAAATAAGACAAAGCAAAACATAATTATTTACTCTATGTATTGATAAATCCTTGAAACAATAACCAACTCAGTAGCAACTGGCATTCTTATCCCTAATGTCTTGAAATAATGTTTCCCACAGAAAGAAAGCAGGGCTTCCAGATTAGATGACTAATACCAGGTCTGGGACAGGAAATGTACTAAAGGGGCCTGGAATGTTTTGTTATGCCATACAGGGATGGAAGCTAGCAAAGACTATTAAGGTCACTATCAAAATAACTAACTAATTTGAAGAACTTATTTGTCAAATATAAAACACTTTGAGAATCAATAAGGATAATGACTGCAATGGACTGAAACAACATCAAATGTTTAAATTCATGAGTTCATAATAAAAAAATACAAATTAGTTACTATGGAGGAGGTTAGTGTACCAATCAATTTTGAAAATGAAAGGGAAAATACTTATCTTTCCTATATGAATTGGGAAAATAAAAGGATATGAAAAGGTAAATAGCCAAGTGTGGTGGCTCACGCCTGTAATTCCAGCACTTTGGGAGGCTGAGGGAGGTGGATCATTTGAGGTCAGGAGTTCGAGACCAGCCTGGCCAACATAGTGAAACCCCGTCCCTATTAAAAATACAAAAATTAGCCAGGTGTGGTGGCACACGCCTATAATCCCAGCTACTCAGGAAGCTGAGGCAAGAGAATCACTTGAACCCGGGAGGTAGAGGTTGCAGTAAGCCAAGATTGCGCTACTGCACTCCAGCCTGGGCGACAGACTGAGACTCTGTCTCAAAAAAAAAAAAAAAAAAAAAAAAAAGAAAAGGTAAATGAAAGAATTTATTCGCTGGGTGCTGTGGCTCACACCTGTAATCCCAGCACTCCGGGAGGCTGAGGTGGGTGGATTACTTGAGGTCAGGAGTTTGAGACCAGCCTGGCGAACATGGCAAAACCCTGTCTCTACCAAAAATACAAAAATAAGCCAGGCATGGTGGTGCGTGCCTGTAGTCCCAGCTACTGGGGAAGGTGAGGCAGGAGAATCGCTTGAACCCAGGAGACGGAGGTTGCAGTGAGTCGAGATCACGCCACAGCACTCCATCCTGGGCAACAGAGTAAGACTTTGTCTCAAAAAAACAAAACAAAACAAATTAAAAACCAACAAAAAGACCACCCAATTAAAAAAAAAAGAATTTATCTTCCTATATGAATTGGGAACCAAACAGAGAAGGAGATGAGACTTATTATCTTTAGAAGCATTACAACAAATAAATGAAGAAATGATAAAATTAGACTGCCATCATTTCATAACCATAAGTGTAATAAGTGTATCATAATCATAAGTGTATCTCTATCTTTTTAAAAAAATAATAATTTTATTACAGGGACGTTTATGTCTTCCTTTAAAGATTCAGAACTTTAACTATGGTTTGACTCACAATTTTTTGCCTTTTATCATGGTGTGAAAGTGATATGCATTCCGTACAAACTACTCTGAGTACCCATACACCCATTCTGGTTTTCACTTCCAGTACAGTATTTGATAAACTACATAAGATATTCAACACTTTATTATAAAATAGACTTTGTGTTACATGATCCTAGTGTATCTAGGATATCAACAGCTACTAGCATCACAAAAAAAGAAAACCAGACCTTATGTGTCCCAAAATAAAACATCACTCTAATACAGTCTTGATAAGAAAAACTATATATGTGAAATTGAAATCTGATTGTCTTCCGATAAAACTACCAATTTACAAGAAACACACAGGACAGAGGAACATGTTAAACTCTACTATGAGGATGTAACCAGCAAAACCCATGAGTATGTGGGCAACATCCTCAGTTTCTTCAGCTCAGTTTCTTCAACAAATACATTCCAAGTAGAAAAATTGAAAAAAAGATGGAATAGAAATCTGATGATTAAAAAGGACTAAGAGGCAGTGCCAACCAACTGCCATGTATAGACCTTACTGGATCCAAACAAACTGTAAACAATTAACCAAACTTATTAGACCAATTAGATATTTAAACACTGACTGGGTATTTGGTAATATCATGAAGACATTATTTTTTCTTAGGTATGTGAATAGTATGTAGTTATGTTTAAAAAGAAGAGATACATACTGAAATATTTATGGGTAAATATTTTTAGATATATATCAAAAATTTATGTGTAAAATTATATACAATACCTGAAATTTGCTTCAAAATCATATGTGGGAGTTAGGTAGGAGTACAGGTGATATATAAATAGTCATTAATGAGGCTGGGGGCGGTGGCTCACGCCTGTAATCCAGCACTTTGGGAGGCCGAGGCGGGCAGATCACAAGGTCAGGAGATCGAGACCATGGTGAAACCCCATCTCTACTAAAAATACAAAAAATTAGCTGGGCGCGGTGGCGGGCACCTATAGTCCCAGCTACTCAGGAGGCTGAGGCAGGAGAATGGCATGAACCCGGGAGGTGGAGCTTGCAGTGAGCCGAGATCGTGCCACTGCACTCCAGCCTGGGCGACACAGCAAAAGTCCGTCTCAAAAAAAAAAAAAAAAAAAAAAAAAAAAGTCATTAATGGTTAATTACTGAAGTAGATTTAAAAAATGGACCATGGTATTAAAAGAAATAATGATAAAAAATTCCTTAACAGAGTTTTCAAACCATTTTTCCCTTCAGTTTTAAAGCTTTTTGTTATTTTACTGAATCTCTGTTCTAAGCCCCTTTCTGGGAACAGAAAAGACTATGTCCCTTACTATAGTTTGACTTAGAATTTTTTGCCTTTATCATGGTGTGAAAGTGATATGCATTCAGCACAAACTACTCTGAGTACCCATACGCCCATTCTGGTTTTCACTTCCAGTATAGTATTTGATAAATTACATAAGATATTCAACACTTTATTATAAAATAGACTTTGTGTTACATGATTTTGTCCAAGTACAGGCTAAGGTAAGTGTTGTGAGCACATTTAAGGTAGGCTAGGCCAAGCTTTGATGTTTGGTAGGTTGGGTGAATTAAATGCATTTTCAACGTATATTTTCAACTTACAATGCATTTATTGGGACATAACCCCATCATATGTCAAGGAACATGTGTAGTAACTTGCTGAGTGCCTGCCACATACCCGCACATTCTCTCATGGCTCTGCATTCACTGTTGTGGAGAAGAAAGTTGAAAGAGATCACAGAGCGGGATATGGCCAGGGAGGAATGTGAAGTCCTGGTCTGCCTAACTCCAGCCTTAAAGTCATATGAGCATGAGGTTCACAGCCTTGGTGTTAAAAAAAAAATCCAAGACATATCTCCAAGAGAAGTGTCCTCATGATGCATAAAAACATGATGGCACTGTTAGTCTCTCAGTTCTGACAAATGCACCATGGCTATGCAAGATGTTGGGTAAAAGTACATGGCACTCTCTGTTCCATCTTTCCAACTCTTCTGTAAGTCTAAAATGTGCTTCTTTTCTTAAATGTGGTGGGGAAAGGGAAAAGTGCTGTTTTAAAAGTTACTGCTTAAATGCAACAGGGTATCCGCAACTGGATCCTGGAATAAGATGCTAAAAGACACTTGTGGGAAAATGGGAAATTATAATAAAGAGTGGAGTTTGGATAATAGTACCGTCCCGTTGTTAATCTCTTAATTTTGACAAATGTACCACTGCCAAATATAAGATGTTAACATCAGAGAAAGCTGGGTGACACATGCAGGGACACCTAGGAGATATTTTGGGTTCAGTTCCAGACCACAGCAATGAAGCAAATATCACAGTAAAGTAAGCCACACAAATTTTTTGGTTTCCTAGTGTATATGTAAGTTATGTTTACACCGCACTGCAGTCTATTAAGTGTGTAATAGCATTATGTCTAAGAAAAACAATGTACAGATCTTCATTTTAAAATATTGCTAAAAATGCTGCTGATCATCTGAGCCTTCAGTGAATCAAAATCATTTTGTTGGAAGAAGGTCTAGCTTCAGTGTTGATGGCTGATGACTGATCAGGGTAGTGGTTGCTGAAGGCTGGGGTAATTGTGGCAATTTCTTAAAATAAAACAACAGTGAAGTCTGTCACATTGACTCCTCTTTCATGAAAGATTTCTGTAGCATGCAATGCTGTTTGATAGCATTTTACCCAGAGTAAAACTTATTTCAAAATTGAAGTCAATCCTCTCAAACCCTGCTATTGCTTTATCAACTAAATATATACTATTCTAAATCCTTTGCTGTCATTTCAACAATGTTGACAGCATCTTCACCAGGAGTAGATTCCATCTTAAGAAACCACTTTCTTTGTTCATCCATAAGAAGCAACTCCTCATCTGTCAAAGTTTTATCATAAAATTGAAGCAATTCAGTCACATCTTCAGGCTCTGATATGGTCTGACTCTGTATCCCCATCTAAATCTCACCCTGAATTACAATAATCTCCATGTGTCAAAGGCAGGATAAGGTGGAGGTAACTGAATCATGGGGGCAGTTCCCCCATGCTGTTCTCATGATAATGAGTGAGTCTCCTGAGATCTGATGGTTTTATAAGCATCTGGCATTTCCCCTGCTTGCACTCATTCTCTCTCCTGCCACCCTGTGAAGAGGTGCCTTCCGCCATGACTGTAAGTTTCCTGAGGCTTCCCCAGCTATGCGGAACTGAGAGTCAATTAAATCTCTTTTCTTTACAAATTACCCAGTCTCGGCTATTTCTTCATAGCAGTGTGAGAATGGACTAATACAGGCTATACTTCTCATAGTAGCTCTCTTGATATTTCCATTGTATCTGCAGTTACTTCCTCTACTGAAGTCTTGAATCCCTCAAAGTTACCCATAAGGGTTGGAATAAACTTCTTCTAAACTCCTGTTCCTGTGGATATTTTGGCCTCCTCCCATGAATCACAAATGTTCTTAATGGCATCTAGGATAGTGAATTCTTTCCAGAAGGTTTTCAATAAACTCTGTCCAGATTCATCAGATAAATCACTATCTACGGCAGCTATAGCCTTATTAAATGTATTTAAGTAATAAGACCATCACAGCTTGTCAGGAGTGAAAATAAACAAATAAACAAGTAACACTTCAAAGTTGAAATTACTTCTTGATCCATGGGCTGCAGAATGGATGTTAACAGTAAACAACACAACATTAATCTTCTTGTACACATCCATCAGAGCATATGGATGACTGGGTACACTGTCAATGAGCAGTAACATTTTGAAAGGAATCTTTCTGTCTGAGCGGTATGTCTCAAAAGTGGGGTTAAAATATTCAGGAAACTATGCTGGAAACAGATGTGCTGTCATCTATGTTTTGTTGTTTCACTTAAAAAACACAGAGTAGATTATAATTCTTAAGGGCCCTAGGATTTTTAGAATGGCAAATGAGCACTGACTTCAACTTAAAGTCACCAGCTACATTAGCCCTTAGCAAAAGAGCCACCTTATCACTCGAAATTTTGAAGCCAAGCATTGACTTCTCCTTCCGAGCTAACTGAAGTCCTAGATGGCATCTTCTTCCAATAGAAAGCTATTTAAAAAAATAATAAGAAGAAAGAAAAAAGAAAAGGCTGTTTCATTTACACTGAAAATCTGTTGTTTAGTGTAGCCACCTTCATCAATTATCTTAGCTGGATCTTCTAAATAACTTACTGCAGCTTCCGCATCAGAACTTGCTGCTTCATCTTGTACTTCCATGTTATGGAAACAGCTGCTTTCTTTCTTTTTTTTTTTTTTTTTTTTGAGACAGAGTCTTGATCTGTTGCCCAGGCTGTAATGCAGTGGCGTGATCTTGACTCACTGCAACCTCCGCCTCCCAGGTTTAAGCAGTTCTCCTGCCTCAGCCTCCCAAGTGCTGGGACTACAGTCGTGTGCCACCATGCCTGGCTAATTTTTGTATTTTTAGTAGAGATGGGCTTTTGCCATGTTGGCGAGGCTGGTCTTGAACTTCTGGCCTCATGTGATCCACCCGCCTTGGCCTCCCAAAGTGCTGGGATTACAGGTGTGAGCCACCTCGACCAGCCTGGAAACAGCTTCTTTCTTTTTTAAAATTATTTTATTTATTTTTAATTTTTAATTTTTTTGAAACGAAGTCTCATCCTGTCACCCAGGATGGAGTGTAGTGGCATGATCTCAGTTCAGTGCAACCTCCACCTCCCGAGTTCAAGCGATTCTCCTACCTCAGCCTCCTGAGTAGCTGGGACTACAGGTGTGCACCACCATGACCAGCTAATTTTTGTATTTTTAGTAGAGACGGGGTTTCACCATATTGGCCAGGCTGGTCTCGAACTCCTGACCTCAACTGATCTACCTGCCTTGACTTCCAAAGTGCTGAGATTACAGGTGTAAGCTCCTGCAGCTGATGAAACAGCTTCTTTCTAAGGAAAGAATCTCATGAACAACCTCTGCTAACTTCAAACTTTTCTCCTGGAGCTTCCTCTCCCTCAGCCTTCATAGAATTGAAGGGTTAAGGCCTTACTCTGGATTAGGCTTTGGCTTAAGGGAATGTTGTGTGGTTGGTTTGATCTTATTCAGACCATTCAAGCTGTCTTCAGATCAGCAATAAAGCTATTTCACTTTCTTATCATTTGTGCGTTCACTGGAGTAGCACTCTTAGCTTCCTTCAAGAACTTTTCTTTTGCATTTACAACTTGGCTAACTGTTTGGTACAAGAGGCCTAGCTTTTAGCCTGTCTTGGCTTTCAACATCTTTTCTTACTAACCTTAAATCATTTCTAGCTTTTGATTTAAAGTGAGAGATGTGACTCTTCCTTTTACTTGAACACTTAGAGGTCACTGTAGGGTTACTAACTAGCCTAATTTCAATATTGTTTTGTCTCAGGGAATACAATATTTACCAAATAAGTTTGTTATCCTATGTGGGTGTGGCTCATGGTGCTCCAAAACAATTACAATAGTATCACCAAGGATTACTGATTGCACACCGCCATAATAATATAATAATAATGAAAAAATTTGAGATATTATGAGAATTACCAAAATAGGACAGAGACATGAAGTAAATACAAGCTGCTGTTAAAATGGCACGGGTAGATATGCTCAACTCAAACCTTCAATGTGTAAGAAACACAGTATCTGTGAAGCACAGTAAAGCACAGTGCCATCAGATGAGGCATGCCTACATATAGGAACTCTCCATGTCATTTTAGCAGCTTTTCTGAAATAATAATCTCTTCAGATATTCAATACAACATTATTCTAAAGCTTTTTTAATAAAAAAATGAAACAGCAAGTTATTAAGTAAAATAAATATTTTACATAAAATGAGGTATTTATTAAAGCTTGATTCTTAACTAGGTATCTTTTAAATATTTTTTATGAAAATGAAAGTGATCATAAAGCACTTCTGCCAAGAGTGGGAGTCTCCAGGAAGAGCATTTGTACAACCAAATTACAAGCTGAATTACCTACTTTTCCCCCATGAACACCATTTTTACCTGAAAAAAATGACTGGCAGATAGACTATGGTTATTCATACTTAAGTATTCGACAGACATTTTCTCTTTTCTCGAAAGTGAACAATGTCTGTCTGTCCAAGACCTGACAGTATCTGCTGGCAGTGATAAATTCTGAGCTTTAGAATTTTGGAAAACTTGTTGCCTACCACCGTGAACTAGACAGCTTCCTTGTGAAGACTTTTGATTGGCACTGATATTAATGAATGTGACTTGTTGAGAATGTCTAATGAAATCAGTCAACGTTAGAAGAGCTGTATAACCCAGTAATCAGCAGTTCTGAAATGATTAATGCATGCTGTTACATCACTGTTCACATTTGGCGTAGTATCACAAAAGGATAACCAAAATTATCAAAACAGCTAGTAAAATACTCCTTCCTTTTCCAACTACATATTTGAGTGAGACTAAATTTTCTTTATATAATTCAGCCAAAACAACTGATTAAAATAGACTGAATGGAAAAGCAGATCTGACACTCCAGCTATCTTCGATTAAGCGAGATATTAAAGAAATTTACAAAATCATGCTATTCTAAATTTTAAAAATATACTAGTTTATTTTAATTTCTTATACTATAAATAACAACAGTTATAACCCAGTCAATAATTTTGAAGAGCGTAAAGAGGTCCTGAGAACAAAAAGTTTGAGAACTACTGAGTCAGAGTAACATGCACACGAGCCTCTTTTCCAACAGGAAAAGAAAGCCAGATTCTTATTAACAGAGAATAATTCACACCACTGGTTCCAAAATAGCAAAGCTCTGCAGAGGCTAATACGCTGTGAAGGGTATTAAGTGCTGAATTTTTAGCTAGTCTATTCAATGATGCTGTTTTCCCCTAAGACTCTTAAGGGGTGGAAAAATAAGACAAAACAACAAAACCACCCAAAACTCATGCCTTGGATTTGCCAAATCACTAAACCAATCTTTCCTGAGACTCCAATGCAGTCATGACCTGTATGCAATTGCCCTAACCATGATCACCTCCACCTTGCACTTGGTACCAGTGCCCACCTTCTATCAGATTCTATTTTCCAGGATAACAACCCTAAGCAAATTTGGAGACATATCAGGTTTTGAATTCAGAGCAAAACGATAACAGCCTCTGGCCCAACAGGGATATGCTTCACTGTCTTCTTGACCAAACCCAATTTATCTGAGTGCCAGTGTTTTATAAGTAACATCTACAGTTTTCAGTGTTTTATTTATTGTGCTATCAAACTTCACATTTGCATTGCTAATGGCTACTCTCCAAAGAAAGCTGAAAATGATCTGCTGAGAGACAACAGCAGTGCAGTGGCACCTTCTTAGCTCACTGCAGCCTCAAACTCCTGGGCTCAGATGATCCTCCTGCCTCAGCCTTCCCAATAGCTAGGACTACAGATGCATGCTCATTTTTAAAATTTTGGTAGAGAAGGGGGTCTCACTATGTTGGGCAGCCTGTCTTGAACTTCTGGCCTCAAGCAATCCTCCCATCCTGGCCTCCCAAAAAGTGCTGGGATTACAGGCATGAGCCACTGCGCCCAGCCCAGATTTTGGTTTCTAATATTACTTTCCACTAAAGGAACCAGGAACCTAGATGGGAGATGACTCCATGTCTTGGGGCAAAAAAACAATAAAGACCATTCTGGTATTTTCTAGCACTGCCAGAAAGTAAGAATACTTTTCAGACTGCCAGAGTTAGTGTCAAAAGGACAAAGGAATCAGCTCAAAGACAATGCCATTAGCCAATCTATGACAATCTGAGCTTCAAAAAGAAAATAACTATGGTTAACTGAAGGAAACCGAAACAAAACTAATTTTGTAAAAATAATTTAGCACCAGAGGGTCCAAAACAGGTTTTTGTACATGGAAAGGAATACTACCCCTCTTCTTATATCGCATTAACCCCCAATGGGAGCATAAGTTAAAGACAAAAACAGAGCATACATAACAATAACTTTCCTGTGGCTGAATAAAATCCCTTCTAGTAGAAATTGTTGAAAATCAAGATAACTGGAAATTTGCCACTAGTTTACCCCAAACCACACAGAATAAGTCTTATTAATAATTGTATTTATATTTTATCTCTTAAGATGTTTGATGTGCTTAAAAGAACAAGCTACCTTAATTTATATGTAATATTTAAGCAACGTTAATTTTCAATAGACAAATTTAACAACTGACCATTAAACAAACCATAAAAATATTACAGGTAAGATGTTAAAAAGATTCACATAAGAATTCTTTTTTAAAAAGAAATAGTAAGAAACAGCAGTTGATCTTCCACACCATCTCTAGAAACATCATCCAATGTTAAGATACATTTTTGGCTATTCTTTCAAACATTCCACCCATTCACCAATTTTCTTTTCTTTTTTTCTGAGGCAGGGTCTTACTCTATGGCCCAGGCTGGAGTGTAGTGGCGTGATCTTGGCTTACTACAACCTCCACCTCCTGGGTTCAAGTGATTCTCCTGCCTCAGCCTCTGTAGTAGCTGGGAATACAGGCACGCACCACCACACTCGGCTAATTTTTGTATTTTTTAGTAGCGATGGGGTTTTGCCATGTTGGCCAGGCTGCTCTCGATCTTCTGGCCTCAAGTGATCCACCCGCCACAGTCTCCCAAAGTGCTGTGATTACAGGCATGAGTAACCACACCCAGGCAAGTCAGATATTGTTTAAATTTAAAGCCGGGCGCGGTGGCTCACACCTGTAATCCCAGCACTCTGGGAGGCCGAGGCAGGTGGATCACTTGAAGTCAGGAGTTCAAGACCATCCTAGACAACATAGTGAATCCCCACGTACACTAAAAATACAATAATTAGCCAAGTGTGGTGCCGCACGCCTGTAATCCCAGCTACTCAGGAGGCTGAGGCATGAGAATCGCTTGAACCTGGGAGGCGGAGGTTGCTGTGAGCTGAGATCATGCCACTGCACTCCAGCCTGGGCAACAGAGCAAGACTATGTCTCAAAAAGAAAAACAAAACCAAAAAGACACACAAATCAACTTAGGAAGGGATAAACATGTAAAAAACTCAAAGAATTAAAAAAAGTTTTTTTACAATACACAATAGAACTGTCAAAAGGCACTTGCACCCTCCATAAATACACTGTAGAAAACAACTCTGAACACATGAACATGTTCTCTCCTTGTCTGGTTTCTTTTTGAATTTCTCAACGTCTGTTTCCTCTTTGGGTCCCAGGTTTCCTTGTATTTGTTTTCAGAATTTTACTATTATTTTTCGCTCTCTTCCTTCTCCTATTCTGCTACGGCATGAGCTGAAAGCGTGGCCTCAGGAAAACAAGCAAAAGAGCCTGTCTTGACCAATAATTCCCATACCTACAGGAAGTCATTTGTACAAAATGAAGGAACTCAGAAAAACCCAAGAATTCAATGAAGTTATTCATTCGGAGATGCTTTTGCCGCAATCGAATGCTTGCTAGTTCCTAGACTGCATGATCTACACAAATTGGGTAATAAGTCAGACGGGACAGTCCTGGGTCAGTACTGTCATTTCCTTTTCCATGTCTGCCCTACAGGCTTCAAGGCCAGGCAAAAAATATCCTTCATACTAAAAATCAAGTCTCCATACAGATCAGTGGTCTTGCCTATGGCCTATGGTGTAGCATCCTACTTTGGGTAGAAAGGCGGGGCCCAGCTGCACCTCTAGGAGGGCTGATATCAACACTGTGCTGAAAGGCAAGGGGGGTCAAGTTTAAAGTTCAGCATACTTCTCCTTTGAGGAGTCAACCTCCCGTCTTCCAGGCAAGGCATCCCTATGTTCTGGGTTTTCCTGGACAGTCTCAACTTTTAATTTTACTTCTAAATGTGTAATTACATTTGACTTAAAAAATACTGTCCGAATAGCTATGCTGATTTTTGGTTTGGAAAATATGCTCACCATGGCTCAAGAAACCATGTAACATAATAATGCAGCCAATCTCGACCTACAACACAAGCTGTAAGTTAAGGTACCCTCGAGAACACTACTCTTTCCTCTTCCATTCCTTCAGGTGTTATAAAAGCAAGCCTAAGTTAAAGTTCTATTTCCTAAGAGGGAAAAGAATTGCTTTTCAATGCAACTGTAGTTCACGGTGGCCCCTCTTACTAATGACTGCAAAGCTTCTGCCCCACAGTGTTGTTTTATACAGAACAGACACTAATTCTTTTTATAAACAATGATATTACATGGAACCAGAAGCGAGAGCAGGAGGCCTATGTACAGACCTCAATGGCTGCAGCAGAAGTTCCAGCTGAGGTTTTGTTATTATGGCAGTGGCAGATCTTATGGCAATGGAGGGTCTTGCAGCTTAAATAAAAGCAAACTGTTGGCTCTGAAATCCAGATACTTGTCTTCTGATGACCCAGTGGCATGTGAACTGAGAATACTGAAAGAATCACCACCAGGAAACATATGTAAGCATTTGGCCAACTTCATTCAGACACAAGCGTTAAGTTAGTACAACGCTCTTTACTCTGGCACTGGAGTCAGGTTTGACAAATCCAACATGGTCTTTAAAAAAAAATGCTATTTTGTTTTTCTATAGAAAAATGTAACAACCAAAGAATGACAAAGAAATCTTTGAAATAGTAAAAAGACTTAATGTATGAAAGTCTGAGCACCAAAAAAAAAAAAAAAAATTTTTGCCATCCCCTCTTGTGACACTCCTAAATGGATTGTTAATACTTACTGCTCATCTAGTGCACAATCTATGAGGAATGAGAACAAATGCAGGAAGCACTTTACCTTTTTTTTTTTTTTCCATGAGATGGTGTCTCGCTCTGTCGCCCAGGCTGGAGTGCAGTGGCGCAATCTCAGCTCACTGCAACCTCTGCCTCCTGGGTTCAAGGGATTCTCCTGCCTCAGCCTCCCGAGTAGCTGGGATTATAGGTGCCCGCCATCACACCCAGCTAATTTTTGTATTTTTAGTAGAGTCAGGGTTTCACCATGTTGGTCAGGCTGATCTCAAACACCTGACCTCAAATGAGCCACCCACCTTGGCTTCCCAAAGTGCTGCGATTACAGGTGTGAGCCACCATGTCCAGCCAAGAAGCATTTTATCTATGCAAAAAAAGGTGTTTGGTCAAGAACTGTCTTCTGGCAACTGTCCAGAACTGGTCAGCACTGACATAGGAAATTGATAGGAGTTTCCCAAAGATCCTCATTCATTCATTCAATAAATATTTACTAACAAACTATTATGAACCAAGTACTGAACTGAGACAAGCGAGCAAAACAGATTTGATTCACGCCCTCAGGAAGTTAATAGTCTAGTGGGGGAGAAAAGAGGTGAAACACACACACACACACACACACACACACACAGCCATGCAATTACAAATTGAGGTAAGTGCTACAGAAAAGAATTAGGGGCTGTGAAGGTTCATACTAGTGGGAACCTAATTTAGATTGGAGATGTGTCCTCTGAGGTACTTCTCCCCTCTAGATCTATGTGTTTAAAGTGAAATTAAAAAAACAAAACAAAACAAAACAAACAAACAAACAAAAAAAACTATTACTTTAAGCACCTTTCTGCCAGAAAGAAAATAAGGGCTTTATTTAACAATTCACTTTTTAAAAAAATGGTATTAATGTACCAAGTAAAATACTCAAAAGGTATTTTAAAATAAGCCTCCATTCTACCCTTTGCTGTCTTTTAGCTACCAAATTCCCCTTTCCCCAAGACCAACACTGTTCTTAGCTGCCTGAGTATCCTTCCAGAGATATATTAAACCTGCAGTTCTCAGTGTGGTTCAGGGACCCCAGAGAGATGGGAGATTTTTTTCAGGGAGCTGAAAAGGTTAAAGCTATTTTCATGACAACACGAAGACATTATTTGCCTTCTTCTCTTGTATTCTGTCACAAGTGGATTTTTCCAGAGGCTACATGGTGGGTGACGGTGTTATTGCTCTGACAGCTAATGGAATGTGTGAAGAAGATGCAGAGTCAGCTATCTTCAATGAAGACAGATATTTAAAAGATTTGTAAAAATGTAAAACAATGCCACTCTTCTCACAACATTTTTTTGTATTGGAAAATATACTTATTTTTCACAAAAATATGCTACTTATGTTAACATGTAATGAGTTTACCACTGTTATTTGAAAATAAGTTAATGTTTTAAATTTCTCAGTTTTAATTTCTACTACTGTAAATATCAATAGGTATTAAGGGCTCTTTGGAGTCTTCAATCATTGATATGGATATAAAGAAGTCCTCAGACCAAAGAGTTTGAGAACCACTAAACATTTATAAATGTATGTCAAGTGCTAAACACTGGCCATTAACTGCATCATTCTGGTGGATGTTTTTTAGTGTATTTTAAATAGATGGGTGCTGAGAAGGAAACCAAGTTACTTATTTGTGACTATAATGTGTTGTGGATTATTTGGCTATCAACACGACACGAATTTCACCATGGTGACTGGCTAGTTGTTTTTCCATAGCATCTTAAATATTTGGTATATTAATATGTGGAGTTACTCTAAGCCCATAAACAGCTTACAAATCAGAAAGTAATTATAAATTTTATGTGATAACTGAAGTTGAATGGCAAGGTTAAATACATCTGTGTTAAGTCAAAAAAGAAGCTATTATTAAATGGAATAACATAGTAATAAAGCAGCTTTTTGGGACTAACCCTCCCTCAGACAGATAACAACTATATACTCTGGCCAATACATAGAAAACTCTTGCCTATTTGAAGGCACTGGAGAGCAACCAAAGCCAGGCAGAAATTGGAGTGGATTCAACCTTTGAGAGAAGGGGACTGACTGTGTGAGATTAGTCAGTCTCTGTGGCACAGACGGACTAAAACTTAAGCAGAAAGATGCTTCTCCATGGGTTATGGAGACAGTACTAAGTCTGGCTGTCAGAACAGCTGGAAAGTGAGGGAGGAAGCCCCAACTCAATAAGATACACAGTCAGGCATAGTAGCCAGTGCTTGTAGCACTAGCTACTCAGGAGGCTAGGGTGGGAGGATCACTTGAGGCCAGGAGGATCACTTGAGGCCGCTGTGCCTCACTATACTCCAGCTTGGGCAATACAGTGAAACCCTGTCTCAAAAAAACAAACAAAAAACCAAAGAAGACATACAACTCATAATTCATCAGAGAAGATATACAAATAGCCAGTAAGTACATGAAAAGATACTCAACATCATTAGGCATTAAAGGAATGCAAATTAAATACAATGAAGTACCACTACCCATCTGCTAGATCAAAAAGGCCAACACTACCAGCTGTTCATGAGGAAGTGGACAAAGCGAACCCTCATGCACTGCTGGTAGGAATGTAAAATGGTGTGACCACTTTGGAAAACAATGAACAATTCCTTAAAATTTCTTTGAAAATAATTTACCAGCCAGCATATTTCACTCCTAGGTATCAATCCTAGAAAATGAAAACATGTCCACATAAAGACCTGTACACAAAATGTTCATAGCAGCATTATTTAAAAAGCCAAAAAGTAAAAACAACACAATGTCCATCAACTGATGAATGGGATAAGTATAATGTGGTATAGCTATAAAGTACAATATTTTTTAGCAATAAAAAGCAATGAATTATTGATATATACTACACAAGAAAACATTTGTTTTCTGGCAGTTGTCCAGAACTGCTCAGCACTAACAAATGGGAAATTGGTGAGTTCCCCAAAGATCCTCATTCATTCATTTTTGGATGAACTTCAAAAACACCTTATAGCGAGGCCAGGCACAGTGGCTCACACCTATAATTTCAGCACTTTGGGAGGCTGAGGCAGGCAGCTCAGTATCAGCCTGGCCAACATGGTGAAACCCTGTCTCTACCAAAAATGCAAAAATCAGCCGGGTGTGGTGGCACACGCCTGTAATCCCAGCTACTGGGGAGGCTGAAGCAAGAGAATCGCTTGAACATGGGAGGCGGAGGTTGCAGTGAGCCGAGATCGTGCCACTGTACTCTAACCTGGAGTGGATAGAGTGAGTGCGACTCTGTCTCAAAAACAAACAAACAAAAAAACCGTTATAGGGAGATAGATACTGAAAGACTATGTAGTGAAATTTCCAGACAAGGCAAATCTACGGAGACAGAAAGCAGATCAGTGGTTGTCTGGAGGGCTCCCATCTTCTGGGGCTGAAGATGGGAGCAGGAATTGACTGCAAATGGGCAGAAGGAAACTTTTTGGGTGATGGAAGTGTTCTAAAATGAAATTGTACACAATGAAAGTTACCACTTTAAAAAATTTACTATAGGCCGGGTGTGGTGGCTCACACCTGTAATCCTAGCACTTTGGGAGGCCAAGGTGGGTGGATCACGTGAGGTCAGGAGTTCAAGACCAGCCTGGCCAACATGGCAAAACCCTGTCTCTACTAAAAATACAAAAATTAGCTGGGTGTGGTGGCAGGCACCTGTAATCCCAGCTACCTGGGAGGCTGAGGAAGGGGAACTACTTGAACCTGGGAGACAGAGGTTGCAGCGAGCCGAGATGGCGCCACTGCATTCCAGCCTGAGTGACAGGAACGAGACTCCATCTCAAAAAAAAAAAAAAAAAAAAATTACTACAAATTATTAAACTATACATTTGTATTTGGATGAATTTTATGGTATGATAAATCCCCACCACCACCCAAAAACCTGTTTAAAACAATAGAAAAATTTAGGGAGAGTATTAGGAAAAATAGCTAATGCGTGCTGGGTTTAATACCTAGGTGGTGGATGGGTTGACAGGTGCAGCAAACCACTATGGCACACATGTACCTATGTAACAAACCTGCACATTCTGCACATGTACTCCAGAACTAAAAAAAAAAAAAAAAAAATTGCTAGGGATAAGGGGGCAGGGTGGGAGAGATAAAATGAGACTTAAAAGACTTAACAGTCGGCTGGGTGCAGTGGCTCCCATCTGTAATCCCAACACTGTGGGAGGTCGAGGTGGGCAGATCACCTGAGGATAGGAGTTCAAGACCAGCTTGGCCAACATGGTGAAACCCCATCTCTACTAAAAATACAAAAATTAGCCGGTCGTGGTGGCAGGAGCCTGAAATCCCAGCTACTCAGGAGGCTGAGGCAGGAGAATCACTTGAACCCCGGAGGCAGAGGTTGCCGTGAGCCAAGATCCTGCCATTGTACTCCAGCCTGGGCGACAGAGTGACACTCCATCTCAAAAAAAAAAAAAAAAAAACTTAACAGCCAGACCGGATATGGTGGCTCACGCCTGTAATTCCAGCACTTTGGGAGGCCGAGGCAGGTGGATCACTTGAGGTCAGGAGTTCGAGACCAGCCCAGCCAACATGGTGAAACTCTGCCTCTACTAAAAATACAAAAATTAACTGGATGTGGTGGTGGACACCTGTAATCCCAGCTACTCAAGGGCTGAGGCAGAAGAATCGCTTGAACACGGGAGGCAGAGGTTGCGGTGAGCCAAGATCGCACCGTGCCCTCTGGCCACAGAGAAGACTCCATCTCAAACAAATAAAACAAAAAGATTTAACGGTCAAATGGAATATGTGGACCTTGTTTACATCCTGACTCAAGGAAAGTAGCTACAACAAAAAACTTACGATACAATTAAGGAAATATGAACACTGACTAAATACTGGATATCAAGAAATTATTATTATTTTTAGATGTAATAATGGTAATTGCTTTTAAAAGAATACTTTTAAGAGATATACACTTAAATATTTACAGCTAAAATCACAGCACGTTAAAGTTTTGCTTCAAAATATTCAGTGGAGGTTTTGGTGGTGGAGTGGATGGAGAGCTATCATAGATGATGTAAAATGGGACATGTGTTAAGTACTGAAGATTGGTTACATGCACATGGAGAGATTCATTATGCTAGTCTCTCTACTGTATGAAATTTTCCACAATAAAAAATAAAAGGGGTATAGTAATGTCTACCCGCAAAGATTTGAGTATTCAACTTGATAACACATATAAAGGATTTAATATAAAAGATTGGCAAAATATTGATAACTGTTGAAGTTTAGTGATGGGTACAGGGATTCATTATACCTTACACTTTACTTTTGTGTGTAGGTCTGATATTTTCTTTCTTTTTTTTTTTTAGACAGGGTCTCACTCTGTCAGCCTCAACCTCCTAGGCTCACGCAATCCTCCCACTTCAGCATTCTGAGTACTACAGGCACGTGCCACTACGCCCAGCTAATCTGTGCATTTTTTGTAGAGATGGAGTTTCGCCATGTGCCCAGGCTGCTGCAATTTTTCATAATAAAAAGTTGTTTGTTTGTTTTTTTTTAAGGAGTCTGATACTTACACATTTTCATTGTGGGTATCAGTACTTTCCTTTTTACATTTTTCAATAACTTAAAGAAAGTAAGGATAAAATGGAATAAAATATTCCAATACTTGCACAAACATGTCTTGCTTTATGAAGACCAAAACATTTATGTGGCCAATCAGCTAATGTATCAAATTCAAGGTTTGGTTAAAAATAGGCACATCAGAAATGTAAGTGTAATATGTGTAAATGAGTTGCTCAAAAGTCCAAAGTAAATACAGTCCTCCTCTCCTCAGTATAGTTTTTGAACGTAAATAAGACTGATTTCGTCAGGCATAGGAGAAATTATTTTTATTTAGGGAATAATAAAAAAAGTAGCTTAAAATACATATTGCAGGCCAGGCGCAGTAGCTCATGCCTGTAATCCAAGCACTTTAGGAGGTCAAGGCAGTATTGCTTGAGCCCAGGAGTTCAAGACTAGCCTTAGCAATATAGCAAAAGTTCGCTTCAAAAAAAACAAAAACAAAACAACCCACAAAAAAACAAAAAGCCAAAAAACCCGCACACTGCTATACAGAATTCTAGCTAGATGCAGGCTTCTGCTTTAACTATTATATACATTTAGACACATGGCTTCGCAGTAGGTTGCCTATTTATTCTCCAATAATCTAAACAGTGTATTGACAGAGACGTATGTGTCCACACTTGTTTCTTCTGATGAAACTGGAAAAGCAATTTGCAAATCTGTCTACCAGAAACAAAGAAAACTAAGTAAGACCAGATTATTCTCTAGTGCTCAGAGTCTCAACAGCAGGTTAAGGAACCAGAGTTTCCAAACTGGCCTCCTTTTGTTTGACCAACACTTTACTTACTTACTTACTGTATTTATTTGTTTATGAGACAGAGTCTCACTGTGTCACCCAGGCTGGAGTGCAGTGAAGCGATCTTGGCTCACTAAAACCTCCGCCTCCCAGGTTCACGTTCAAGCGATTCTCATGCCACAGCCTCCCCAGTGGCTGGAACTACAGGCCTGCACCACCAAGCTCAGCTAATTTTTGTATTATTATTATTATTATTTTTAGTAGAGACAGGGTTTCACCATGTCGTCCAGGCTGGTCTCAAACTCCTTACCTCAAGTGATCTGCCCACCTCGGCTCTCAAAGTGTTGGGATTACAGGCGTGAGCCACCATGCCTGGCCTTGAATTTTTTCTATTATTTATTACTTTTTTTTTTTTGAGGCAGAGTTTCGCTCTTGTTGCCCAGGCTGGAGTGCAATGGTGTAATCTTGGCTCACTGCAACCTCTGCCTCCCAGGTTCAAGTGATTCTCCTGCCTTGGCCTCCCAAGTAACTGGGATTACAGGTGCCTGCCACCACACCCAGCTAATTTTTGTATTTTTAGTAGAGATGGGGTTTCGCCATGTTGGCCAGGCTGGTCTCGAACTCCTGACCTCAGGTGATCCACTGACCTTGGCCTCCCAAAGTGCTGGGATTACCAACGTGAGCCACCACGCTCGGCCAAATTTTTTCTATTTTAAAAATAATGTGGAGGGAGGAATAGCATTAGGAGATATACCTAATGTAAATGATGAGTTGATGGGTGCAGCACACCAACATGGCACATGTATACATATGTAACAAACCTGCACGTTGTGCACATGTACCCTAGAACTTAAAGTATAATAAAATAATAATAATAATAATGTGTGGCAGGGTGCAGTAGCTGACGCCTGTAATCCCAGCACTTTAGGAGGCTGAGGAGGGCGGATCACCTGAGGTCAGGAGTTCCAGACCATTCTGGCCAACATGGCAAAACCCCGTCTCTACTAAACATACAAAAATTAGCTGGTGTGGTGGCATGTGCCTGTAATCCCAGCTACTTGGGAAGCTGAGGCACAAGAATCGCTTGAACCCAGCAGGCAGAGGCTGCAATGAGCCAAGATCATACCACTGCACTCCAGCCTGGGTGACAGAGCAAGACTGTCTCAAAAATTTAAAAAAAGAATTAAAAAAAACTTAAAGATCCATTTGCAGAAATCAACTCACTTGCAAAAGGACTTGCTTACTACAAAATTCAGGTTGGGATCTATCTCACTTTGTTAGTTTATTCATTTATCAAATATGCCCTATATGAGCATATACTGTGCCAAGTGCAGAAAAAAGCCAATTCCAGAATTGTAAAAAACAAACTATCACATGTTCATGTGGACTTCACTGTAGTGTTCCGCAGGGTTTCTTAACTTGGGAACTACTAACATTTTGAATAAGCCAATTCTTTGTTTCGAGCTGTCCTTTGTACCGCAGGATGTTTAGCAGCATCTCAAACTTTTTACCCTCTAAATGCCAGTAGCATCCCCTGCCTTGCCCAGGTTATACAACCAGAAATGTCTCTAGACACTGCCAAAAGTCCCCTAGGACAAATACAAGTTAAAACATTTTAAGTAATGTCAACATAATATGATACAATTTCATAATTATATATCTCTCTCTAAAGATGATTAAACACTGGCTAATGTCTTAAGTAAATAAAACTGTGGAGATTAAAATAGTGATGTCAAAGCAGATTAAGAAACCTGAATGGGGGGCGAGGTTAAAAAAACTGAACAAAGTTCTTATATATTCAAATGTTTTTTAAAAACTAACCTTAAGCGTTTTGGTTAAGCTTCCTTTGTAGTTGGGAAATTCCTGTTCTGCTAATTCAGGCTCTTTTCTAAAAACAGGTTTATATATTTTAGTACATAAAAATATTACTATAGCCTAACATTCATAGGAAGAATCTCTTGGTCTTTTCTGAGAACCTCTCAAGTGTTTTGTTACATATTAGAATAATCAGAGGAAAGAAAAGTAAGTGAATTTCAGTCTTGGTGTATTCTCCTCCAACTCAAAGGTTTCATTTAGTAGGAAGAGGATGAAAATGTTGATTAAATCTATATACGTTTTTAATAGTTTTAAGTTTCATTTATTTGTTAAGTCTACTGTTTCCTTGATGATTTTATAATTTCCTTGTCCTAATACGAACTAGTAAGTGAAGATCAACCTTGTTATTTAAAATAGGGAAAAGGGAAAAACTACTAATTTTCATTGAGTCCTTCTGTGCCAGGAACTGTAGTGACACCTTATCTCATTTCATTCTCAAAACAGCTCTATGAAGTAGGAATTATGATCCCTATTTTACAGCTAAAAGAATTAAGTAAAACTATTATTTGCACCAGGCAATCCTGTTCAAGTCAAAAGCATATATAATACTCTACCTATTTCTAAAAAAGGAGCCAGCAATAACCATGACAGCTTTCTCTTCCCTATACTGTAAAATATAAGAAGTCCAAAGTAATAGCTATAAGAAGGGTTTTAATCTGAAGAGTTTGACAGAGAACTAAGAATCCCCAAATAATCAAAAAGAAAAACTCATCACATCTAGTGGTAACAAAATTCGGATATATATGGTTTTCATATCTGTTCATGAATAACTCAACAATGGGCAGCAAAAACACACCCACAATTTCAAGACTCTGGCCAGGAGTGCTGACCAGCCTCAATAAAATGTCAGCTTGCTGCCAAAGGATCCAGATCAGTGGAATTGTCCAGTTCTCTAAGGAGACAATGCAGAGTTGCCTGCAGACTGGTTCTGAAATCGAACCAGAACTAGAACTTAAAAACAAAAAGCAGATCAATCTCTAGGCATCAAATTTCTTCTTCCTGAAAGAATAAACAGAAAACCTAAGTGAGTTATTCTAGCTGTACCTCAATCCAGGGTTTAGTCTGGAAGCCAATCTACTTGCTCAACTGTTTGCAAAGTTCATTCAACTCTTCCTCCCAGGTTTTGTTTCATGAGAGAAAAATAAAACCATCATCTTTTGGCAAGATGGAGTATTAACTTTTCTCCTGGTATTGCTGTCACTCACAGTTAAAAGAAAATGCACGCACACACAAATACATACCCTTTAAATGTCTAATTTAAATCCTAAATAACCCAGAGTACATGTGAGGGAGGAGAAAATAAAAGCCTTAGCAAGGAATATTTTAGTTCCAAAATTCTAAAGGCAAACTGCTAACTGAAAAGGGAAATTAACTTTATCAACTGTAAAAGAAAAAAATTCAACATCTTGTTGTTTTAAAGGAGTTCCCCGGCATGGAAGCAGATCATACACTTGATTCCTGATGCAGGAACTGAAACAACTCTGGCCCAGAGATAAAAGGGTGACAATTTGCTTGACACACCTATGCTGGAGCAGCTACTCCCATCTGTCTACTTTCCCTCCTTCCCCTAAAAGCTACTTAAGTCTCGGTTTATCCAGTTACATGTGCTAAGTGAAAAGAAGGCATAATTCCCAAGCCACGTTTTTGGAAATAACATGGTGACCCATTTCAACACTTACACACACAGATGTTAAATTAGCCAAAGTATATTTAAATAATCTCATCTCATTCATTCTTGCTAATGCTCATAGATTCATTATCGTATTGGACTTTCTTCCCACAAAATGACTGGCCTTATACCAAGTTTTATAAATATTAAAAAGGTTGTTTTGTACTAAAAAAGAAAATAACTGGAGGAGAGGGAAGCTTCTCAAAAGAACTTTCACATGGTGGGTAATATAAATGTCGCTAAGATAAGATACACAACGCTGGATTCTTTTTCTCTGTGACCCCTGCCCACCCCCCATTCTACCTAAACTCACTGTGTAACTAATCATGAACAAAAGAGAGGCACAGTTTGAATTTCAGCTAGAGATACACACTGTATTCAAAGGGTTTGCTTCCCTAAAGACTGTATTCTTTTTATTTTTATTTATTTATTTTGGTATGAACGGGGTCTCCCTATGTTGCCCTGGCTGGTCTGAAACTCCTGGCTACAAGACTGTATTCTGCTCTAGATACGAAGCCATTTTGTCCTTTACAAGGGAAGCCTTGACTTCCTCTACACAATTTACTAATCCTAATTGTAATAAGCATTTCCATTTGAGAAAAAAATTCTGGTAGGAATTGTATCATCTTTCTAAACATGAGGCAATCTTTACAAACATACTGTTTCTCAGAAAGAAAATGATAAAAAACCTAAATGTCTGTATAGGGAGTTAGTTTTGAAAATTATAGAACTGGCCAGGCACGGTGGCTCACACCTGTAATCCCAGCACTTTGGGAGGCCAAACCAGGTGGATCACCTGAGGTAAGGAGTTCAAGACAAGCCTGGCCAACATGACGAAATCCCATCTCTACTAAAAATACAAACATCAGCCAGGCGTGGTGGTGGGTGCCTATAGTCCCAGCTACTTGGGAGGCTGAGACATGAGAATCACTTGAACCCTGGAGGTGGAGGTTGCAATGAACCGAGATCGCGCCACTGCACTCCCGAGACTGTCTCAAAATAAAATAAAATAAAATAAATTATAGAATATTCAAAGTAGAACACTATACTAGCCATTAACAAGAATCAGATAAATGTATAGGCAATAAGATGAAATATGTTAGTATATGTATTTTTGTATTTTCAAGCAAAAAATACAAACTTCAGGAAAATAGGCTTAGATTACTCCATTTATATAAATAAAAAACACTTATATGTGAACAGAAAAGTATCTCATACAGATACACATTCATATACATAGATTACTAAATGCTTAGGGAAAGGTCTAGGACAGAGCTGTCAAATAGAAATAAAATGGGCGGGGCATAGTGGCTCACACCTGTAGTCCCAGCACTTTGGGAGGCTGAGAAGGGAGGATCAGTTGATCCCCGGAGTTTGAGACCAGCCTGGGCAACATAGTGAGACCCCATCTCTTAAAAAAAAAACACACAGAAATAAAATGGGAACCACATACCTAGTTTAAAAACATATTTTAGCCCTATTAAATATAAAAAGAAACAACTGAAATTGTTTTTAATACATTTAACCCAATATGTCAGAAATGTTACTGTTTCAACAATGGAACTGAAATAAAAATTGACTGCTTATTTTTTCTTACTAATTCTTCAAAATTTAGTGTGTATTTATACCTATAGCACATCTCAATTCAGACTGGTGGCATTTCAAGTGTTCAACAGCCACATATAGCTAGTGACTACTCTACTGAACAGTGGAGACCTTACAAAAACCCCACCAAATTATTAACTTTCATTTTGTCTTCTATATCTCTGTGTTGCTTGAATTTTTAGAAGAACACGCATATATTGCTTCTATGTTTCTAAAAAAAAAACCTAAATGTGTCCATATATGAAAATTAATTCAAGGTACAAAAAAAACCTAAACATAAAAGCCAGGACCATTAAAAAAAGGCAAAATCTTCTCAACCTTATAGGCAGATTTCTTAGGACACAAAAAGCACTAACTGTAAAAGACGAACTGAATATCAAAATTAAAAACTCTGCTCATCTAAACACACCACCAAAAAAATGAATAAGCAAGACAAACACTAAGAAAAATTCTTAGCATTTACATCTGACAAACTATCTATATTCAGAATATAAGAAGAACTCCTATAAACCAATAACAGAATAAAACAACCCAATAAAAATGGGTAAGATTGGAAGAGTCACTTTACACATGAAAAGATGTCATTATTATTAGTTTTCAGAGCAATGCAAACTAAAATCAGAGGAGATACCATTTCACACTTACCCAAATAAAAAAGACTGACAAGGCTGGGCGCGGTGGCTCATGCCTGTAATCCCAGCACTTTGGGAGGCCGAGGCGGGTGGATCACCTCAGGTCAGGAGTTCAAGACCACTCTGACTAATATGATGAAACCCCATCTCCACAAAAAATACAAAAATTAGCCAGGTGTGGTGGCATCCACCTGTAGTCCCAGCTACTCCAAGGCTGAGACAGGAGAATCGTTTAAACCCCAGAGGTGGAGGTTGCAGTGAGCTGAGATCATGCCACTGTGCTCCAGCCTGGGCGACAGAGCGAGACTCCATCTCAAAAAAAAAAAAAAAGACTGACAACATCACATGTGAACAAGGATACGTATGGACCAAGTAGAACCCTCATACATCACTGGCAAAATATAAAATGGTACAACCATCTTGAGGAACTGTTTGGCAGTTTCTTATAACATTAAGACTGAGCGTTGTGGCTCATGCCTATAATCCTTGCAGTTTGGGAGGCTGCAGCAGGAGGACTGCTTGAGCCTAGGAGTTTGAGACCAGCCTGCAACATGGGGAGACCCCATCTCTACAAAAAAATTAAAAATTAGCCAGACATAGTGGTGTGCACCTGTAGTCCCAGCTACTCGAGAGGCTGAGGTGGGAAGATCTCTTGAGCCACAGAGTTCAAGGCTGCAGTGAGCTGTGATTATGCCATTGCATTCCAGCCTGAGTGACAGAGCAAGACCCTGTCTCAGAAAAACCAAATCAAAACCAAAACAAAAACATTAAGCACACATCTACTCCATGACCTAGCAATTCCATTCCTAGGTATTTAGGTACCCAAGATAAATAAAAACATATGTCTTCAAAAAGATTTGGAAATAACCCATACGTTTATCAGCAGGATAGATGGATAAACTGTGGTATATATGAACAATTTATAAAAAGCAATGAACCACTGATATACACAGCAACATGATAAGTCTCAAATACATGTTCTTTCACTGTAGGTAAAAGAATCCAGGCACAAAAATTTAAAAAATGTATGCTTTGATTTCCATGACGTTCTGGAAAAGCAAAACTAATCTATCATGATAAAAATCAGTAGTTGCCTGGGGCAAAGAGCATAGGGCAAAAGCAACTGGAAAGGGGCATGAGGGAACTTTCTGGAGTGACGGAATCATACTATACCTTATCTTGGATAGTGGCTATGAAGTAGTAGGCAGGACAGGATTCCAGAGGCAGGGCTTGGATACCAAACCAAATTGATGACTAGCTAAAACAGGTATGGGGCAGAAGCGGCTTTCTGTAAGACACACCCACCAGTGTGCTATGTCAGTTTACCATTGGTATGACAACACCTGAGAGTTACCGCCCCTTCCCAGAGCAATGACCTGACGATCCAGAAGTTATTACCCTTTTCCTAGAAATTTCTGCATAAACTGCCCCTTAATCTGCATGTAATTAAAAGTAGATATAAATATGACTGCAGAACTGCCCTGAGCTGCTACTCTCAGCACAATGCCTATGCGGTAACCCTGCTCTGCAGGAGCAGTCAAGGAGCTGTTAACACTGCCGCTTCAATAAAGCTGTTTTCTTCTACCACCAGCTAGCTCTTGAATTACTTCCTGAGCAAAGCCAAGACCCTCCAGGGCTAAGCCCCAACTGGGGGCTTGGCTGTGCCCTGTATCAGTTATATGGATGTATTCAATTGTGAAAACTCATTAAATTGAACACTTAAGGCCCCTGTGATAATGAACCTACCTCCTGCCATAAAAGTCAAATGCTATGGGAACCAAAAAGCAGTACTTAATGAATGCTGTTTGATACATGATGAATAGATGAATACATGAAGACTGAGAAAATATTGAAGTGTGGAGTATAATTATCATTAAAATGCTCTCCATCATTCTTCTACCACTATATTGGTGTGAGTCCACACAAATCTCTTCAATTTATTGACCAATCACAATTAAGATGATATCCTTGTCTCTCTGAAATCCTGCTCTATTTATAACTCAACTCTTTCTTGAATATTTCCAATGAATGTCCATATAACAAGCTTTCCAGCTGAAGTAACAAAAGAAATAAAGAAAAGAAAAAGGTGGCAAAGAAGAAACTAAATGTGAGAGAAGATATGAAAAAGACTCCTTGTGTTCAAGTACAATCTAGTCAATTTAGTTCCAAAGGAAGAAAAACATGAAGTCACTAAATATGCTCCTAGTTGAAGGTCAGGGAAACCACTCAGAAAGGCCAACAGTTTGCTTCTCCACTTCTCGAGGTTCACTCAGTTCTATTGTGTTCTCATAGGCAGTAAAAACCAAAAGAAAATCATCCAAAGCAACAAACATGCAGTTGCCCCAAACTGCTTTAGCAATAAATAGAATTTCATGCTGAGTGGCAGACTGTTTAGCTCACATTCCTGTAACGTCCCCTACATCTATTTCACGCAGCAACTTCGCTAGCAGTCACCAGCCACAGCCTGAACACTGTAGTAACAGGGCACATTATACATCAAAATCCCTTAGATACATTTTAACCCAGCATCTATGGTAGAAAACAACCAAGAGTTTCTTGTTATCCACAAGGCAAGCCAAAGTTAAGTGCAGGAAAGGCTGAGGGAATACCATGTGCTTCCTTTCTGACTGGAAAACAAGGCTTCCAGGCAACACAGCAGGGTTTCTGTGCACTCTGACAGGGATGTGCGTTGTAAGCTGCATTGCTATGGAAACAACACTTCTACAACTAGAGGACAAGTCAACCTGAAATAAAGGAAATAGCAGGAATTGCAAAATAGGTCTTGTGGAATGAGTAAGGAGCATCTCACGTCTCTGCTTGAACTATGGCATGATTAAGCTGAAATAAAATGTCATTCCAATCATATAACAGACATTTACAGTCTGTTTTTGGGGTCAGCTACTTGCTGAACACAAGCTATGAAACCAAAACCACCCTGCTTTTAAGATGAAAACTGACAAAATATGCAAAACTAAAAGGATAAGAACTAAATTTCCACAGATCAAAGTTTTAAAAAATGGTGATCATTAATAAAAGCTATTCATTTACTCCTTAATCAAATACTATAAATTATTTGCCACGTACCAGGCTGGACACATACAAAAAAGACAAAATCTACGCCTTCAAGCTCACAGCGTAGTGATGGAGACTAAGGTGTAAAACTGACGATGAGGGAGTATGGGATAGTTAGTGCTACAATAAAGGCTATTAAACAAATGCAGTTGCAAAGGGGTAGTAGTTAGAGTTTAGTGCAAGACACAGACACTGACTGGCCGACAAAAAAGGAATTTATTTAAAAGATATTGGGGTAAAAACAAAGATACTGGTCTTTCCAAGTGTCCACAGAATATACAAGACAGACCACATCCTGGCCCATAAAATTAATATCAACAAATTTAAAAGAGTTGAAATCACAAAGAATGTGTTCACCAGCAACATGATCAAACTAGAAAGCAACAACAGAAAGACAACAGAAAACTCTCTGAAAACTTGGAAATGGAACAATACACTTCTAAATAATGCATGGGTCAAAAAGAAAGTCTCAAGGGAATTAAAAAAATAATGAACGGAATAAAATCATACATGTATCAAAAATTGTTGAATATAGCTAAAGCAGTGTGAGGGAAATGTGTAGTAAGAAATACATACAGTGTAAAGAGGAAAAGTCTCAAATCAATAATCTAAGCTCCAACTTCAAGAATCTAGTAAAAAAAAAGAGCAATATATAGGCAAACCAAGCAGAAGCAAGGAAATAATTATAGAAGTAAATGAAATTGAAAACATAAAGGGAAAGATCAATGAAACAGAGCTGGTTCTTTGAACAGATCAATAAAATCGACAAACGTCTAGCAAGACTGACCAAAAAAAAAAGAGAGAGAGAGAGAAGGCACAAATTACCAATATCGGAGGTAATGAAATGGGATATCACTACAAGTATCAAAAGGATAAGAGAATATTATGCAGAATTCTACCCAAATAAATTTGGCAACATAGACTAATTCCTCAAAAAAGACAAACCACAAGACACTCAATATGAAAGAGCCCTGTAACTATTAAGGAAACAATTTGTCATTTAAAAACTCCCAAAAAGGAAATCTCTAGATTAGTGATTACCAGAGGTTAAGGAGGGGGTGAGGGCAGGAGGAAAGTGTATGTAGCTATAGAGAACATGAGGAATCTTAGCAGATATGAAAATGTTCTGTATCTTGACTATATCTGTCAATGTAAATATCCCAGTTGTAATATTATAAGATGGTACCATAGGGGGAAACTGGGTCAAAGGAACAAGGAATCTCTGCACTAGTTTATATGACTACACATGAGTATACAACCTCTTAAAATTAAAGGTTTATTTATTTATTTTTTTAAAGGTAAAGGGATTGCTGGGCGTAGTGGCTCATGCCTGTAATCTAAGCACTTTGGGAGGCCGAGATGGGCATATCACTTGAGCCCAGGAGTTTGAGACCAGCCTGGGCAACATGGTGGAACCCTGTCTCTACTAAAAATACAAAAATTAGACAGGCGTGCAGGTACTCATTTGTAGTCCCAGCTACTTAGGAAGCTGAGGCAGGAAAATCGCTTGAACTCAGGAGGTGGAGGTTGCACTGAGCTGAGATTGTGCCACTGCACTCCAGCCTGGGCAACACAGCAAAACTCCATCTGAAAAAAAAAAAAGAAAGAAAAGCTACATAGGGTATCTGCACTTAAAGCCGATGAACTTCCATTTTAGGCAAGATGGATACTTAAGATAACCTAAACATTTTCCAGATAAAGACCTAGAAATGCTACATAAAATATACCAAAAATTATTTTAAGTGTATAGCTAAACTCATAAGAAAGAATGGGCAACCTCCGGGTATTTGGATCAAAGAAGGAACTGAAAACCACAGTAGAGCACATGAGCTGAAATAGTGGTTACAGCCGGCAGGGTGGGGTGGGGGAAGACAGTTTCAATAACTTCCAGTCGGGGTTTTATTTGCCACGTGATAATAAAAATGGTCTTGAGCTTACAGGCAGTAGAGAACTAGAACTAAGGCTAAAAGTGGAAAGTCAATGCATCCTCAATGAAAGGAAAGAGTTAGGAAAAAAAAAAAATCACATAACAGCCCAAGGAACAGAGAAGAAAGTGTATCTAAGCTTTTGGGCTGTAGCGGGTAGGAAGAAAGGTCTCTTTTAAGAACCGGAACGAACCCTGGGCCTGCAACCCACATAGATTTGGGCTTCAAAATTATACTTTCAATTATAATATCTGAATGTTCCAGGCACTCCAAACCAAAGAATTAACATAAAAATTGGCCCAGGCAAGAGCATCTAGAAAAAGCAAATTCATCCCCACTTTTTAAAACCAGGTCATATAAGATCACACCACAGATAAAACCTCGCTAAAGAGTAAAAACATATTAAACATAAAAGGAAATACTGACAGTGAACTGAAGGATTTTTTTGAGAGTTAGCAATCGACAGTAGCAGTTCAATAAACTAGAACTTACTAATAGACAACAAAGATAAAATTTTTGAGCATGTGACACTATCTAAGCTAAATCTCTGCCAAATTACCCCAGCAGTGGCACGTAGAGTGGAGAGAGGAAGAGTGACTACAGACTTTATGTAAACTTAGGAAATGATTACAATAGTCCAAGCCTTTCAAAAGATTTTAGAAAATATTCTAATTACATAGTGACAGATGCTTCAGAATGTAAGACCCAGGGCCAGGAGCAATGGCCCATACCTGTAATCCCAGCACTTTCAGAGGCCAACATGGGAGGAATGCCTGAAGGCAGGAGTTGGAGACCAGCCTGGGTAACAAAGTGAGACCCTGTCTCAATAAAAAATTAAAATTAAAATAGTTTTTTAAAAAAGAAAGAATGTAAGACCCAGAAAAAAGGCAATGAGAGTGGAGATAAAATGAGGGAGGGGGATATGAATGAATACTTACAGACATTTTGGGAGTAGAGTTAAAAGGACTCATTGGATTGGGCAGTTAGGGGCTAGGGGGAAAGACAAGAAAGGGAAAAACTAAAGGTGACACTGAGGTTGGGGCTCAACTACTATTGAGGAAAATAGTGGTATATTCTCCCTCTACCAACGACAGGCAGTTTTGGCCCAGCAGATGAGAACACTAGACTGGAAAGAAGCCTCAGATTTCTAGTCCAGGTTCTCTCTCTTTGGCAAGCTACTGAATTTCACATGTTGGTTTCTTCACTTCTGTAATATGGGAGGATTTAGGGAAACTGAGTTAAATACTGGACCAGTTGTGGAGTCAAGGGGATTCAGAATAAACTGCTTGCAAGCAGCAAGAGATATGGGTCTGGAGTTCAGGAGAAAAGCAGTACTGAAAGGACAGAGCAGAGGGAGAATCATCAGTGTTGAAAAGATGGTTAAAGTTGTAGCAGTAGATGATACTATTAGATGCATAAAGACAAGAGGCCTATGAATCTTGGGAAAACCCTAAGCAAATATAAGAAAGGTAGCAGTCGAAAGCTCAGAGACAATTAGCCAGGCATGGTGGTGCATGCCTGTAGTCCCAGCTACACAGGAGGCTGAGGTGGGAAGATCACTTGAGCCAGAATGCAGAGGTTGTAGTGAGCTGAGATCTTGCCACTGCACTCCAGCCTGGGCAACAGGAGTGAAACCCCTGTCTCAAAAAAGAAAAAAAAAAAAAAAGCTCAGAGGCATACCAGTCTTACTGAGAAGGGGTATTCTGAGATAGAGTACCATAATTAGATGACATACTATATTGGGATAGAGTTGTGTTCCATTTTCCACTGCCAACTAATTTCCTGAGTGATTGATAAAATATAAGGAAAATAAAAGTCTTTGTCACAGACCTTCCCTAGTATCCCTCGAAAACACTGATCCTTTGCTTTCATTATGGTGTTAGAAGTTCTACTTCAAAGGGTTTAAAAAATATATTCTATAAAGACAGATAGATACTTCATAATCTAAGCCTTTACACAGCTGAAATTCTGCCTGGCTTAGGCTTGCAGGATACTGTGAAACACACAGCTGATCCAAGTTAGCCCAATAGGAAAGCTGGTTTCACCACCTCAAGACAGAGAAATTGAGGTCAGACTGGTCTAACACAGGCTAAATCAGCGTGCCCTTTTGAAATGGTATCAAAAATTTGGATTTAGTTAACCCCACAGCACAACACAGAAACATGGCTGAAAAGCAGACGTGATGCTTGTGGTTACTGTTCTAAAGGAAACTTTTCCTCCAAGTTTTGCTTTGAAGCAAGTAACGCTATACAAGAGACCAAGATCAAGAGCATTTTTGTACATGATATTCCTTGGATCTTCCTAATTCTCACCTCTGGCCAAACAAGTCATGTCATGCTCTATTTGACTGTGGGGGAAAACTCTTCTCCTTTTGTTTCCACTTCCTACAGGCACATCATCTCACAAGCAGCTAGGACTAAAAGATCTCAGTTTAAAGCAGAAGCCAATGCAAAGCATGAGTTTTTCCTACACATTCTCAAATTAGCAACTACTGAAATTGTACTACATTTCAAATTCAAGGAAATGCTAATAATCAAAAGGTTATGTTTTATGGTCTTAAGCATCCAGAATTACTAGGTCTAAAGATGAATGTTTGATTAGAATCTTCCATATCCTCAATGATGGGAAAATATTGGCCTAGCTTTAAATTATTTCAGCTTAAATTTATCATAGGTTTGCTTGGGTAACAGGGTTGTGGCAGAATCCAAAATTCAAGTAACTGAGTATAGTTAAGTGCTGGACTTCAGACCAGCCTGATTTTCAATCCTTGACCAAAATAATTAGAAGACAGCTGCTCAGCCTCTCCCAAAAGAAAAATTCCTCAATCCAAATTAAAGTATTTATCTAATATGAATCTTTCTGTACAGTCAGAACCCTTCAGGAAATAGCAGCAAGTTGCCTTTTTAAGAACTTTAATCAGAACATAAAAATCGCTTAGTGCTATGATTAGGATGAATGACATTCTTCCCTGATGTTAAAACATTTTGAGATAGTACTTTCCAACACAAAGAACCTAAGAGTGAAGCAGCACACAGCATTTGCAAAGGATCAATAAGATACAGCCCCAGCGAGGCGCTGTGGCTCTCACCTGTAATCCCAGCACTTTGGGAGGCCGAGGTGGGCGGATCATGAGGTCAAGTGATCGAGACCATCCTTGCCAATATGGTGAAACCCTGCCTCTACTAAAAATACAAAAATTAGCCGGGCATGGTGGTGGGCGCCTTTAGTCCCAGCTACTCGGGAAGCTGAGGCAGGAGAATTGCTTGGACCTGGGAGGTGGAGGTTGCAGTAAGCCGAGATCGTGCCACTGCACTCTAGCCTGGCAAAAGAGCGAGACTCCGTCTTAAAAAAAAAAAAAAAAAAAAGATACAGCCCCAAATTTGGCTCACAATTTATCTCAGTGTTTATAAAATCTAGATTTTTTTACCTGATCTCTTAAATGACTGAAGATTAATTAACTTTGATAATTTGATACAATATGGAAACTACCTACAGGTAATATGCAAACCTTAATTTATTCATTCCGTAACATTTGACAAATACACAAAATAATATTAGTTTAATAAAAAGTCTGTTTTGGTAACAGTTTTCAAAAGAGGAAAAATTTTGGCTGGGCGCAGTGGCTCACATCTGTAATCCTAGCACTTTGTGAGGCTGAGGTGGGCAGATCACCTGAGGTCAGGAGAGCAGCCTGGCCAACAAGGCGAAACCCCATCTCTACTAAAAATACAAAAATTAGCCAGGCATGGTGGCACATGCCTGTAATCCCAGCTACTTGGGAGGCTAAGGCAGGAGAATTCCTTGAACCCAGGAGGTGGAGGTTGCAGTGAGCCGAGCGAGATAGCACCACTGCACTCTAGCCTGGGCGACAGAGTGAGACTCCATCTCAAAAAAAAGAGAAAGAAAAGAGGAAAAATTTTAAACCACCACACAAACCAGCAGGTTATAAAGATACAGTTACTACAATGATCGTGGAGAAATGCAGATAAATACATATTGGTAAATGTATGGAAACTGGTCTTCTCACATAATACTGGCATGACTTCAAATTGCTTCTGCCTATTTAGCAGCAGCTATTAGAATTTAAGATGCACATACCCAATGACCCAGCAATCCCACTTCTAAAATTCTGTCCTTCAGAAATAACAGTATGAGAACATAAAAAACATATGTGTAAGGATTATCACAGATTATTAATAACTGTAAAATTTGGAAAACTGTAAATGTTCATCAATAAGAGAAGGTGCACTCAAATTATGGAAGTCACAAAATGGAATACCAGGCAGGCATAAAAAAAATACAGATGTTTATATTGAACCTGGAGAGATGCCCAAGATAGACTGTTAAGTAAAAATACAAGTTGCAAGAAGAAACTAAAACTATATATATATATATATATATATATATATATATATATATATATATATTGCAGACCAGTACAGACAGGGTAAGTCCACTTTTGTTTTAAGTATCTACGAATGCAATACATATATATGTATACAATATATATGTATATATTGTTTTCCCTGATCATTGATTTTAACTTATTCTTAATTTATTTTTAAATAAACCTTGATAGGTATTGCAGGTACAGAGTAAATAGATTAGAAATTGAATAAGGAAAATAATTTTTAAAAGATTTTCCCATGAATACTTGGAATATTTTGAATCTATTAAAGGCAATTTCATTCACATTCTTGATTCAAAGATATTATTCCAGGCCAAGGTAGTAACTGACGTAAGTATGAATGGAGAATCTTGTGACTAATATTAATATATATGAATACAATATATTATCATAGCACAGGGAAGGATCTGCACAAAACTGATCATCAGTTAACAGCTATCAGCTTCTAGGGATGACAATTAACAATTGGAAAGGCAGAAAGGAACTTTCACTGCCTTCTCTCCGAAAAAAATTTAAGTGGTGGGACTACAGGTCATTTTTACTTTCTTATTTGTAATTTAAAACAACAACAACAACAGCAACAACAAAGTTTTTGTATCCCAAGGAAAAAAATGAAAGAAGAAAAATCATTTCTCTTTCTAAGCACAATAGTAGAGTTGAAAAAAAAAATTCTAATAAAAGAAAAAAGTAGAAACTGCATAGTACATAGAAATATCATACCAAGAGACGAATCTAATAAGGCAAAGAAAAATGTACAAGACTCTTTTACCCAATCTTAAGAATGCTGCTTAATGCTTTCTGGGATCTTGCCAAAGACGAGCTATCTTTTCAGGTGGAATTCTGCCCTCTAGTGTACAGTAAAAGAAGTTAAAGACCTATGAAGCAATAATAAATTACTGTTTTAAAGTTAACCAAAATATATTCACTTCATTCCTAGAGTATCATAATCATCTTCTTAAATGAAGGTCTTCGTTTCCTTGCTCCCAAATCAATTTATATTATCATACTAAGTAAACTGTATGACTACCATAACTTCACATACCTATTCCATTCTTCCCTACACATCCAAGAAGCACCTAAAGCATTTAACTTGACTCATTTTTCACACCAGGACAATTTGGCACAACCAAGGGTATAGGAATACGGCAAAATAAAGTTTTAAAAGTCTGTGATCCTAGCAAACCACCATGGCACATGGATTCCTATGTAACAAACCTGCATGTTCTGCACATGTATCCCGGAACTTAAAGTAAAATTAAAAAAAAAAAGTTTGTGATCCTGATAGACATCTGGCTCTTAAAATCATACATGTTTGAAACTTGTTGGCACTATAATTTGAGGCTAAGAGCAAAGGAAAAAGGCTGCTATGTGTAAATAAAGTTCATCTCTTCATAGAATTTTCTAAGAACACTAGAATTTATTTAACTCCAGGCAACCTTGAAAATCACTATAGATAATTCCTAGGTTCAGAGTATTTGTTGTAGGTATTCAATCCGAACTGACAGAGGTTACATCATCCTGGTGACCACAAATGAAAAAAGTTTTTGCTTTGAAAACTTTTTGGCCGGGCACAGTGGCTCACGCCTGTAATCCCAGCACTTTGGGAGGCCCAGGCAGGTGGATTGCTTGAGGTCAGGAGTTTGAGACCAGCCTGGTCAACATGGTGAAACCCTGTCTCTACTAAAAATACAAAAATTAGCCGGGCGTGGTGGCAGGCTCCTGTAATTCCAGCTACTTGGGAGGCTGAGGCAGGAGCATCACTTGAACCTGGGAGGCGAAGGCTGCAGTGAGCCGAGATCCCGACACTGCACTCCAGCCTGGGCAACAGAGTGAGACTCCGTCTCAAAAAAAAAGAGAAACCTTCTCTCTGTTTAGAGTCTCATTTAGATGCTCAGATTGGCAAGGACTTTATTTCATGACCCGAATTGTCAGATATCCTCTTCCCTCCCAAAAGGATATCACTAGACTCTCCATTCATACTTATCTCAGTTACTAGCTTAGCCTGGAATAATAGCTTTGAATCAACAATGTGAATGAAATTGCCTTTAATAGATTGAAAATACTCCAAATATTCAAGGGAAAATCTTTTAAAAACTATTTTCCTTATTCAATTTCTAATCTATTTACTCTGTACCTGCAATACCTATAAAGGCTTATTTTAAAACAAATTAAGAATAAGTTAAAAACAAATGAAGCACGGTATTAGCATCCACTGAAGAACATGAAGGTGAAAGTCAGGTACAGGGTATTCTTTTCTTTCTTTTTTTTTTTTTTTTTGAGACGGAGTCTCGCTCTTGTTGCCCAGGCTGGAGTGCAGTGGCGCAATCTCGGCTCACTGCAAGCTCCGCCTCCCGGGCTCACGCCATTCTCGTGCCTCAGCCTCCGCAGTACCTGGGACTACAGGCGCCCACCACCACGCCCGGAGAATTTTTTGTTTTTTTAGTGGAGACGGGGGTTTCACCGTGTTAGCCAGGATGGTCTCGATCTCCTGACCTCGTGATCCACCCGCCTCGGCCTCCCAAAGTGCTGGGATTACAGGCGTGAGCCACTGCGCCCGGCCAGGGTATTCTTGCTTCTACACAAACCATGTCATTCTGGAGCTGATAAGTAAGACAACACCAGTACCACCAGAGCTGCCAAAATCAATCATTTCCATTGTCACCACTAGTTCCTGAAACATCCTATTAAAAGCTATCTCTAGCTAGTCCTATCCTGGAACAAATGGCCACCAGAAGAAATGCACTTGACACAAGCTGGGCAATGATACTCCTACCTGGCTCTCCATCAACATATAAGTTGTCCACAATGTAGGATTCATACCTCAGTAGGAAATGATTACCCTCTGGAAACAGTAATAGCCATTATTCCCCACATCACATCTTGTCCACAGCTTCACTGTTGCTGCTGACAGGTATCAATGTACAAACATACCTGGAACTTATTTTTTAAAATGTGCTAGACCTTCACTTTCTTGAGACAGGAATGAAACAAAAGTATAGAAAATGGTTATATTAATGAGGAAAAGCTTACAAAGGAAAAATGGGGAAACAGCCCTCTCACTTTCTTCAAAAATAACAAAATAGCTTTCAAAGAGTCCCACATCAGTTATGAAATTGAGGAGAGACTCTTTTAACAAAAAAACATCTATCAGGAGAATAAGAGCGAGCAGTGGCAATGGCAAAGTGGCTGAGAGCCCAGGCTTTGGTCTCAAATAGATTTGGGCTGGAATCCGAGTTCGACCAATCATCAACTATGTAACTTCAACAAGTTAAGGACGCCTCTCTGAACCTCAGTGTCCTGATCTGTGAAATGGGCACAAAGTTAGTGCCTACTCTTGGAATGTTTATGTGGGTTAAGTGAAATAATACATGTAAAACATTTAGCATTGTGCCTTAAATGTGGTGAAGCAGCCAATAAATAGACATTATTTATTCTTTATAAAAGGGTAAAGAATATTTAACCTGTAGTCTGAGAAGATAGTATGTTTGGTATTTAATCTAGAGAACAAATTGTTTCCAAAATGAAATTAACATGGTCATCAAAGGGAAACATGTTACCCTAGAGTGGGAAAAGCAGTTGCCTACAGGAACCATGCAGGTAATATAAATGAGTAAAGCCACTGAGTAGGGACCACAAAAGGGCAAACCCCATCTACTCTGTGCCACCCCAGTGTTACCATAGATGAAGAGGGAAGGTAGTGGCAGAAATTTTCATTTCTCAAGAAAAGCCAGTAATCCAGATTTTTATGTCAACTTTCTAGAGTTTTAAATATTGGCCAAATGAGGAGACTGGGAGAGATCACACCATTAACTGCTCAGACAGGAAGACTCTGCTGAACAAACCAAAGATTGCTGGTTACTGACTACATACACTGAATTCTGGCAAACTACAATGGTCAGCATTACTGTCTTCTCAGTCCTTAGTCTGAGTCTTTTATCTTCAGGATGGTACTGTGAGGGATTCTGTGTCTTCTATCTTTGGGGAAAACACTGCTACACTGACATCACCTATGATGTTGTTTGATACTCAACATTAAGGCCTTTTTTTTTTTTTTCCACTCCATAGATCAAGAAAACAAGGCTAAAACTACATGGGAAAATGATGTCTTTCCCTCTTAAGTTATATTGCTTTAGGTCATTCTCAATCTATAAAGAGGCAGCTAAACAGTAGGCCCTTAATTAAACAAGTCAATGCGTAAGGGTAGGATTACAAATTTTAATGACACTAATGGTGGCCCGCTGTTGGAATAAATAGTAAATGTTGGCTTGAAAATAGGTAGCAAATGTGGGGTTGAAGCCTGGCCAGCCAGATACCAGCAAATGCTGAGAAAACTGGATGCAAGTAGCTAACAGTACTGGTAGTAAGGACTGGGGAGTGAGGGAAGAGGCGGATCAAGAGCATGGAATGACAAGACCATGAGAATTTAGACACATTAAGCTTTGTACTTTACTACCAAATGTAGGAGAGTAATTTTTGTAGTTTGATTCCTGCCTCTAATTAAAGTAGGGCTTATTCCATTCCCAAAACATAAACTTTGGCTTTTTATAGCCTAAGCAGTGTGCTATTTTAAACACATGGAGGAAATGCATTTTTAGTTACAAACATTTGCTCCTCTAAATCTGTTCTTATTTCTGAATCTGTGCTTATCTTATCAAAAGATGTGGGACAGGATGTTTTACTCTCCTGCTCTGGTTTTCCTGTATTGCTTAAATCTGTTTAGAGAGAGGAAAATAAACAAATAAAGTGTTTCTGCAAGACAATTTCTATAAACTGAAGCAGCTCCCAAAATGAAAAAAGTCTGTGGGAAAAAAACTTGACTGTGTTAATTTTCTTTTAAAATATTAGATTATTCCTATAGATCCTTCCCTTGAAAAGACTTTCTATACTCTGCAAATGGAGTCTGCTGACAGATACTAATATTTGCACGGATAAAATGTGCCCACTCAGATACCCCAGATCAGCTGAATTCCTCTTGGACCCGTCTTTTCCCAAGCACAATTGTAACTGTAAAGCTTTTTGAGATGCATTTCATAAAAATGAGCATACCAACCTTGAAAGTCATTCTGGATCTACTCAGAAATCCAAGGTTCACAGTATCATAATTAAACACGTACATTTTCACGTACAACTCTAAGGACTTTTACTCAGGCACTTGGCAGACATATCCTTGTAATGTGTTATGTTCCATCAGGGCTTTCAAAGAAACTGATTTTGGTCAAATTTCACTTTACCCTGTTTATAAGGGAGTCAGCATTCTTTACTGAAAAATATTTCACTTGTATAGCTCCCAAGGTAGCTCCTGGTTGGCCCCTAGATTCCCTCTATACCCTTTCCCACATGGCTCTCTGCTCTAGGAGCTGCTCTGTGAGGACAGCCTGATGAAGACTCTCCTTAAACCAAACTTTAGTCAGACTCCACTGAGCCCTCTTCTCAACTAAGGCTTGAAATTGGCCCCTGCCCTTGCTGGCCTGCACAGCGCAGTTTTGGAAAGAATTCTGTGCTAAGTCAGTGTAGAGAGAATCCCCTACCCTTGATATCTGATCACACTACCCTGCCTTGAGCAAGAATCACCCTCTCCTTGATGTCTCCTCTTAGTAATTTTCTATCCACTGACCACCTGCCTCCCGATTCTGCTAAAAATCCCCAGCTGTCTTTGCTGTATTCGGAGTTGAGCACTCTCTCTCTCCCCAGAGATAGTCTTGAGACCCACTGCAATAGTTTTGGATAAAGTGTTCTCACAGTTTTAACAAGTGTCAGAATATTCTTTAATAAGCCTCAGAGGGCAATGGAGTACCCTAAGAGGCTGCAGAGAGAGAAGAAACAGATCTGGGTATTTATTCCCTTGGCTTCCCTCTGGGGGAAGTCCATCACTTAACAGAAGGTCTCAGCTCCTGTCAGGAGGTCCATTCCACCTAACCCTTTCTTCCCCTGCCATTAACTGCTCCCACTCTTGCCCTTTCAGGCCTAGGGGTAGTAATAGAGTCTCATTATTACCAGCCCCAGGGAGGCCACACCAATATTTGTATCCCTGTGGTTTTCCACCACTTTGTGAGAAAGTATCATATTTGAGAATGCCATCTGTTTCCTGCTGGATCTCCCTAATGCAGATATCATCTCAGCAGATTTCTTATTCTAAAAAGCATATTAGCTGTAAGAAAGGCAGGCATGGATATGACAAGCAGTGAGATTTCTACATGAGTGACTTAAGCTGATTTTAAGCTGCCATTTCTCCATTCTTTAGTTATTTTCATAATTATAGTAGCAAAGAGTATTTTCTGAAACATACAGTTTCCAAGTAGAATCTCTAAGCATCAACAGGGATTATTTTAAGAAGAAATATCCAAGGAAACTAGAAGTAAAAACTGTGTTAGCTGAAACTAACCAGAAACCTAAGAAGAGCTTCTTTGCCTTTATTTCCATCTGGTGGTTATATCCAGAGGTAACTTCATAGCAATACTTTCAATAAGTGCAAGAAACACTAATAATACCACATACAAACCTGGCAACTCTTAATCACCTGCTGAAGGCTAATTCCATACGTTGTCTAGAGCAGTATTTTGTCAAATTCAGGTTGCAGTTGATTGTGAAATCAATTCAGCAGGTCATAACAGTTTTTTAAATGACACATCTATACACAATAATGTAAAACAGAAAATCAGAGCATATTATACATAGTAAGGGTAAATATTTCACCAAATTTTAATCTCACCTTTTTACATACCTATTTTTATAGGTGTACAAGGGCATAATGTAAAATGTATTCCTTATGATGGGCGGCAGTCAAGAAAGTTTGAAAGCTACTGGTCTGGGTGGCCAGGTGTGGTGGCTCACACCTGTAATGCCAGCACTTTGGGAGGCTGAGGCAGGTGGCCGAGGTCAGGAGTTCAAGACCAGCCTGGACAACATGGTGAAACCCCGTCTCTACTAAAAATACAAAAATCAGCCAGGTGTGGTGGCGGGCGCCTGTAATCCCAGCTACTCGGGAGGCTGAGGCAGGGAACTGCTTGAACCCAGGAGGTGGAGCTTGCAGTGAGCCGAGATCGCGCCACTGCACTCCAGCCTGGACGACAGAGCAAGACTCCGTCTCAAAAAAATAAAAAATAAATAAATAAATAAATAAAGCTACTGGTCTGAAGAGAACTCCCTGCAAACAATACAATAAATGTAAAGCCAAAAACATGTTGTTTCAGCCTATAGCTTCAAATTTTAAAAATCCTAATCTTCATTAAAAATACAGCTTGTTGGATGGGTGCAGTGGCTCATGCCTGTAATGCCAGCACTTTGGGAGGCTGAAGGGGGTGGATCACGAAGTCAGGAGTTCAAGACTAGCCTGGCCAACATAGTGAAACCCCATCTCTACTAAAAATACAAAAAATTAGCCAGGCGTGGCAGCACGTGCCTGTAATCCCAGCTACTCTGGAGGCTGACGCAGGAGAATGGCTTGAACCCAGGAGGCAAAGGTTGCAGTGAGCCAAGATTGCACCACTGCACTCCAGCCCAGGAAACAGTGCGAGACTCCAACTTGAAAACAAAAACAAAACAAAGCAACAAAAAAAAACAGCTTGTTACCAGGTATAAGCATATAAGTAACTGAAATAAAAATTCTATAAAACATTATTTATTCTTTATTCTTTTGAGACAAGGTCTCCCTCTGTCGCCCAGGCGGGAGTGCAGTGGTGCAATCTCAGCTCACTTCGACCTCTGCCTCCTGGGTTCAAGCGATTCTGCTGCCTCAGCCTCCTAGGTAGCTGGGATTAAGGGCATGTGCCACCAAGCCCAGCTAATTTTTGCATTTTGAGTAGGCATGGGGTTTCACCATGTTGGCCAGGCTGGAAAACAGTATTTACTCCTACTACATGTGATGTGCTCTGATATTTTCTCTTAATTGATTATTCCAAACCACAGCTTACAAAGTACTTGCTTAGAGTATTAACAGGGCCAGGTCTGTAGAATTTTGTTCTACAGCTGCCTTCATCTGATTTTATGTCATTTCTACTGTGGTAGCAAGCAGTCAAATCCTCTTCCTCCATAGGTTTCTGTGTAACTACTACATGACTTCTGCTCAGTGGGAGAGAAATATCTTGAGTATGAAGTAGATAAAGATGTAACAGATGAGGAAGTAGCCCCATCCACATGTCCTGGCATTCAGTGCCATGATACATGCTGAGAGCAGCATCTTACAGCAAGCACGTGCAGCTCACAGCCTGAGGACAGAGGGCAAGGAATGTGTGGAAGCAGCTCTGAGCCAATGTCCGATGGGCACTGGAGGCTAAACATCCCACTCTCCTCAGCCCTCACTGTGTTCTTCCCAATCTCTAAGTTTCCCAGCAGGAATGAGTGCCAGTCACCACCAGCAGTCACCTGCTTGATAACTCAACCTTTACTGGCTTCTTTCCTCTCTTGTACCTCTCTATTGGGGCTTCCTGGAATCACCTCTCACATAAATGACATGCACTTAAACCTTTATCTCAGGGTCTATTTCTGGGTAAATGCAACCTAAGAGAGTATACTAGTATAACTCTGTTGTTAAGAGCCAGGGCTGCAAAGATGGGGAAGGCCCACCCTAAAAAAGCTCACACTTTTTTAGGAAAATCAACACTCTTTTTAAAAATGTGGGGCCGGGGGTGGATCATGAGGTCAGGAGATCGAGACCATCCTGGCTAACAAGGTGAAACCCCGTCTCTACTAAAAATACAAAAAATTAGCCGGGCGCGGTGGCGGGCGCCTGTAGTCCCAGCTACTCGGGAGGCTGAGGCAGGAGAAGGGCGTGAACCCGGGAAGCGGAGCTTGCAGTGAGCCGAGATTGCGCCACTGCAGTCCGCAGTCCGGCCTGGGCGACAGAGCGAGACTCCGTCGCAAAAAAAAAAAAAAAAAAAAAAAAAAAAAAAAAAAAGTGGGGCCGGGCCCGGTGGCTCACGCCTGTAATCCTAGCACTTTGGGAAGCCAAGGAGGGCAGATCACGAGGTCAGGAGATCAAGACCATCCTGGCTAACACAGTGAAACCTCGTCTCTACTAAAAATACAAAAGATTAGACGGGCGTGTTGGCACCTGTAGTCCCAGCTACTCAGGAGGCTGAGGCAGAAGAATGACATGAACCCGGGAGGCGGAGCTTGCAGTGAGCCGAGATTGCGCCACTGCACTGCAGCCTGGGTGACAGAGCGAGACTCCACCTCAAAAAAAAAATGTGAAACAAAACTTTACTGCTCATAGCAATGACAGGTATGCTCCAGGAGGGAAGGAAGAGGGGACAATATCTGACTGAAGGGCCACAGAAGCCACTGTAGGAGACTATGCAGAACTCCCCACAGGAGTCAGGTGGGTAGTCAGGGCTATCCATGGTATGGGTCTATGTTCACTTCCCTGTGGCAACAGTCTTAAGCCTCTCTGATTTACTGTAATACTTTACTTCTCACATTTAGGTTAAGAAAAGAATTTTTACTTCTTCCAAAAAGAAAGAATTCTAGCCTTCAGCTAAAAATAACTCAAGTAATATGAAAAATATGAAGGGAGGAAAACCATTAAGTTCCTGACAATGTGTTAAGAAAACTATTTGTAAATCATCTTTGATCTTTTTATGTTCCTCTAAGATCACAGAGGATGGGAGTGAGTGTTCATCGCAAATCTTCATGAAAAGTTCTGCAGAAGGCTGATATTTTCATTTGAAAAGTATTATTTTTAAATGTAAAATTTACACGTTCAGCTTTGTGTTCAATACTATAAACTAGGACTTCTTTTAGGCTGGCAACAAATAAGAAAGCTACAACTAATTTTCTTCGCTTTTTTTTTTTTTTTTTTTTTTTAAGAGACAGGATCTCTCTGTCACCCAGGCTGGAGTGCAGTGGCACAATCACGGCTCACTGCAGCCTCAACCTTCTGGGCTCAAGGGATCCTCCTGCCTCAGCCTCCACAGTAGCTAGGACAGAGGTGCAAGCCACCATGCCCAGCTAATTTTTTTTTTTTTAAGAGACAGGGTCTTACTGTATTGCCCAGGCTGGTCACAAACTCCTGGGTTCAAGCAATCCTCCTGAGAAAGTTATGGCTAATTTTCCTTTGCATCTTCCATTCTGGTAAATATTGCAGCAAAGGCAAAGCAGCATCATAATTCTCTCTCTCAGGCAAGGAGTCTGATCTGCAGCGAAAGTAGGTATTTGCACTGAAAGCTTCTCCAACGTGCCAAGTACATCAGGGAGTGAGACTCAAATACTCACCCTGACCCGGCAGGGAGTGATGGCAGAGCTGAAGGAACATTAGCCTGTGGTTTTTCTTTCTCATTCTGCTTGAAGAAGGATTTGGCCTCTTTAGATGTAGCATCCACTTCCTTAGTTACCCTGTGCCAAGGAAAAAGACATCAAGCTTACAAGAAGAATAAAGAGAAAGAAACAAGCTAGAAAAGGGAATAAAGACAACTAGAAAAAGATCCACTCGGCTTCCAATAAATTCTGGACGCTCAGCATTATGATAAAAGTTTACTATAACTTTCAATAAAGACATTTGCCCAGCCGGGCGTGGTGACTCACGCCTGTACTCCCAGCACTTTGGGAGGCCGAGGCAGGCGGATCACAAGGTCAAGAGATCGAAACTATCCTGGCCAACATGGTGAAATCCCGTCTCTATTAAAAATATAAAAATTAGCTGGGCGTGGTGGCGGGCGCCTGTAGTCCCAGCTACTCGGGAGGCTGAGGCAGCAGAATCACTTGAACCCGGGAGGCAGAGGTTGCAGTGAGCCGAGATCACGCCATTGCACTCCAGCCTGGGCAACAGCACGAGACACCGTCTCAAAAAAATAAAAAAAATAAAAAAACATTTTCCCTCACTAAAATTAACAAATGAAACAACAATGTGTATAAATTTTATCACCCTATAACAACCCAAAGATGAAACAAAATCCCCTAAAACTGGCTAAATTAGCAATAATTTGGGAATGGACGAAAGCAACATGACTGAGAATTTTGTCTAATTTCAAATCTGAAACAATTATCTTCACTAAAACTGAGTCCTAAAGGTTCAAATAAAGGTGTTTATGGTACCTGAGAATTCAGATAAAGAGAGAAGGAGAAATGTTTAATCCCTGCCTAGGCTTTCCAGGTTAACGAAAACACCTGAGGAATGTTGTTTAAATGCAGTCCATCTCCCCTCCATGACTTCTCAGCATGAAACACACTGCAGCAGTCAATACTAAATCTCCATGCTGGTTTACTGATGTGAAGGCTGAAAAAGGCCCTCACACTGCACCCCACATGCAGATTAGCACTCAGCCTTGAAAGCTGAGATGGGGAGATGGAATACTGGGAATATAGGTTATAGAATTGGGAAATAATGCCTAGGTTGGCACTATTTCAAGGAGAAAAACAAGAGTTAAAAAAAAAAATTTGAGGAGACCAGGCACAGTGGCCCATGCCTGTAATCCCAGCACTTTGGGAGGCCAAGGCAGGCGGACCACGAAGTCATGAGTTTGAGACCAGCCTGGCCAACATGGTGAAACCCTGTCTCTACTAAAAATACAAAAAATTAGCCAGGCATAGTGGCAGGCGCCTGTAATCACAGCTACTAGGGAGGCTGAGGCAGGAGAATTGCCTGAACCCAGGAGGTGGAGGTTGCAGTGAGCTCAGACCACGCCACTGCACTTCAGCCTGGGCAACAGAGCGAGACTCTGTCTCAAAAATAAATAAATAAATTGAGAAGACTCTGCAGAAGGCTCCTGTTTTATATCCAAAACAACCCAAAGATGAAACAAAAACTGGCTAAATTAGCAATAATTTGGGAATGGACGAAAGCAACATGACTGAGAATTTTGTCTAACTTCAAATCTGAAAAAATTATCTTCACTAAAACTGAGTCCTAAAGGCTCAAATAAAGGTATTTATGGTACCTGAGAATTCAGATAAAGAGAGAAAGAGAAATGTTTAATCCCTGCCCAGGCTTTCCAGGTTAACAAAAACACCTGAGGAATTTTGTTTAAATGCAGTCTATTATGGCCGGCCTCAGTGGCCTCTTTTGTAGTCCTCTGAGAAGTTTTTTCTTGTTTTTTGTTTGTTTGTTTGTTTTCATTTGAGATGGAGTCTCGCTCTGTCGCCTAGGCTGGAGTGCAGTGGCGCAATCTCGGCTCACTGCAACCTCTGCCTCCTGGGTTCATGCCATTCTCCTGCCTCAGCCTCCCAAGCAGCTGGGACTACGGGTGCCCGCCACCACGCCCAGCTAATTTTTTTGTATTTTTAGTAGAGATGGGGTTTCACCGTGTTAGCCAGGATGGTCTTGATCTCCTGACCTTGTGATCTGCCCGCCTTGGCCTCCCAAAGTGCTGGGATTACAGGCGTGAGCCACTGCGCCCAGCGTTTTTTTGTTTTAAAACCAGGCCAGGTACAGTGGCTCATGCCTGTAATCCCAGCATTTTGGGAGGCCAAAGTGGGCAGATCATTTGAGGTCAGGAGTTCGAGACCAGCCTGGCCAACATGATGAAACCCCATCTCTACTAAAAATACAAAAGTTAACTGAGTGTGGTGGTGCATGCCTGTAACTCCAGCTACTTAGGAGGCTGAATCACTTGAACCTGGGAGGCAGAGGTTGCAGTGAGCCAAGATAGCATCACTGCACTCCAGCCCTGACAACAGAGCAAGACTCCGTCTCAAAAAGAAAACAACAGGCCGGGGGCAGTGGCTCACGCCTGTAATCCCAGCACTTTGGGAGACTGAGGCGGGCAGATTATGAGGTCAGGAGTTCGAGACCAGCCAGGCCAACATGGTGAAACCCTGTCTCTACTAAAAAAAGTAAAAAAAATTAGCCGGGCATAGTGGCAGGTACACCTGTATCCTAGCTACTCGGGAGGCTGAGGCAGGAGAACCTCATGAACCCAGAAGGTGGAGGCTGCAGTCAGCCGAGATCCCGCCACTGCACTCCAGCCTGGGCGACAGCGAGACTCCGTCTCAAAAAATAAATAAATAAATAAAAATAAAAGAACAAAACAAAACAAATCCTTCCCTACTCCACTGATGCTGAGCTTGGATACACGACTTGCTACAAAGGCCAATGAAGTATTAGCTGATCTGAGAGGAACAGAAGCTTAAACATGTTTGTGCTGTTTCTCTTGCCCCTTGAATTCATCCCTTGAGTCATAAGGAGAATACACCTCAACTGGCTGCTGGTCCAAGATGGCAGAAAGACACATGCTGTAGACCTGAACCCAACAAACAAGCAGCTTGGAGCTTAGCTGAGCCGAGTCTAAATCACTCAATCTCAGATACTCAGAGGCAAAAGGCAACAAGTAAATGCTTATCATTGTACATCACTGAGTTTTGGAATGGTGTGCTACACAGCACTACTGTAGCAAGAGCTGACTGACACATTTACATTTTGTGAGTAAGAAAACTGAAATATAAGGTTGCGTTACTTATTCAAGGCTATCCTGAGATTAAGCAGCAATGCTATAGAGAACCCTATAGCAGACAGGATATTCCAAAGATGGTTGCCACAAATTTCCCATCCCCACATGCTCTTCCAGAACCCTGATACTACCCCAGTTAGAGGGGGAGTCTGTGTCATCACCCCTTGAAAGTGAATGGGCCTTCATGGCTGTCTCAACTCAAAGAGTTCTGTGGAAGTGGCACAACATGACTTCCACAGGCTAGCAAATAAAAGATAATACAGCTTCCACCTGGCATGCTTCCACCTGGCATGCTCTGTCTGTCTGTCTGTCCCTGTGTCTGTCTCTCTCAAGAATGCACCTTTGAAACTCCAAGTTACCACAAAAGAAGTCTGGCTACTCTGCAGCCACTATGTTGGAGAGATCATATGGGAAGATCACACAGAAACAGACGTCTGAGAAGCCTGTACCAACCCCTGGGTGTTTGAGCCTTCCCAGCTCTGGCATCAGACGTGGGAGTAAGAAAACCTGTGAAGGCTGGGCGTGGTGGTCATGCCTGTAATCCCAGCACTTTGGGAGGCTGAGGCGGGCAGATCACGAGGTCAGGAGATTGAGACCACCCTGGCTAACACGGTGAAACCCCGTCTCTACTAAAAAATACAAAAAAAATTAGCCAGGCATGGTGGCGGGCGCCTGTAGTCCCAGCTACTCGGGAGGCTGAGGCAGGAGAATAGTGGGAACCCGGGAGGTGGAGCTTGCAGTGAGCCGAAATCATGCCACTGCACTTCAGCCTGGGAGACAGAGCGAGACTCCGTCTCAAAAAAAAAAAAAAAAAAAAAAAGAAAACCTGTGAAGTGGTTCCACACTTAGCCACTGTCTGATTACAACTGTACAAGAGACCCTGAGTAAGAACTGCCTAGCTGAGCCCAGCCACCCCTGGAACCAAGAGAAATTATAATAAAACAATTATTTTTTAAAGCCACTAAATTTTGAGGTGCTTTCTTACACTGTTGTAAAAATAACCAAAATAAACCCACATCCAAATCTCAGGCTTAATGCAGGGTTCTGGAGTACTAAACTAGAAAGGGTACCTTTAAATTTCCTTGCTCTGGGTAGAATCTGGGGCAGACCAGCTAATGAAGAACAAGTAGAAACTGCCACTTACATATAGTAATCTGAACACATGCTTTATTCCAGTCCTGCCAAAACCCTACTAAATAGTGGCAAATAAATTTAAAAAGATGAAACTACACAAGGATAATGAGAAGAAGTATAACAGAAAAGGGATGCCAACAGAATTTTCTTCTTCTTTTTTTTTGTTTTAAAGACAGAGTCTCACCATGTTGCCTGGGCTGGATTCAAACTCCTGGGCTCAAGTGGTCCTCCTGCCTTGGCCTCCCAGTGCTGGGATTACAGGCATGAGCCACTGCGCCCAGCCCAAATTTTCTGACAGTAGAAAGCAGCCAGGTGCAGTAGCTCGGGCCTGTAATTCCAGCACTTTGGGAGGCCAAGGGCGGGAGGATTACTTGAGCCCTGGGCAACATGGCAAGACCCTAACTCTACAAAAAATTTTTTAAAATCGGCTGGGCGTGGTGGCTCACGCCTGTAACCCCAGCATTTTGGGAGGCCAAGGCAGGCGGATCACCTGAGGTTGGGAGTTCGAGACCAGCCTGATCAACATGGAGAAACCCCATCTCTATCAAAAATACAAAATTAGCCAGTGGTGGTGGCACATGCCTGTAATCCCAGCTGCTTGGGAGGCTGAGGCAGCAGAATCGCTTGAACCCAGGAGGTGGAGGTTGCGGTGAGCCGAGATCGTGCCATTGCACTCCAGCCTGGGCAACAAGAGCAAAACTCCATCTCAAAAAAAAAAAAAAAAAAAGGAAAAAAAAAATCAGCCAGGCATCATGGCGTGCACCTGTAGTCCTAGATGCTTGGGAGGCTGAAGCAGAAGGATCGCTTGAAGCCAGGAGTTCAAGGTTACAGTGAGCTATTATCGTGGAACTATACAGCCTAGGCAACAGAGTGAGACCCTGTCTCAAAACAAAAAACAAAACAAAACAAAAAAGAAGGTAGAAAGCAAGTAGACAAGTAATAACTGGCTTTGGTTTTTGTTTTCTCTGATCTCCTAAGCCTACAGCCATGTGGAATGGCCAAAAACAGGCAAGCCAATGTGTACTAAAGTACCCTAGAAAGGCTCATTAAATTGAGACACCAGGAACCTTTCGAGGTAGAGGAAAGGAATAGGGCTAAAACCAGTTGGAATTATCCATCAGGAGCAGCTAGGCCCCAGATCCCCTTCAGCAGCACCTCATACCACAGGCTACTGCTCTACCCCATCCCCAATCCAGCAGAACCCATTACTCTGGAGAAATGAAAACCACGGAAGTTCCAGACTCAAAAGGCATGGCTGAAGTCCATTCTGAGAAAAGAGGAATTATATGAAAATCTATGTATTCATTCTTCCTTTGCCAGAGCAACCCTGAAGCCTAGGTGTTCTGTACAACTGAGTTACAAGATGGAGTGCTACGAAACTCATATTGGACTTTATACCAGTAAGAAATAATGTACTGTATTATGCTACTGAGTTGCTGAGTTTGTTACCTCAGCCTAGACTGCCCTGGCCTGTCATATCAATTCTACTAATATGAATCTCATAAAAACAGAAAATAGGGGGAAGTTGTCAACAATAACAGAAAATGTCCTAGAAGTGAAGGATAGGCTTCCATAAAAAAGAGCCACAGAACACTGGATGCAGCTAATTTAAAAGCATCCAGCTTGACACAGTGGCTCACACCTGTAATCCCAGCACTTTGGGAGGCCGAGGTGGGCAGATAGTGAGGTCAGGAGTTCCAGACCAGCCTGGCAACATGGTGAAACCCTGTCTCTATTAAGAAATACAAAAATTGGCTGGGCGCAGTGGCTCACGCATGTAATCCCAGCACTTTGGGAGGCCGAGGTGGGTGGATCATGAGGTCAGGAAATCAAGACCATGCTGGCTAATACAGTGAAACCCCGTCTCTACTAAAAATACAAAATATTAGCCAGGCTTGGTGGCGAGCGCCTGTAGTCCCTGCTACTCGGGAGGCTGAGGCAGGAGAATGGCGTGAACCAGGGAGATGGAGCTTGCAGTGAGCCAAGATTGCACCACTGCACTCCACCCTGGGCAACAAAGTTAAGACTCCGTCTCAAAAAAAAAAAAAAAAAAAAAATTAGCTGGGCGTGGTAGCAGGTGCCTGTAATCCCAGCTGCTTGGGAGACTGAGCCAGGAGATTCGTTTGAACCCAGGAGGCAGAGGTTTCAGTGAGCTGAGATAGCGCCACTACACTCCAGTCTGGGCGACAAGGTGCGACTCCGTCTCAGAAAAATAAAAAAAAGATTCACATCAAGGCAAATCACTGTGAAGTTTCAGAATGCTGGTGATAGAGAAGATGAAATCAAATGGCCTAAGTGATAGCTTAAGGAAAAGTAGCCTCTAGGTAATGCATGTTTGGTTTTGTTTTTTACTACCTTCATGGAAATGACAAGCCTGGAAAGAGTCACCTGAGACAATTAGGTCAACATTTGCTGAAAAGCAACCTAGATCCAAGCACTGTTAGATGTTGAACATATAAAAAAAAATATGGCATGGCCTTTGCTCTTAAGGAGCTCACAGTTCAGCAGAACAGCCAACCATGAAAGCAAGTCATTGTAATACATGATATATAGTAAGTGGCATAAAAGCAGCATGGAAAAAGTATAAACTGTGGGAGTATCTCTCAAAATTTCTTAGTGCCAAAGTCCTATCTATATTCACTAGGAAACACTGGTATATTTATCTCAGGAACTTTAGTAATTGACACCAAGTAATATTACAGATTACTCTTCATTGACAGTATGCCTAGAACAACTCCACTTTTAACAAGCAATAAGGGATTCAAGTATCAAAATATCTTCAAGCAGGAGAACAGTTAAATTATAGACCACCTCTAACGCACAAGAGGGAACTCTGACAGGAAAAGGCCTATTATTAGTAATAGTTAATTCAAGTGTTCTCAACAGAAATTCCATTTTAACTTTATTTTCACTTGCTCAGAACTTCCTGAAAGTCTTTAATTGGGCAGAAACTTTCCATGACTGGCTTTTTCCAAAAGGTGAATCATTTAGGAAAGTCTGAGCTAACTGGCTCAGCTGGTTATGTGATAGGGCAGAATACAAAATACTATATTCCCCCATTCCCCTAGGTTAATAAGCTAAACATTTTTCAAGTAGGGACAAAAACAAAATGAAATGATCAAAGCCCAAAATTTAACATTAAAATACAGTTAGAAAACTGAAGACTAACTTTGTGCTAACACTACCTTACACTTAGACCTACAAATTCCTTCCTGTCATCACCAGCTCTTCTCACATTTCTTGAAGATGTAGTAATGCTCTTAACTTGATACAGAGAGAAAAAGGAGAATAATGACATGAAGAAATTAAAAGATATGCTCAAATCCATACAACAAATTTGTATCTGTTATCAATGAAAATTCAGATCTCGTAAGTCCCCTTATGAGAATTCCTTATAATGCCTAAATTTAAGTATAAATAAATTAAGTTTAAAAAAATCCTGTCAACATGCCCACTATTAACAGGGTTTTTGTTTTCTTTAGGGGAAGGGAGTTACAGAACTTTCACTTTTCATGTTATATATATTATATATCTCTGTAACATGATTTTTAAAGTAATAAGCATGTATCATTTTGAAATATAAAATGTATGTGACAGTATGTAATTCATATGAAAAAAGGGCTTCCATACTCATTTCTTTGTTTTGTTTTTTATAGACATGGTGCTGCCCTCTTCTGACAAATTGAGAAAACAGCAGACGCCCTGAATACCCATCAAGGACATTTAAAATTACCATCCACTTGTTTTCAAAAATGAAATAGGAAATTTGCAGCACACAACTATAATAGTATTTACTAACAAGTCCACAACACTTAATTTGACCGAAAATTTATGACTTTTTTTGAGACAGGGTCTCACTCTGTCACCCAGGCTGGAGTTCAGTGGCACGATCTCAGCACACAGCAACCTCTGCCTCCTGGTCTCAAGGGACACTCCTACTTCAGCCTCCTGAGTAGCTGGGACTACAGACACACACCACAATGACTGGCTAATTTTTATATTTTTTGTAGAAATGGAGTTTCTCCATGTTGCCCAGGCTGGTCTTCAACTCCAGTACTCAAGCAGTCCTCCTGCCTCAGCCTCCCAAAGTGCCGGGATTACAGGCATGTGCCACTGCGCCTGGCCTAATGACTTCTTACAGCAACAGTTATTTACCAGCTTTTTGTACACTCTATGTGAGGGCCACTAGTGAAGTTATAAATAAATCTTTCTTAGTCTGCATAACACATAGAAAATAATTCAAGCCAAAAAAGACTTCAAAAAACTTTTAAACCTATATTCCTAACGGTACATTAACATACTTTCTATATTATTTTTATAGGACTTTCAAACTATTAAAAGTTTATACTGTCAGCGTTCTGCTGGTCCCCTACTGGATGTACAACTCAACAGCTTCCAGAATAATTTCAGGCAGTAAAATATATTACTAATTCATATCATCAATAATTATTTATGGGGCCAGGCATGGTGGCTCACACCTGTAATCCCAGCACTTTGGGAGGCCGAAGTGGGCGTATCATTTGAGGTCAGGAGTTGGAGACCAGCCTGGCCAACATGATGAAACCCTGTCTTTACTAAAAATAAAAAACTTGGCCGGGTGCAGTGGCAGGTGCCTGTAATCCCAGCTACTCGGGAGGCTAAGGCAGGAGAATCGCTTGAACCCAGGAGGCGGAGGTTGCAGTGAGCTGAGATCGCACCACTGCACTCCAGCCTGGGCAACAGAGTAAGACCGTGTCTCAAAATAATAATAGTAATTATTATTATTATTTATGGAACCCGAAAACAACTAATTACCAAGGAAAAGGTTGCCTTACAATGAAGAATTCTGGAAGGTACTGTCATTTTTCTTTTTTTTTTTTTGAGACGGAGTCTTGCTCTGTTGCCCAGGCTGGAGTGCAGTGGCACGATCTCGGCTCACTGCAAGCTCCGCCTCCCGGGTTCACGCCATTGTCCTGCCTCAGCCTCCTACAGGCACCCGCCACTGCACCCAGCTAATTTTTTGTATTTTTAGTAGAGAACGGGTTTCACCGTGTTAGCCAGGATGGTCTCGATCTCCTGACCCCATGATCCGCCTGCCTCGGCCTCCCAAAGTGCTGGGAATACAGGCATGAGCCACCGCGCCCGGCCGCAAAGGTACTGTCTTAAGATACTGGTGGCCTAACTTATCCCCATCAATGCTGAGTCTCTTGATGGATGAGAAGCACCATCAATGTAGTATTTTTGTCTAACATAATTAATGTGAAGCTCATCATAAACAATGCAGCAATCCAAATTGAGGGACATTATGCAATACAAATGGCCTGGACTCTTAAAAAAAAAAAAGCTTAAAACCAATGCTGTGAAATACAGAAAAGGCATGAAAAACAGTTCTAAGTACAAGGAGTTTAAAAAGACCAAATGCAAAATCAACAGCAACAACAAAAGACCAATTATGGTTTTCATCTTAGATTGGATCTTAGAGGTGGCTCCATAGCACAACGGATAGCGCGCTGGACTTCTAGACTGGATTTTAGATTGAACAAGAAATACAGCTATAAAGTACATTATTGGGATAACTGGGGAAAAACTGAATGGAATCATTTGTATATAGTGCTATTCAAGTTTTGACTGCAAAACTACCTGTTATTGGTCCAAGATGAGATGGGCACAGAAATTGTGAGTATTTAGAAACTTGTTCAGCAATTTGACAATGTCACAATACTCAAGACATGAGCAGTGGGCCCTTCCATTAAACAGAGTATAAATTCAGTTAGGCCAGATTTGCAAGGTGAGTCACATGTGATATGAATTATCAGTCACACGCAGTAGGACATTACAATGTGTGTGATACTTCAGAATTATCTTGTCAACTAAAGCCCAAAAATGTAATAAAATGTAAGCATTTATTTTTATAACTTATTTTTACAATCATTTTAATTGTTACTCAATTGTAATTTTTAAAATTTATACAGGTGCCAGGCATGATGACTCATGTCTGTAATCCCAACACTTTGGGAGGCCAAGCAGGCAGATGCTTGAGCCCAGGAGTTTGACACCAGGCTGGATAAACCCATCTATACAAAAAACACAAGAGGCCTGGTGTGGTGGCTCATGCCTGTAATCCTAGCACTTTGGGAGGCTGAGGCGGGCAGATCATATGAGGTCAGGAGTTCCAGACCAGCCTGACCAACAAGGTGAAACCTCGTCTCTACTAAAAATACAAAAAAAATTTAGCCAGGCATGGTGGTGCGTGCCTGTAGTCCAGCTACTCAGGAAGCTGAGGCAGGAGAACTGCTTGAACCAAGGAGGTAAAGTTGCAGTGAGCTGAGATTGTGTCATTGCACTCCAGCCTGGGTGACAGAGTGAGACTCCATCTCAAAAAAAAAAAAAAAACAAATGAGCCAGGCGTGGTGGTATGCACCTGCAGTCCTAGCTGCTAAGGAGGCTGAGGTGAGAGGACTGCCTGAGCCCAGGAGGCAGGGACTGCAGTGAGCCAAGACTGCGCCACTGCACTCCAGCCTGGGTGACAGAGCAAAACCCCGTCTCCAAAAAAAAAAAGAAAAAAGAAAAAAAAAATTTATGTAGATGGTCAGACATGGTGGCTCACACCTGTAATCCCAGCACTTTGGGAGGCCAAAGCAGGAGGATCACTTGAGGACAAGAGGTCAGGACCACCTTGGGCAACACAGCAAGACCCCATCTCTACAAAAAAATAAAATAGGCCAGGTGCAGTGGCTCATACCTGTAATCCCAACACTTTGGGAGGCTAAGGCAGGAGGATCACTTGAGCCCAGGAGTTCAAGACCAGCCTAAGCAACATAGGGAGACCTCGTCTCTAAAAAAATAAAAACGAATTAGCTAGGCATGGGTGACCAATGCCTATATTCCCAGGTATCAGGGAGGCTGAGGTGAAAGGATTTCTTCAGCCTGGGAGATCATGGCTGTAGTGGGCCATGAGGGAGCCACTACACTCCAGCCTGGGCAACAGAGTGAGACCCTGTCTCAAAAAAATTAAATAAATAAAATATTAAAAATAAACAAACAAATAGGCAGGGTGCGGTGGCTCATACCTGTAATCCCAGCACTTTGGGAGGCCAAGGTGGGTGGGTCATGAGGTCACAAGTTCAATATCAGCCCAGCCAACATGGTGAAACCCCATCTCTACTCAAAATATAAAAAATAGCTGGGCGTGGTGGCACGCACCTGTAATCCCAGCTACTCGGGAGGCTGAGGCAGGAGAATGGTCTGAACCCCGGAGGCATAGGTTGTGATGAGCCGAGATTGCGCCACTGCACTCCAGGCTGGGTTGATAGAGCGAGACTCCAACTCAAAAAATAAAAATAAATAAAATAAATAAAAATAAACAAATAGGCCAGGCATGGTAACTCATGCCTGTAATCCCAGCACTTTGGGAGGCCGAGGCGGGAGCATCACTTGAGGTCAGGAGTTTGAAATCAGCCTGGTCAACATGGTGACCATCTCTACTAAAAATACAAAAATTAGCCAGGCGTGGTGGCAGATGCCTGTAATCCCAACTACTCGAGAGACTGAGGCAGGAGAATCGCCTGAACCTGGGAGGCGGAGGTTGCAGTGAGCTGAGATCACGCCACTGTACTCCAGCTTGGGTGACAGAGACTCCATCTCAAATAAACAAATAAACAAGCAAACAAATAAATGAAATAAAATAATTAGCTAGGTGTGGTGATGTTCACTTGGGAGGCTGTGGTGGGAGGCTGACGTGGGAGGATCACTTGAGCCCATGAGTTCAAGGTTACAGTAATCAATGATTGCACAACCACACTCCAACCCGAGTGACAGAGTGAGTTAGCTCCTGTCTCTCAAAAACAAAAAATAATCCTAGTACTTCCAGGCAAGAAAGCAATTTAACATGTTTTTCAGTAGCAAATAAATTATAAGGGTAAAAATGCAAGTTAGAAACCTAGAAAAATAGTGTTTCTACAAATTAACACATTTCATAGAATGTTTTGAATTGTATTTTCTATTAAAAAAATATTCACACATGGCTGGGTGTGGTGGCTCATACTTGTAATCCCAGCACTTTGGTGGGCCAAGGCAGCAGGATCACTTGAGTCCAGGAGGTTCAAGAGCAGCCTGGGCAACACAGTGAGATGACATTGCTACAAAAAAATTTTAAAAGTTAGATGGGCAAGGTGGCATATGCCTGTAGCTCCAGTTACTCAGGAGGCTGAGGTCGGGGGAAATCAACTGAGCCTCGTAGGTTGGTTGAGGCTAGCGTGAATGACAGAGCAAGACCCTGTCTCAAAAAAAAAAAAAAAAAAGAAAAAAAAGAATTCATGTATAGGAAATTTGGGCTTCCAGAATTCCTTTTTCCTTTCACTAAAAAATAACTGTAATTATAACTTGACGGGATAAATCATTGAAAATGGCTATAATGAAGCATTTAATACAAACTTTGAAAACACAGTATCACAGGCAGGGTGCGGTGGCTCACACCTGCAATCCAAGCACTTTGGGAGGTGAAGGCAGGAGGATCACCTCAGCCCAGAAGTTCGAGACCAGCCTAGGCAAAATGGTGAAACCCATCTCTACAAAAAATACAAAAATTAGCCAAGCGTGGTGTATGCCTATAGTCCCACGCACTCGGCAGGCTGAGGTGGGAGAATGACTTGAGTCCTGGAGGTTGAGGCTGTAGTGAGCTGAGATTGTGTCACTGCACCACAGCCTGGGTGACAAAGAGAGACTCTGTCTCAAAAAAGGAAGGAAGGAAGGAAGGGAGAGAGGGAGGGAGGGAGGGAAGGAGGAGAGAGAAAGAACGCACGCACAGTACATCTTTTATCCAGATTCATTGCAGATAAAGGCAAAAAATGAAAACCCTGAACTAAATGAAACTTTTTTAAAATGTATACTTCTGATCCCATGAAAATATCTCTGTGTTACACCCTGGCAGATCCCATGTTAAAAAAAAAATCTGTGTGAAGGATGGAAGGGTGGTCAGAAGGCAGGAAGGAGAAAACCAACAAAGAAATAATTTACCTACAAATGATCCCCCAGGAGGAGTACAGTCATCAATACAACTTAGATTAAGAAGAAAGAAACAAGCTCTTTCACCACAATAAAAACTTCAAATATTAATATAAACAGTGGGCCAGGTGCAGTGGCTCACACTGTAATTGCAGCACTTTGGGAGGCTGAGGAGGGTGGATCATAAGGTCAAGATTTCAAGACCAGCCTGGCCAAAATGGTGAAATCCCATATCTACTAAAAATACAAAAATTAGCTGGCACGCTGGCAGGCACCTGTAATCCCAGCCACTCGGGAGCCTGAGGCAGGAGAATCACTTGAACCAGAAGGCGGAGGTTGCAGAGAGCCGAGATCATGCCACTGTACTCTAGCCTCGGCAACAGATCAAGACCCTGTCTCAAAATAATAATAATAAAAAAAAATAGTGTTGATTCAAAGTGTGTGTCTGACATTTAATACTGAGAATTGATATTTTACTCAGCTTTTTGTTTTTTTGTTTTGAGACAGAGTCTCGCTCTGTTGCCCAGGCTGGAGTGCAGTGGTACGATCTCGGCTCACTGCAACCTCTGCCTACTGGATTCAAGTGATTCTCCTGCTTCAGCCTCCCAAGTAGCTAGGATTACAGACGTGCACCACCACACCTGGCTAATTTTTTTTATTTTTAGTAGAGACGGGGTTTCATCATGTTGTTCAGGCTGGTCTCGAACTCCTAACCTCAAGCAATCCACCCACCTTCGCCTCCCAGAGTGCTGGGATTACAGGCATGAGCCACCGTGCCAGGCCAGTTTTTTGTTTTAATAACAGAATAAAAGGTAACAGTGATTCCCTGTATATTAACACTTCCAATGAACAGCCTGTATAATTACAAAATTCTTTTCTTTTTCCTGTCTGCGGTTCATTTTGACCACATGCATTGAAATGTAATGTTATGTCTATTAAATCTTTTTTTCCCCCACACCTGTCGATAGAGGTTAAAAGGCCCACACTTGGAAGGGGCAGGTGGCCCCAGTTATACACACACACAGTGCTGTGGTGCTGCAGCCTGAGCCCCGCCGCCACAAAGAGAGGCAGTAGGGTATCTGTCGAATCTTAGTAAAAATTTAGTTATCTTTTATATTTGTTTTTCTAGTAATTCCTTTTTATTGTGTTTTTAGAAAAGTACTGGTCTGCTATAGATTGAAAATTTTAAGTTGGGGTCCTTCACTATAGATAGTAATCTGCTCTAACATTAACTTTACTGAATATGAGAGTTATATCGTGCTACAATGGAGAATGCCCTTGGTCGTAGGAGACACGTGCTAAAGTATTAAAGGCTGATGTGTCACAATGTCTACAAGTAATTCTCAAATGGTTCAGCCAAAACAAAAGAAAAACCCAGATATAGATGGTGAGAGAGAGGCAATACATTAACCAGTGGTGAATCTGGATCATAGGTATGTAGGTGTTTGTTGTAATACTATTCTTGCAACATTTCTATAAGTGTGACATTTTTCAGAAGAAGAAGTTAGAGAGAAAATTTTAATAATAAAAAGTTTTGTTCCATACCATTTGTAAAAGTGATAATGGCCAGGCAGAGTAGTACATCCCTGAAGTCCCAGTTACTTAGGAGGCCAAGGCTGGAGGATCACTTGAGCCCAGGTGTTCAAGACCAGCCTAGGCAACACAGCAAGACCCTTTCTCAAAAAAAAAAAAAAAAAAAAAAAAAAAAAAACCCAAAACAAAAAAACTGATAGTGTCAATTCTTTTCCCTAAATATAGCTTCACTAGATAAATAATTGTTGAAAACATTATTTTTAAGAATAACAATTTTAGGGAAAATTGTATTTTCAGAGAGCCTACAGGTCTAATTAATTACTGCCAATGAAAATCAATGTAACTGCCTATAAAATTATTGATTGGCACTTCCTCTGTTCTCATGCAGCTCTAAATCACAAATCTGCTATTTTCACATAATAAAATTGAAATAAATGGGGGAAGGGAAATTACAGGGATGTGGCTCTTACCTAACAGCCAGGAGACTAACTTGCTCAAGGCATTAAGCCCTTACTTAACCTATGGTAAATAAACCTTATTAATCAATCAGAAAAATATTATTAAGCTAAGAAAATAATATTGAGGCCGGGGACAGTGGCTCATGCCTGTAATCTCAGCACTTTGTGAGGCCAAGGCAGGCGGATCACGAGGTCAGGAGTTCAAGACCAGTCTGGCCAACATGGTGAAACCCTGTCTCTACTAAAACTACAAAAAAAAAGTCCAGGCACGGTGGATCACACCTGTAATCCCAGCACTTTGGGAGGCCGAGGCGGGCGGATCACGAGGTCAGGAGATCGAGACCATCCCGGCTAACATGGTGAAACCCCGTCTCTACTAAAAATATTAAAAAATTAGCCGGGCATGGTGGTGAGCACCTGTAGTCCCAGCTACTCGGGAGGCTGAGACAGGAGAATGGCGTGAACCCAGGAGGTGGAGCTTGCAGTGAGCCGAGACTGTGCCACTGCACTCCAGCCTGGGCGACAGAGCAAGACTCTGTCTCAAAAAAAAAAAAAAAAAAGAAAAAAAAAGGCCAGGAGTGGCAGCTCATGCCTGTAATCCTAGCACTTTGGGAGGCCAAGGCGGGTGGATCACCTGAGGTCAGGAGTTCAAGACCAGCCTGGCCAACATGGCGAAACCCCATCTCTACTAAAAACACAAAAATAACAGGGCATGGTTGCACAGGCTTGCAATCCCATCTACTTGGGAGGCTGAGGAAGGAGAATCACTTGAACCTGGGAGGTGGAGGTCGCAATGAGCCGAGATCGCACCCTGTACTCCAGCCTGCACAACGGGAGCGAGACTCCATCTAAAAAAAAACAAAAACAAAACAAAAAAACTACAAAAGAATTAGCTGGGTATGGTGGCGTGTGCCTGTAATCCCAGCTACTCGGGAGGCTGAAGTAGGAGAATTGCTTGAACTGGGACCCGGGAGGCAGAGGTTGCAGGGAGCCGAGATCACGCCACTGCATTCCATCCTGGGCTACAGAGCAAGACTCCGTCTCAGAAAAAGAAAATAATATTGAAACCAAATTTCTCTCCTTGTATTTTCAATTATTATCTGATTTCTGAGACTTCAATGGGGCTCATATTGCAGTCAAGGAGAGTAATAAAGGGAGACATGACTTACCAAAAGTCACAAAACATGGCAATGATCAAGTGGAACAAAATACTTAACTCATATTCCCTTGCTTCTGTTCAGCTGAGCACTTCGTAAAGCTCAAAAACTACACTGCTATATGTGAAAGGACCTTTCTCATACTCCCTGGTAATTTATAGAGCCAGTTTTCCTTGAGTTCAAGTATAACTCTCCCAAAATATTATGATGGATTGAAAAGAGGATAGATGGCTAACACCAGTTAGAGAGAGACGCTCATTTTTGAAAATGCTAGTTTCAAAGTTTTTGAAGGTTCTCTTACCTTACTTCTTCACCAGCAAAATCAAACACCTTGGTGATTTTAACTTTTTCTGTTTCTTTAGGTTTCTCTAGCTCTTCTGCTTTTACCAACAATTTACTTGAACTTGTCTCTTCAGTCTCCTCTCCTTTCTATAAAAAAAACAAGAAATGTAATGTTTCACCAAAAGATGAACCATATTGTTTACAGATACTTTTTATTTTTTTTTCTTTGAGATAGCGTCTCACTCTGTAGCCCAAGCTGGAGTGCAGTAACACAATCTTGGCTCACTGCAACCTCCCCACCTCCCAGGTTAAAGCGATTCTCCTTGCTTCAGCGTCCAAAGTAGCTGGGATTACAGGCAACCGCCACCACACCCAGCTAATTTTTGTATTTTTAGTAGAGACAGGATTTCGCCATGTTGGCCAGGCTGGTCTCGAACTCCTGACCTCAAATGATCCACCTGCCTCAGCCTCCCAAAGTGCAGGGATTGTTGGTGTGTGGCACTGCAGTCAGCCTATAGCTACTCTTAAATGTTTCATCTCTAACCAGTTAAAGGCCTATTGGAAACTTACATGATTAGAGAAGCTTATTCTCCTACCACAGGAAATGCTTTGCTTTTCACTTAGTACAATTGTTATCAAAAGGCATCTGGTCGATTTCCGTAGGCTTCAAATCTCAGTAATGTAGGGTATTTCTGGAGAGGCATTCACCTCACTAATGTCTCAACTTACCTTAACTTGTGTACTTGGGGGCACTTTTGATTTTGGTCCCACATCATTGAGGAAGCTGGCCCAGAGTTCGTCCTCCTTCTTTTTCCTGGCATCCTCTGATCCAATGCCTTTTTCCTGCTCTGCAGCGTCATCTTCCTCCTCACTACTGCTTCCCTCAGATTCTGAATTGGCATCCTCCTCTTCCTCTTCTTCTAATGAGAGGCCACCTTGTCTTCTCTTCCTAATCACCAGCAGTCACAGGAAAAAGGAAAGACAGCACAAAACGATTTCAGTTATCCCTCTCCCAATCCCAAAGGTAATCTTATAAACCCAAGAACACTTTAAATTCTGGGACTACTGGTTAATATACTGAAGTGAGTAGAAGAGTTAAGCTGAAATTTTATAGAAGAAAAAAAAAGAATTGAAAAAAAAAAAAACTGAGCTCTTAGTGCTAACTTTTCTCCAATCACTTAAAATCAAAGTATAGCGTTCTCCTTCTAAATCAGGACCAGCTGTTTTCACAAAGAAAACATCCAAATCACCTAATCACAGAATTAATCTATCCAGAAAGAATATTCTAAGAACATATTATATGTGCCAGACATTGTTGACTTTTTAAAGCTACTCCATTTGTAGAACAAGTTCTATTTAGAAGAGCCTCAACTTTATTTGCACTATTTCTTCCAAGAGTTCTCAAGGAAAAAGAAAAAAATCCATGTTTCTTCCCACTTTCGGAAGAACTGAGAGCTGGAACATAGAAAAATTCAAGGACAGGCCAGGCGCAGTGGCTCACACCTGTAATCCCAGCACTCTGGGAGGCCAAGGCCCACACAGAGATTCCACTACCTTTTTTCTCTTTTACTTCATATAAACTTTCATCACAACAAGATGAGAAAATTAGCCGGGCATGTTGGTGGGTGCCTATAATCCAGCCACTCGGAGGCTGAGGCAGGGAACTGAACCCAGGAGGCGGAGGTTGCATTGAGCAGAGATCACGCCACTGCACTCCAGCCTAGGCAACAGGGCGAGACTCTGTCTCAAAAAAAAAAAAAAAAAAAAAAAATTCAAGGACAAAAAAACTGGGCCCAAGACTTATAAGAGTATATTGCTTCTTAGACTATTTTGACTTTAGGTGAATCAATCTAATATCTACATTCTTTTTTCTTTTTCATAAATGATAATCTGCTTTTTGCTTCAATGCCCAGGAAGACAGAAACACCCAAGTGAGGTAAAAGACTTCTATGGAAGATGCCCTTATCTAAGTTAAATAACCTGTCAGAATTTTCATAATTTTCATGGGAAAAGAAGCCCATACCAGGCCTATGCCAGGCAATGGGCTAATATCTGTATTTTTAAAATTTAATTGCATATATAACCTTAGATCAAACAATTCCACTTCTAAATGTTACATTTACAGATATATTTATACATGTATACATTATATACATTTATATATTTATGTATACTTTGTATACATGTATACAAAGAATATTCACTGCACTCTTCTTTGTTGTAGTAAAGACTAGATACAATCTAAACATCCCTCGATACAGGAAAGCCTAAATAAAGTAAGGCCTATTCACATAACGTAATACTATGAAAAGGAGGAGATACTGCCATGGTACTATCTCCAAGATGTGAAATAAAGAGAAATGAAAATGAGAAAGTGAGTATGCTACTATTTATATTTTTTTTCTAAAAAAAAAATGAAGAAAATATAGACATATATGCATTTGCATGCACAGACTATCTCTGGTAGCATAGTTCTTCAGAGGCAAAGCAACAAGGTCTAGGAACAGGGTAAACATCTTTTCAGGGACTGAATTTTCTGTTCTAACCATATGTACATATTACCTATTAACATTTTCTTTACATTAAAGCTCAAAATGTTTAAAGCTTTCCAGAGACCAAGAAGTTAATCCTAAAATAACAGCAAATGTTTCCCTCAAAGAGAAAAGGGTTAGAAACTCTGGCTTCATTAAATCTATCATGAGACCAATCTTAGCAATCAGGATGGTTGTGACAATAGCCCCTAACTTCTAAGGGCCTTGAAGGCAGCATCACCTGGCTGGAATGCTCTGGGCCTTTCTTTTTTTCCCTTGGGTTTTCTGTGTCTGCTCTTCACCATCCACTTCATCTTCCTTCACTAATTCATTTACATCATCTTCACTATACTCTCCACCTGAAATCACATAACAGGGTGATCAGACAGGAATAAAGGTTTTCACATCAAGATGAGACATTTTCATTAATACAAGCTTTCACACCGAGACATTTTCATTAAGAAAAAGTGAATTTTCCCCTACTCTTCACCTAACGAAAACATCATTTCCTTGGGGAAGTCTTCTCTGCCCCTGAAGACTACCCTACGTTCTTCTATCGTAGGCTTCCATGGCAGTCTCTATTTCCCCTCCAAAACTCATCCCACTTATATTTAATGTTGGTAATTTCTGCTGTGCTGTATACTCCAAGAGGACATAAACCCTGTTCATTGTGACTTTTAAGTATTCACTAAATGAATGAGTGAATGAACAGAAATTTCAATTCTACTAATGTGTTTCTCAAAGAAGAAACTGATGCACTACCTCATCTTGGGTATCTTTCAAATCTAATTTAAAAAACACTTTGTCTTCTCAATAAAAGAAGTTTAAAAGGAAACCTAAAGACTTCCAGTTAAACATAGCAGAAAGAACAAACACACCCATGTCCCATTGTCAGACACTGACATTCAAGGGTCCCCAACAAAAGAGTGTTGCTTGGATGTCTGACCACATGCTGTGGGTACCAGTCAATAAACCAACCCTGCCCACACAGAGATTCCACTACCTTTTTCCTCTTTTACTTCATATAAACTTTCAATTGAAGTGTACATACCAAAAAGCACACAAATCTAATATACAGTTCAATGGAATGACACACAGTGAACACACTTGCATAACCAGGGCCCCAGCTCGAGGAACTGAACATTAGCAGCATCCCAGAAGGCCCCCTGTGCTCCCTTCCAGTCACTAACAACTGCCCTACCCCTAAAGGGAACCAATATCCTGACTTCTAAAGTCACGGGTTAGTTTTGCCTGCTTTTCAACTTTCAACAGAAGCCTGCAGTGTGTACTCTTCTGTGTCTGGCTTCTTTTATTCAACATTATGTTTGTGAGAGTCACCCACATTGTTGCAGTGTAGCTGTAGTTTATTCATTCTCACTCCTGAACAGTAAATAGTGTGTCATTGTATGACTATACCATAATCCGTTTATTCATTCTACTGCTGATGCACAACTAGGTTGTTTCCAATTTGGAGTCATTACAAACAGTACTGTTGTGATACTCCTGTGCATCCAATCAGCTTTATTTATTTATTGAGACGGAGTCTTGCTCTGTCACCCAGGCTGGAGTGCAGTGGCGCGATCTTGGCTCACTACAACCTCTGCCTCCCAAGTTCAAGCGATTCTCCTGCCTTGGCCTCCTGAGTAGCTGACATTACAGAAGTGTGCCACCACACCCAGCTGATTTTTATACTTTTAGTAGAGATGGGGTTTTATCATGTTGGCCAGGCTGGTTTTGAATTCTGACCTCAGGTGATCCAGCCGCCTTGGCCTCCCAAAGTGCTGCGATTACAGACAGGAGCCACCGCACACGGCCTCCAATCAGCTTTTAAATACTTCACTTATAATGTACCAAGGACCACCAAACACTTGAGAAAAGCCTCCAATATGAAAGGCAAGATTCAAGACAAACAGAAAGGAATTCAGAGGAAACAAAATTAGTGCAGAAAGAGGGGATGGGGAGGGGGACAGATTAAAAACTTAAGGAAAAAGGATTTGTAATTAATATCCTGAAAGAGGTAAGAGAAACTGTGGCATCCATGGAATAAAAATAAGACTTTTAAAATAATTCAGAAAAATGAAACAAACAAAAAAGCTCGTAAAAACTAAAACAATGATAAAAGAGATTTAAAAAAAAAAAAAAAAGGTAAACCAGTGGCTCACGCCTATAATCTCAGCCCTTTGGGAGGCCGAGGCAGGTGGTTCGCCTGAGCCCAGGAGTTGAAGACCAGCCTGGGCAACTGTGAAACCCTGTCTCTACAAAAAAATACAAAAATTAGCTGGGCTTGGTGGTACACACCTCTAGTCTAAGCTGAGGCAGAAAGATCACTTGAGCCTGGGAGGTCAAAGCTAGAGTGAGCCAAGATCACACCACTGCACTCCAGCCTGGGTAACAGAGCAAGACCCTGTCTCAAAAAAATAAATACATAAATTAAAAAATTTTTTAAAGGCGATGAGAAGGAGCCAGCTGTGTGAAAATCTGGAGAATAAGCATTTGAGGCTGAGGTGGAAACAATCAATATCCAAAATGGAATTCTGTTTGACATCCCAAACACCAAGGGCTAAGTGACAGTGTTTCATGAAGAGAGCAGTGAGTTCCTGCTTAAGACAGCAATCTGAACATAGAAATGTAATTTTACTTCCTCCTGAACCTAGTGAGACCCCATATCTAAAAAAAATTTTTAAACATTAGCCAGGCATGGTGGAGAATGCCTATGGTCCCAGCTGCTTGGGAGGCTAAGGGGAGGATCACTTGAACCCAGGAGGTCAAGGCTGAAGTGAGCCATGAACACGCTACTGCATTCCAGCCTGGGTGACAGTGAGACCCTGTCTCAAAAACAAAAACAAAAACAAATACCACCCCAAAATACAAAGAAACACAAATGTATTTACCTTTTTATCCAGCAGTCCCACTTCTATCCCAGAATATATAATAGTTTATTCACTCAGTACTGTTTGTAATAACAAAAAATTAGAAACAACTCAAGTTGTCTCACAGTAAGTGACTGGCTGAAAATGCTATGGTCCATCTAAATAATGGAATACCACAGTCATTACAATGCAATGTGTAAAATTTCTATGTATTTACCTCCAAGATATACTCTTAAGTTAAACAGAAAAAAAAGGAGAGGAAAAGCAAAAGAACAGTGTATGAAATATGCCAGCTCTGGATGAGGAAAAAGGAAGAATTAAGAATATGCTTATATTTGTTTGTATATGGAAAAAGCGACACTAGAAGGATAAACAAGAAACTAATGAAAACAGCTCCTTATAAGGGTCAGGATAAAACAGAGTAGAAGCAAGAGTTCACTGTGTTTATCTCTCTACAGAACTTTGAAAATCTCTTAAATTCAAAAGTTTGAATAAATAAACATAACTGTATACCAAAATGATAACATAACCACATAAACAAAAGATCTATTCCCAGGACTTTAAAAACAGTATTCTGACTATACATCTTCATCAAGATGCATTCCAAAGACAAAAAAAAAAAAGTTCTACTCTGTGTAGTAACATCAATGCTGGTATTTTGAAACTATTTCCTTTATATCATAGGTTAAAGCAAGTAATTAATCACGTTAGGAATCTAGATCTTCAGAATAAGAGAAATGACACAATTATAAAATCAAAGAAATTGGCTGGGAGCGGTGGCTCATGTCTGTAATCCCAGCACTTTGGGAGGCTGAGGTGGGTGTATCACCTGAGGCCAGGAGTTCGAGACCAGTCTGGCCAACACAGTGAAACCCCATCTCTACTAAAAATACAAAATTAGCTGGGTGTGGTGATGCATGCCTGTAATACCAGCTACTCAGGGAGCTGAGGCAGGAGAATTGCTTGAACCTGGGGGGCGGAGGTTGCGATGAGCTGAGATACACCACTGCACTCCAGCCTGGGCAACAAGAGTGAAACTCTGTCTCAAAAAAAAAAAAAAAAAAAAAAAGAATTAAGAATATCAATATGAACTCTAACCCTTTTTTTTTTTTTTTTTGAGACGCAGTCTCGCTCTGTCGCCCAGGCTAGAGTGCAGTGGCACGATCTCGGCTCACTGCAAGCTCCGCCTCCCGGGTTTTACGCCATTCTCCTGCCTCAGCCTCCCGTGTAGGTGGGACTACAGGCGTGCACCACCTATGCCTGGCTAATTTTTTTTGTATTTTTAGTAGAGATGGGGTTTCACCATGTTAGCCAAGATGGTCTCGAACTCCTGACCTTGTGATCCGCCGACCTCGGCCTCCCAAAGTGCTGGGATTACAGGCGTGAGCCAACGCGCCCGGCTAACCCTTTTTAAGTATTTCCTAGTTTTGTCCACTACACAAACGGCATATAAACTACATCATTCTGGTAACATCAAGCATCTCTAAAGTTCAAAGTTGAGACCATTTACCACAAAAAGGCTCCCTAAAAAAAAAAAAAAAAAAACTCATTTCAGGTCTGAGGCAAAGAAAGCACAAGGTAAAACCAGGACATTTTTCTGTGCCAGGAAGTCAGGAAGCTATTTAAAAATAACAGATCAAGGCCAGGTGCAGTGGCTCATGCCTGTAATCCTACCACCTTAGGAGGCCAAGGTGGGTGAGTATGGGGGGGAATGCTTGAGCCCATGAGTTCGAGACCAGCCTGGGCAACAGAGCAAGAGCCTGTTTCTATAAAAGATTTTTAAAAAATTAGTCAGGCATGGTGGCACGCACCTGTAGTTCCATCTACTGGGGAGGCTGAGGCAGGAGGATCACTTGAGCCCAGGAATTGAAGGCTACAGTAAGCAGGACGCCGACTCATAAAAAATAAATAATAATAAAAAAAGATCAAATTAAAAGGATACAAGATCCAGCCTGAAAGAGCTCCTACTGGCCAAAGCAGTGAAGACCTGAACATTAAAACAGGTAATTGTTAGAAAATGAAAACACACTGAATAAAAATCTGTGAGCCCCTCATGATATTAAAAAGACAGAAAAAAAAATTTGTACCATTTTAGACTGCTATTTAAAATTACTACCTATTTTGAAAATTGAGGGAAAAGAATTAAATATTTATATTGTTCCAATTGATAAAGGAAAGCTATACTTTACAGAAAAATGTCAACCAATAAATACAGAAGAACCACAGAATTAGAAAGACATCACTTCTCAAACTCTAATGACAGTAGTAGTTTAGGCAAGGGTTATTAAGTAATGCCAAAAAGCAATTTAAGAAGCTGGGTGTGCCAGAGGCATCTGAACCAGAGCAACTCCATCCTGAATAGCGACTGGGTAAAACAAGGCTGAAACCTGCTGGGATGCATTCCCAGGAGGTTAAGGCATTCTAAGTCACACGATAAGCTAGAAGGTTGGCAGAAGATACAGGTCATAAAGACCTTGCTGATAAAACAGTCTGCCGTAAAGAAGCTGGCTAAAACCCACCAAAACCAGCGCCATGACAGCTTACAAATGCCATGGCAACATCAGGAAGTTACTCTAAATGGTCTGAAAAGGGGAGGCATGAATAATCCACCCCTTGTTTAGCATATAATCAAGAAATAACCATAAAAATGGGCAACCAGCAGCCCTTGGGTCTGCTCTGTCTATGGAGTAGACATTCTTTATTCCTCTACTTTCTTAATAAACTTGTTTTTACTTTTCTGTATGGATTTCCCTCGAATTCTTTCTTGTTCGAGATCCAAGAACCCTCTCTTGGGGTCTGGGTCTGGATCCCCTTTCAGGTAACAGGTAGTCTCAGCTACCTCAGAAGCTCTCTTGAGCCCAGGAATTTGAGTCCAGACTGAACAACACAGTGAGACCTTCATCTCAAAAAAAAAAAAAAAAAAAAAAAAATTAAAAAGCAATTTAAGTTTTAACCATTAAGTATACTGCCACAGGGAATACTTTTCCAGTTCTAAAAGTTCCAAAGGAAAAAACAAGTATACAAGAGAGGGATCAGACTGTTATCACCCTGATTTAATAGTCACCACTATAGTTATCAACCAGATATTGTGTCTTCTGATGCTATTCAAACATCAGATGTCCATTGATAATGCATTCTGGCCAAAGTATTTCATTGGAACCCATCAAGCATTTAGATCTAACTTCTGATTTACAGAGAACTGAAGGAACAAAGGAACTAAAACAACGCCATGAGGGAATAACCAGACAAATCCAAGAGGTGAGACATGCTGCAGGATGTATGGCTTTGATCTTTTCAGCTATCTATGCCATTATAGAAAGGGGAGTGTGCTAGATTAAAAGAGACTCAAGGATGGAACAACTGGATAATATGTGTAGTATTGAACTCAACTGTGATTTGGACACACAAGCTATAACCATTTTGGAAAATTTGAGTATGATCTATATATAAGATAAAACATTTACTAAAATAAATGGGTAGAAATCATCCACTAAAAAGAGTAGGTTGAAAAGCGATGTGAGTAAATACAATTGCAGGCTGAGGAAAAAATACAAATATCTATACCTAGGTGTAGAAAAAAATCAGAGTGAGTTTTCACTAAAGGATTGACATGATAGTCTCTAGGTAGTTCAACTATTTTTTTTATTTTTAAGTGATTTTTAATTTAACTGTCTGCATTTTCTAATTTTCTATAAAGCTCTGCACTACTTTTGAAAACTTTTGCCTGTTTTCATCATAAAAACAGGCAAATGTTGTAGACAGTTCAGACAAGTAGATGCACATGACTCTGGATCTTAAACATGTAAAAAGATGCTTAATCTCATTAATAATGAGACAGCCATGTGGGAGGGGGTCCCTGGAGAATCTCCGGCCAGCCAGCAGACTAGGAGGCATGCGCACTGGGGTGGAGCCACAGAGGTTCCTGCTGTTTGCAGCGGGGAGGAGCCCGGCCCCTCTTCTTCCTGTGTGCAACCTGGGATTCAAAGCTGCAAGGCAGGAAGCACAGCAGCAGGAACTCTGGCCTTGCAGAGTCCCTGTTCCCCCTTTTTTCCCTTTTCACCCAATAAAACCCTGATTTACTCAAGCTTCAAATTGTCTGTGAGCCTAAATTATCATGGCTGTGGGACAAGGACTCCATCTTTAGCTAAACTATGGAAAAGTCCTTCATCAGTAAGAGATAAGAAAATTTTAAATTATACATACAAAACCCCCCAAAACCTCAATATCAAATTCCATGCAGTTACTATGAGGGAAAAAAAGATAGTAAGAATCAGAATAACATCCCTGTAGACAATGTAGGCACAAAAGGAACAAATCTTGTCCAAAGACTCAGAGCTTCCAATAACCTTTCTAGTGCCCCAAGCATAAATATGAGCCAAACCAACTAAGAATCAGTATAAATCCGAGAAAGCCTCTTACATAATAAAACCCTAAACAAGCATACAAGGTGAATAAAAAATCACCCTGGAAGAAACAAAGCCTGTATTTCCTCATTTTATGAGGCCTGCATTATCTGATACTAAAATCACACAAGGAAATTACCAAAAAACTACAGATCGATATCCCTCATAAACACAGATGCAAAAATCCTCGACAAAATACGGCTGTCCCTCCATATTTCTGGGGAAGTGGTTCCAAGATCTCCCCCACCCCACACCAAAACCCACAGATGTTCAAGTCCCTGATATAAAATGATGTCATATTTACATATAAACTATGTACATCCTCTTGCATACTTTAAGTCATCTCTAGATTACTTACAACACCCAATATAAGTGCTATATGAATAGTTGTTATACTGTATTGTTTAGGAAATAATGACAAGGAAAAAAGTTTGTACACATTCAGTACAGACATAACCACCCATTTGTTTTCCCAAATACTTTCTCTCTCTCTCTCTTTTTTTTGAGACGGAGTTTCGCTCTTTTTGCCCAGGCTGGAGTGCAATGGTGCGATCTCGGCTCACCGCAACCTCTGCCTCCCGTGTTCAAGCTATTCTCCTGCCTCAGCCTCCCAAGTAGCTGGGATTACAGGCGCTTGCCACCACACCCGGCTAATTTTTTGTATTTTTAGTAGAGACAGGGTTTCACCGTGTTGCCAGGATGGTCTCGATCTCTTGACCTCGTGATCCACCTGCCTCGACCTCCCAAAGTGCTGGGATTACAGGCGTGAGCCACTGCGTATGGCCTCTTTTTTTTTTTTTTTTTTTTTGAGACAGAGTCTCGCTCTGTTGCCCAAGCTAGAGTGCAGTGGCATGATCTTGGCTCACTACGATCCTCCCGGGTTCAAGTGATTCTCCTGCCTCAGCCTCACGAATACCTGAGACTACAGGTATGCACCACCACTCCCAGCTGATTTTTGCATTTTTGGTAGAGACGGGGTTTCACCATGTTCGTCAGACTAGTCTTGAACTCCTGGCCTCAAGTGATCCACCCACTTCAGCCTCCCAAAGTGCTGGGATTACAGGTCAGAGCCACCACATCCAGCCTCTTAGAGAGTCTTAAAACTGTGATCAAAAAAAAAACACGTTTTTAGAGGTTAAGGCAGAAGGATCGCTTGAGGCCAGGAGTTCAACGTGTCACTGAGCTGTGATCTTGCCACTGCACTCCAGCCTGGGTGACGGAGCAAAACCCTGTTTCTTTTAAAAACAAACAAACAAATCCAGGTTTTCTCACACCTGTAATGCCAGCACTTTGGGAGGCTAAGGCAGGAAGATTGCTCAAAGCCAGGTGTTTGAGACCAGCTTGGGCAACATGGTGAGAGACCTCATCTCTACAAAAAATAAAAAATTAGGCCGGGCGCAGTGGCTCACGCCTGTAATCCCAGCACTTTGGGAGGCCGAGGTGGGCGGATCACAAGGTCAGGAGATCGAGACCATCCTGGCTAACACGGTGAAACCCCATCTCTACTAAAAATACAAAAAAATTAGCCGGGCCTTGTGGTGGGTGCCTGTAGTCCCAGCTACTCGGGAGGCTGAGGCAGGAGAATGGCGTGAACCCGGGAGGCAGGGCTGGCAGTGAACCGAGATGGTGCCACTGCACGCCAGCCTGGGTGACAGAGCAAGACTCCGTCTCAAAAAAAAAAAAAAAAAAATTAGATGGGCATGATGGTGTGCATCTGTAGTCCCAGGTACCTGGGAGGCTGAGGTGGGAGGATCACTTGAGCCCAGGAGTTTTAGGCTGCAGTGAGCTGATTGCGCCACTGCACTCCAGTCTGGGTAATCAAGCGATTCTCGTGCCTCAGCCCAGTAGCTGGGACTAATTTTTGTATTTTTAGTAGAGACTGGGTTTCACCACGTTGGCGAGGTTGGTTTTTTTTTGTTTTTTGAGACGGAGTCTCACTCTGTCGCCCAGGCTGGAGAGCAGTGGTGCGATCTCCGCTCACTGCAACCTCCGCCTCTTGGGTTCACGCCATTCTCCTGCTTCAGCCTCCCGAGCAGCTGGGACTACAGGCACCCGCCACCTCGCCCGGCTAATTTTTTGTATTTTTAGTTGAGACGGGGTTTCACCACGTTAGCCAGGATGGTCTCGATCTCCTGACCTTGAGATCCGCCCACCTCGGCCTCCCAGGTTGGTCTTTAACTCCTGGCTTCAAGTGATCTGCACTCCTTGGCCTCCCAAAGTGCTGGGATTACAGGCGTGAGCAACTGCACCCAGCCTTTTTCCAAATATTTTCTATCTGCAGTTGGTTGAATCCATGGCTGTGGAAACCACAGATACAGAAGGCTGACTATATTAGCAAACCAAATTCAGCAATGTATAAATATATCCTGACCAAGTGAGCTGTCTCCCAGAAATAAGTCTGTCAGAAATTTGAAAATCAAACACTGTAATCCACCATATTAACAGACAAAAAAAAAGAAAAACCACATGTAATTAAATCAATAGATGGAGAAAAAGCATTTGACAAAATTCACCTCTCTGAAAATTAGGAACAGAGGGGAACTTATCTAACATGATAAAAGGAATCTCTGAGGGACAATATATGCAGACTGCCAAGGTTAACATTCCAGCTAAGTTACTATCTAACTGGATGAATTTCAGCCATTTGCTTAGACTTTGTGCCTCAGTTTTTTCATCAGTAAAATGCAGAACACAATTAGCACGTACAGTGTTAGGTGACTGAGTTGGTAATAAGTTACTCAATGCTAAAGGGTTTAAACGGCAGGCAGACAGACACACACGGCATCTGTGAAAAACCTATAGCTAACACCACATCAAGTGGTAAAACACTAGTTTCTTTTCCCCCTTAAGATTGGGAAAAAGGCTGCCAGACGCGGTGGCTCACGCCTATAATCCCAGCACTTTGGGAGGCTGAGGCGGGCGGATCACGAGGTCAGGAGATCAAGACCATTCTGGCTAACACGGTGAAACCCAGTCTCTACTAAAAATACAAAAACTTAGCGGGCGTGGTGGCGGGCGCCTGTAGTCCCAACTACTCGGGAGGCTGAGGCAGAAGAATGGCGTGAACCCAGGAGGCAGAGGTCACAGTGACCCAAGATCGTGCCACTGCACACTCCAGCCTGGGCAACAGAGGGAGACTCCGTCTCAAAAAAAAAAAAAAAAAGATTGGGAAAAAGGCAAAGATGTCCCCTCTCACCACTAGCATTCAACATCATACTGGAAGTATAAAGTACAACAAGGCAAGCAAAATAAATATAAAAGGTAAACATATTGGAAAGGAAGAAATAAAACTGTTTCTATTCACATTTGACATCACTGTCTGTGTGGAAAATCCCACAGAATCTACAAAAACCTCCAGAACTGGTAAATGAGTTTAGCAAGGTTGTAGAATACAAGGTTAGTATGCAGAACCTGTATTGTATTTCCATATACTAGTTACAAACAATTAGAAATAAAAACTTTTTACACCTAAAAAAAAAAGATACAGACTGTATTCATAGACTAAAATATAAGATCGTTAAATTGTCAATTCTTCCCAAAACGGTCTACAGATTCAATGCAATTCCAAACAAAATCAAAGTAGGATACTTTTTCGAGAGATGAACAAAGTGATTTTACAATGCATATGGTGGCCAGGCCTGGTGGCACACGTCTGTAGTACCAGCTACACAGGAGGCTGAGGAAGGAGAATCACTTGAACCTGGGAGGTAGAGGTTGCAGTGAGCAGAGATCGCGCCACTGCACTCCAGCCTGGGCAACAGAGTGACACTCCATCCCCCTCAAAAAAAAAAAAAAAAAAAAAACTATATGGAAAGGCAAAGGAACAAGAGCAGCCAAAACTATTTTGAAAAAGAATAAAGTTGGAGTACTCTCTCTACCTGATTTCAACACTTAAATCAAAAACAGTAAATGAAACTGTGGAAACAGAGGCCCAGAAATAAACCTATACAAGTATGGCCAGTTCACTTTACAGAAATACAAAGGGAATTCGATGGAGAAAGAATAATCTTTTCAACAAATAATGAAAATACTGGACATCCAGATGCAAAAGAAAAAAAAAAAAAGAATCCATAACTCATATCTTATGCAAAAATTAACTGAAAATAAATAATGATAACTGATTTTTTAAAAAAGTAAATGCTGGCCGGGCACGGTGGCTCACTCCTGTAATCCCAGCACTTTGGGAGGCCGGGGTGGGCGGATTACCTGAGAGGTCAGGAGTTCAAGACCAGCCTGGCCAACATGGTGAAACCCCATCTCCACTAAAAATACAAAAATTAGCCAGGCGTGGTGGCAGGCGCCTATAATCCCAACTACTCGGGAAGCTGAGGCAGGAGAATCGCTTGAACCTGGGAGGCGGAGGTTGCAGCGAGCTGAGATCATGCCACTGCACTCAAGCCTGGGCAACAGAGCAACACTCTGTCTCAAAAAAAAAAAAAAAAAAAAAAAAAAAAGTAAAGGCCAGGCACTGTGGCTTATGCCTATAATCCCAACACTTTGGGAGGCCGAGGTGGGCGGATCACCTGAGGTTGGGAGTTCAAGACCAGCCTGACCAACATGGAGAAACCCTGTCTCTACTAAAAATACAAAATTAGCCAGGCGTGGTGGCACATGCCTGCAATCCCAGCTACTCAGGAGGCTGAGGCAGGAGAATCCCTTGAACTCAGGAGGCGGAGGTTGCAGTGAGCCAAGATCATGACATTGCACTCCAGCCTGGGCAACAAGAGCGAAACTCTATCTCAAAAAAACAAAAACAACAACAAAGTAAAACTATGTAACTTTTACATAGGAAAATACACTATCTTTGTAATCCCGAGTTAGGCAAAAAAGAGTTCTTAGATATGATTCCAAAAGCACAACCCATAATAGAAAAATTTGACAAACTGGATTTTATCCAAGTTTAAAAATTTTACTCTGCAGGCCAGGCATGGTGTCTCATGCCTGTAGTCCCAGTTACTACAGAGGCTGAGGCAGGAAAATTGTTTGAGCCCAGGAAGTAAAGGTTGCAGTGAGGTGAAATCGTGCCACTGCATTCCAGCCTGGGCAACAGAGCAAGACTCTGTTTCAAAAAAACACCAAAAAAAATTGCTGTGCAAACACTATTAAGAGAATGAAAAGACAAGCACAGAGACAAAACACTGCAAAACAAGTATGTGACAAAGGAGCCGGGGGTGGTGACTCAGGCCTGTACTCCCAGCACTTTGGGAGGCCAAGGTGGGTGGATCACTTGAGGTTGGGAGTTGGAGACCAGCCTGGCAAACATGGTGAAACCCCATCTCTACTGAAAATACAAAAATTAGCTGGGTGTGGTGGCGAGTGCTTGTAATCCCACCTACTTGGGAGGCTGAGGCAGGAGAATCGCTTGAACCCGGGAGGTGGAGGTTGTGGTGAGCCAAGATTATGCCACTGTACTCCAGCCTGGGGGACAGCGAGACTGTCTCAAAAAAAAAAAAACAAAACAAATATCTGACAAAGGACTATATCCAGAATATATAATTCCAAAACTGAAAACAACCCAATGTTTTAAATGGACAAAGAATTCAAAAGACACACCAAAGAAGATAAAATGATGGCAAACAGGAACATGAAAAGAGCATCAACATCCTTAGGGAAATGCAAACTAAAGGAGAAATTAGCTAATTTTTTTTCTTTTTTTTTCGAGACAGTGTCTCGCTCTCTTGCCCAGGCTGGAGTGCAGTGGCACAATTCCGGCTCACTGCAACCTCCACCTCCTGGGTTCAAGCGATTCTCCTTCCTCATCCTCCCAAGTAGCTGGGACTACAGGCATGCACCACCATGCCCGGCTAATTCTTTGTATTTTTTAGTAGAGACAGGGTTTCAACATATTGGCCAGGCTGGTCTTGGACTCCTGACCTTGTGATCTGCCTGCCTTGGCCTCCCAAAGTGGTGGGAATACAGGCATGAGCCACCGCGCTCGGCCCCAAATTAGCTAATATTTAAAACAAAAACAAAAACAAAAAAATCTGACCACCCCAAGTGTTGTTGAGGATGAAGAGCAACTTGAACTCTCAAACTTGTTACCAACAGCAATCAAGCCACAAAAAAATTTAGCAGCTTCTTGTAAAGTTAAACATACACATACTACAAAACCCAGTAATCCCACTCCTAGATATTGACTCAAGTGAAATGAAAACCCATGTTCACAGAAAAAGCTGTGTGTAAATATTTATAAACAGCTTTATTTGTAATCATAAAAAATTGGAAACAACCCAGTGTCTTTCAAATGCAGAATAAACTGTGGTATATCCATATAATGGACTACCACCCAACAACAGAAGGAGCTAATTACTGACATGTGCAACAACACAGGTGAATCTCAAATGCATTATGCTAAGCGGAAGAAGCCAGATACAAAAAGCTGCCTACTGTTATGGTTCCATTTAGATTATATTCTGAAAAAGGCAAAACTATAAAGATGGAAAACAGACCAGAGGTTGCTAATGGCTGGGGCCGGGGGTGAGGGAGAGTTGTTTGACTACAAAGAGTAGCAGGGGAAATTTGTTTTTTTTTTTTTTTAAGAGGGTTGACGGCTTGAAACTGTTCATTTTGGTGGAGGTTACACAACGCTAGGCATTTAACAAAAATCAGAGAACAGTACATTGAAAACAGTAAATTTTATTGTATGTAAGTTAAAAATTGTATGTTAAATGCTGATACTGCATTTACAAAAGAAGAACATAATGCTATAAAAATATTCAAAGTTGGCTGGGCTCAGTGGCTCACACCTGTAATCCCAGCACTTTGGGAGGCCGAAGCAAGTGGATCACAAGGTCAGGAGATCGAGACCATCTTGACCAACAAGGTGAAGCCCCGTCTCTATTAAAATACAAAAACAAAATTAGCCAGGTGTGGTGGCACGCGCCTGTATCCCAGCTACTCGAGAGGCTGAGGCAGGGGAATCGCTTGAACCCGGAAGGCGGAAGTTGCAGTGAGCCGAGATTGCGCCACTGCACTCCAGCCTGGGTGACAGAGCTATACTCCATCTCAAAAATAAATAAATAGAGAGAGAGAAAAAGAAGGGCGGAGAGGGAGAGAAAGAAAAAAAAGAAAGGAAGGAAAGGAAAAGAAAGAGTGAGAGAGGAAAGAAAGGAAAAGGAAAAGGAAAAAAAATTATAGGAAAAAAAAGTTCTCAGAAGGCTCAGCAAAATGGCTGAAAACACTCATACCAAGATATATCATGGTGACATATTAGAAAATGGGAACAGGCCAGGCGTAGAGGCTCACGCCTGTAATCCCAGCACTTTGGGAGGCCGAGGCAGGCAGATCATGAGGTCAGGAGTTCGAGACCAGGCTGGCCAACATGGTGAAATCCCGTCTCTACTATAAAAATACAAAAATTAGCCAGGCGTGGTGGCATGAACCTGTAGTCCCAGCCACTCCGGAGGCTGAGGTGGGAGAGTTGCTTAAACCCGGGAAGTGGAGGTTGCAGGGAGCCTAGATGCCACCACTGCACTCTAGCCTGGACAAGAGAGACAGAGTCTGTCTCGAAAAAAAAGAAAAAAGAAAATGGGAACAAAGAGAATATTCTACCAGCTTCCGGAGACAAACAGATCTTATACATTGAGCAGAAATCAGTAACAAAATATTTATTAATAGCAACATGGGAATCTAGAAAGTAATGAAGTAACACTTTAAAATTCTGATGGAAAATTATTTCCAACCTAGAATTCAAACAGACAATCAATTACGCCTGAGGGGCATGGTTACTTTTAGGCATTCAAGGTCTCATAAGAATGTTCCTGACCAGGCGTGGTGGCTCACGCCTGTAATCCCAGCAGTTTGGGAGGCTGAGGAGGGCGGATCACCTGAGGTCAGGAGTTCAATATCAGCCTGGCCAACATGGTGAAACCCCGTCTCTACTAAAAATACAAAAATTAGCTGGGTGTGGTGGTGGGCACCTGTATCCAAGCTACTTGGGAGGCTGAGGCAAGAGAATCGCTCAAACCCGGGAGGTGGAGGTTGCAGTGAGCCAAGATCACGCTACTGCACTCCAGCCTGGGCGACAAGAGCAAGACTCTATCTCTAAATAAATAAGTAAATACACTGGAGTACTCATAGAAGGTAACCAAGACAAAGTGGAGGCCAGAAGGCAAAGACTGTTTCAGAAGATTAAAGTGAAAATCTAATGAATGTAAATATTTTGGGAGATGATTTATACAATTCTAAAAGTTTAGAGTCAAATTAGCAGTGTCGACGAAAAGAGTCAAACTCTTGTCAAGTATTTGAAGAGAATTATTCTGTGCCACATATGAGTAACCACAGCCCATGATGCAGCCCTCAAGAGGTCCTGAGAGCACGCGCCCAAGGTGGTTGGGGTGCAGCTTGGTTTTATATATTTTAGGGAGGCATGAGACATCAATCAAATACATTTGAGAAATATACTGGTTTGGTCCATTAAGACAGGACAACTCGGGGTGGGAGTGCTTCCAGGCTACAGGTAAATTTAAAAATTTTCTTGTTGGCAACAGGTTGAGTTTGCCTAAACAGAAAGGAATGTCTGGGTTAAGATAGAGGTTGTGGAGACCAGAGGTTTTTTTTGTTTGTTTGTTTGTTTTTTCGAGATGGAGTCTCACTCTGTTGCCCAGGCTGGAGTGCAGTGGCGCAACCTCAGCTCACTGCAACCCCACGCCCCTGGTTCAAGCAATTCCCCTGCCCCAGCCTCCGGAGTAGCTGGGATTACAGGCACACGCCACCACACCCAGCTATTTTTTTATATCTTTAGTACAGACAGGGTTTCACTATGTTGGCCAGACTGGTCTCCAACTCCTGACCTCAGGCAATCCGCCCACCACAGCCTCCCAAAGTGCTGGGATTAAAGGTGTGAGCCACCGCACCTGGCCACTTTTTTTTTTTAAATGGAGTCTTGCTCTGTTACCCAGGCTGGAGTGCAGAAGCATGATCTTCACTCACTGCAACCCCCACCTCTTGGGTTCAAGAGATCTCGTGCCTCAGCCTCCCCAGTAGATAGGATTACAGGCGCCCGTCACCACACTTGGCTAATTTTCATATTTTCAGTAGAGATGGGGTTACACCACGTTGGCCAGGCTGGTCTTGAACTCCTGACCTCAAATGATCCACCAGCCTCTGCCTCCCTAAGTGATAGGATTATAGGCTCGAGCCACTGCTCGGCTGAGAACACAGTTTTATCATACAGATGAAGCTTTTAGCAGACAGGCTTCAGAGAGAATAGGTTGCAAAATGTTTATTATCAGACTTAAAGTCTGCATCGATGTTAATGTCAGAGACATACAATGAGGCAGGTTCAGCCCCCACTTCCCATCATGGCCCAAAACAGTCTCTCAGGTTAAATGTTAAAGAGCCCTGGCTAAGGAGGAAGTCCATTCAGATGGTTGGGGGCGCCTTAGAATTTTATTTTTGGTTTACAGCAGTTAAGTACATAGACAGCTAAGTAGCAACAAAAAATGGCAATTATTAGCACCAGAGAAAACAAGAAGTGCAGGAAAAGTAATCTGTATAACATACGGTTCAGCTGTCAACATGATGTTTATTCACACTGTCATTAGAAAAAAAAAACACTGGGCCTGGCACGGTGGCTCACGCCTGTAATCCCAGCACTCAGGGAGGCCGAGGCGGGCAGACCATTTGAGGTCAGGAGTTTGAAACAAGCCTGGCCAACATGGTGTAACTTCGTCTCTACTAAAAATACAAAAAAATCATTCGGGTGTGCTGGCGGGGACCTGTAGTCCCAGCTACTCAGGAGGCTGAGGCAAGAGAATGGCGTGAACCCGGGAGGCAGAGCTTGCAGTGAGACGAGATCCCGCTACTGCACTCCAGCCTGGGAGACAGAGCAAAACTCTTGTCTCAAAAAAAAAAAAAAAAAAAAAAAGAAAAGAAAAGAAAATCGATCGGGTGTGCTGGCGGGCGCCTGTAATCCCACCTACTTAGGAGGCTGAGGCAGAACTGCTTGAACCGGGAAGGCAGAGGCCGCATTAAGCAGAGACTGTGCCACTGCACTCCAGCCTGAGCCACAGAGCGAGACACTGTCTCGAAAGAAAAAAAAACACTGAATACTGATCTAACTAAAACTGGACACAGGTTCAACGGCAGACTACGGAGTTGGGGAGGCCCCGAAGGTGGAAGTGTTTGTGTGTGTGTTTGGGATGAGGGGAAGGAGGTCAGGGGCTACTAAAAATGATACCTACTATACATGGGTTAAATCAATAGACAACAGAAATATAATACCAAATTCAAAAGGTGGAAAGAAGTTTCTCCTGAGGAATATTAAATAAAATAGGGATGAGGGTGATGGGACTGGCTAACTTTTTTTTTTTTTTTTTTGAGACGGAGTCTCGCTCTGTCACCCAGGCTGGAGTGCAGTGGTGTGATCTCGGCTCACTGCAACCTCCACCTCCCGAGTTCAAGCGATTCTCCTGCTCCAGCCTCCTGAGGAGCTGGGACTACAGGCGCGTGCCACCATGCCCAGCTAATTTTTGTGTTTTTAGTACAGACGGGGTTTTACCATGTTGTCCAGGATGGTCTCGATCTCCAGACCTTGTGATCCACCCACCTCAGCCTCCCAAAGTGTTGGGATTACAAGCATGAGCCACCGCGCCAGGAATGGAATGGCTAGTTTTCAACGTGCCTTTTAGAAATACTTCACTAGCCGGGGCGCGGTGGCTCATGCCTGTAATCCCAGCACTTTGGGTGGCTGAGGTGGGAGGATCACTTGAGCCCACGAGTTCGAGACCAGCCTGGGCAACATAGCAAGATGCCATTTCTAAAAAAAAAAAAAAAAAAAAAAATTTAAAAAATTAGCGGGCGTGGCAGCCTGCACCTGCAGTCCCAGCTACTCCAGAGGCTGAGACGGGAGGATCGCTTGAGCCCAGGAGTCTGAGGTTGCAGTGAGCCAAGATCGCATCACTGCACTCCAGCCTAGACAACAGCAAGACCCTGTCTTTAAATAAAACAGAACAGAACAAAGTAAAACAAAGAGAATAGGGACGACTCCTGGGTTGTGTTTTGTTAGTCTGTTTGTTTCTTGTTTGTCTAGTCTTTCAACTGAAGATGTGAATGGGTGAAGATACTTTCAACGAGACGGTTTGTCTGGGGAAGACCAAGAAGGGGGAACAGAAAGATTTCTTCAGTAAGATTCATTCTCACCCCGTTCGGGTTGAGATCCCTAAGGAAAGAAAGTTCTGAGAGGAGAGGATGGGTGGACGTCACAATGAGGCAAAAAGCATCAAAGGGGGAACTTTCTATCAGAACTTTCTAACAACCAGGCGGAGAGCGGACAGCTCTATCTTGGACGGGGTGGTGGCCAGCAGCTCTCTCGGGCCAGGGCTGAAAAAAACCTCCAAGGCTCGGACTGCCGCCCCGACTTCTGAAGCAGCGGTGTCGTTCGGGGCTGACCGACGAGCGTCCCTAGCGACAAGGGGCCGTGTCCATGTGCCGGTTCCCGCGCTGCAAGAGGGGGCGGCGGCCGGAGCTGCCCAACGGGAGGGGAGCACAGAACCGCCACGCGCACACGCCTCGGGCCGGAGCGGCCGAGGATGAGGGGCCTGAGGGAGCGGACGCTCGAGAACAGGAGCCCCCCTGGACCACCTGGGCCACAGGGCAGACGCCCGCGGGGGCAGAGCGCGCCTCACGTGAGGCGTGGGGCGGGGCAATTCGCTTCTCGCCTCAGGCGGAATCGCTCACCCGACGGCACGTAGTCCTCGTCCTCCTCCGACGTAGAGAAGTCTTCGGAGTCGAATTCCTCCATGTTGCTGCCGCTCGACGCTGGTCAAACTCACAAGACCGCAGCAGCCGCCTCCAACGGCAAAGCTCTAGGGAGAGACCATAGAGCCCCGGCGGCGGCGACGGCAGCTAGGGCGGCCCCCGACAGCGCTTTGCACATGCGCAGAGAGTACTACGTGGTTGCCCTACGACACTTCCGGCCGATGCCTCCGGGCTGGCGTCCCTGAAGCCCTCGCTGGGAGCCCGAACCCGCCCGGACGCGGTGCATGCTGGAACTTGTAGTCTTCGGCGCTGCCTCGCCGCCTTAATATAATAAACCTGCTTAAATAAAATTACATATCTATGGAAATACAGGTGACCTTCATTAATCATTAATTCGTAATGCCAAATTCACTTACTTGCTAAAATGTATTTGTAACCCTAAAATCAATCATCACGGTACTGTCTGGGGTTCTTCCCGGGCATGCGCAGAGGGTGAAAATTTGGAGTTGGCGGAGGTAAGGTTCCCAGCTGAAGTTTGAACTGGGAGAAGCGCCGCCTTCTAGTCGCAGCTCCTGTGCTGTAAACAAAGAGTCCTTTCCGCAGTCTGTTTACTGACACTTTTTTTTCTGCTTTTTGTGGGTGGTTTTGCTTTCTAAAATGGCCCCCAAGCGTAGTGCTTAAGCTCTGCCCAGTGTTCCTAAGCGAAAGAAGACCGTGATGTGCCTTACGGAGAAAGTCCGCGTGTTGGATAAGCTCCAATCAGGCATGAGTTACAGTGCTGTTGGCCATGAGCTCAATGTTAACGAGTCGACAATCCGGTACATCAAGAAAAAGGAAAAGGAAATTCACCGATCTGTCCGTGAGGCCGCTCCGGATAGTGCTGAAGTGACCTCCATCGTGCGTGATGAAGCTATGACAAAGATGGAAAAGATGGAAAAGCGGCTAAATTTGTGGATTCATGAGATGTCAATCGATTAAAAAAAACATAGTGGACAGCATTGTGGTGAGGCTGAAAGCCAAAGATATCTGTGGTCACGTTACCCAGAGTCAAAGAAATGCTAAGCCCTTCTCGGCGAGTGCTGGCCGGCTCGCGCGTTTCAAAAGGCGATACGGGGTGAAAAATGTTAAACTTGCAGGTGAGGCGAGCTCTGCAGATCAGGAGGCTGCGGAAGAATTTTAAAAATACTTGCTAAGTGTTATACAGGAAAAGGGTTATGTGAAAGAGCAGGTTTTCAATGCGGATGAGACTGGCTTATTTTACAAGGATGTTGGCAAACGAACCTATATAATGCAAACGGCCTCCAAAGCCCCTGGCTTTAAATCATGCCAGGATCATGCACCCTTGTTATTGTGCGCCAATGCCAAGAGCGACTAAAGTGCAAACTCCTAATGGTGTAAAGAACCCAAAATCCACAAGCACTTAACGGGAAATACGTGAACCATCTGCCAGTCTATTGGAGGTGGAACAAAAAAGTGTGGATGATGTCTGATTGGTTCCACAACTGCTTCATCCCAGAAGCTGAACACTGTCTCCAGGGCAGAAACCTTGCCTTCAAGGGTTTTTTGTTTTGTTTTGTTTTGTTTTTTGTTTGTTTGGGTTTGTTTTGTTTTGGTTTGGTTTTGAAACGGAGTCTCGCTCTGTCGCCCAGGCTGGAGTGCAGTGGCGCAATCTCGGCTCACTGCAAGCTCCGCCTCCCGGGTTCACGTCATTCTCCTGCCTCAGCCTCCCGAGTAGCTGGGACTACAGGCGTCCACTACCACGCCTGGATAATTTTTTGTATTTTCAGTAGAGACGGGGTTTCACCGTGTTAGCCAGGATGGTCTTGATCTCCTGACCTCATGATCCGCCTGCCTCGGCCTCCCAAAGTGTTGGGATTACAGGCGTGAGCCACCGCGCCGGGCACCTTCAAGGTTTTGTTAATTTTGGATAATGCTACAATCCATTGCTGCAAAGAACTCGAAAATGCACACGCCAACATAGGAGTTCTTTTTATGCCCCCAAACACTAAGTCTCTCATCCAACCCCTCAATCGGGGCATAATAAAAGCATTCAAGGCACACTACACAAGGGAGCTTTATATGAAGGCCTGTGAGGCTCTCAGGACCAACAAGGAAACCACCATGCTGGACTATTGGAAGTCGGTCACTACATGCAACGTTATTGATTATGTCAGTACAGCCTGGGAGAGCATTGGTCAGGCTACTACCAATAACTGTTGGGAAAATGTTTGGCCAGACTGCGTGGAGAATTTTGAAGGGTTTGAAGGTGTTACAGAAAATATAAAGAACACTGTCAGAGACATAATGCATATGGCACAGCAGGTAAGTGGAGAGGGCTTTGATGACGTGAAGGAAGGAGATGTGGAGTACATTTTGGCAGAGAAGGCAGTGGAACCAACCAACGAAGACCTGGATGAGATGGCAAAAGAAGGCATTGGAGTTGATGGCCATGAAAGTCGGCCCAAGACTTCCAGAATTGTCCCTCTCACAGCGCCAAAATATCAGAATGGAGTTCTGCCTTGGAAAAAATTTTTAGCGACATGGAAGAGTGTGACCCTACGCTTGATCGAAGCCTCAAATTTAAATGGCTGGCCTCCACTGCGTTTGCCCCTTATACCGAGATGCTTAAAGATTTCAGGCAGAAAAGCCAGGCAGGCAAGGCTAATGCAATTTCTCAAGCCAGTTTGGGAGGGAAGATTGCCCACTCCTTCAACAAGTGTCAAGAGCCAGACTCCTAAGGTAGAAATGCCAGAGGTTGACCTGCCACCCTCTTCCTCTTCTGCAGAATAAATTTCACTCACCCCTCCCCTGGTTTCTGTGGGGCAAGCCAAGGTCGAGAGGTTTAACCACATTGTGCAGCTCCATCAACCGTAAGATTTTAGTTGATATTTTTATAAAACTTAGGATGCTCCATCTTTGAACTTTTTCCCTTTATTTGTATTGCTGTACTGTAGGGTATACAGTATGTGTGCAAAGTAGTGTATGTGTTTACTGTGGGAACTGTACAGTATGTTATACTGTTGACTGTATATGGGAACTATATGTGTGTACTCTGTGTGTGCCAATGAAAAGGTTGTACAGGCTGGACGCGGTGGCTCACACTTGTAATCCCAGCACTTTGGGAGGCTGAGGTGGGCGGATCACAAGGTCAGGAGTTCAAGACCATCCTGGCCAACATGGTGAAACCCTGTCTCTACTAAAAATAGAAAAATTAGCTGGGTGTGGTGGTGGGCGCCTGTAATCCCAGCTACTCAGGAGGCTGAAACAGGAAAATCGTTTGAACCTGGGGGTCGGAGGTGGCAGTGAGCCAAGACCATGCCATTGCACTCCAGCCTAGACAAAAGGGCAAGACTGACTCAAAAAAAAAAAGTAGTGCAATCTCAGTACACTAGAGTACATTACACCAAACTACTGTCATTGAAATTTTATTGTAAATACTGCAGATTATTTTTAAGAAATACATATTAAATAAGGTGTCTTTGAACAGAAACACACATAAAACAAAGTTACATACCGATCAGTTGACAAAAGTGTTGACCAGAGGTTCACAGGAACCTAACCCTGTATTTCTCCCAGGACCCATGGTTCGGTTTTTGCTAATTCAATGTTCTCGACAACTTTATAGCCATAACTACTGTGAATACAAAGAATTGACTATTCAGGAATGCAGCCATCATCCACAGGAACCCTTCAAGTTAAACCATATGGAAGTACAACCATATATAATCTTTACCATTTCTTCAGATTAAAACATTTTAATGATCTATTTATGAGGTAACAATCAGAAGCAAATTCAGAAGAGACACCAATGACTACCACACTATTTGGTTTTGTTTGTTTTTGAGATGGAGTCTCTCTCTGTCGCCCAGGCTGGAGTGCAGTGGCGCGATCTCGGCTCAATGCAACCCCCACCTCCCTGGTTCAAGCAATTCCCCTGCCTCAGCCTCCCAAGTAGCTGGGATTACAGGCGCACGCCACCACGCCCGGCTATTTTTTTTTTTTGTATTTTTAGTAGAGACGGGGTTTCACCATGTTAGCTAGACTGGTCTCAAACTCTTGACCTCAGGCAATCCGCCTGCCTCGACCTCCCAAAATGTTGGGATTACAGGCGTGAGCCACCGTGCCCGGCAACTATTTGTTTATCTTGTATACAAATATGAGTTTTTGTCAGCTGAAATTGCTCCTCATTGACACTCTGGACTAGACTGGGTCTGTAAATCCAGGAAATCAAGAAATAAATCTTTTGTGAATCAAGGAATAGATGAGACATGCATGTGATTAATAAGACATTGCAATGGCTCTATACCAGCAAACTTTTAAAAATAGCCTTATTGATTGGGAGGCTGAGGCAGGCGGATCACAAGGTCAGGAGATCGAGACCATCCTGGCTAACACGGTGAAACCCCGTCTGTACTAAAAAATATAAAAAATTAGCCGGGCGTGGTGGCAGGCGCCTGTAGTCCCAGCTACTCGGGAGGCTGAGGCCGGAGAATGGCATGAACCTGGGAGGCGGAGCTTGCAGTGAGCCGAGATCGCGCCACTGCACTCCGGCCTGGGTGGCAGAGGGAGACTCCGTCTCAAAAAAAAAAAAAAAAAAAAGCCTTATTGAGACACAATTCACACACCATAAAATGTACCCATTTAAGTGCACAACTCAGGCCAGGCGTAGTGGCTCACGCCTGTAATCCCAGCACTTTAGGAGGCTGAGGGAGGTGGACTACCTGAGGTCAGGAGTTCAAGACCAGCCTGGCTAACATAGTGAAACCCCATCTCTACAAAAATACAAAAATTAGCTGGGCATGATAGCATGTGCCTGTAATCCCAGGTACTCAGGAGGCTGAGGTGGGAGAATTGCTTGAACCCAGGAGGCAGAGGTTGCAGTGAGCCGAGATCTTGCCATTGCACTCTAGCCTGGGTGACAGAGTAAGACTCCGTCTCAATAAAATAAAATTTAAAAATGCACAATTCAATAGTTTTTGGTATATTCAGACTTGCACAATCATCACGAAATCCATTTAGAACATTTTTATTGCCCCCAAAATAAACCCTTTCTCATTCCCCATTCATGCTCATTCTTTGTTTCTCCTCAAAGACCAACTTCTATAGATTTGCTTATTCTGAACATTTATTTCATATAAATGGAATCAGACAACATGTGGTCTTTGGGGTCTGGCTTCTTTCACATTTCACATTTCACATTTTCAAAGTTCATTTCTCTTAGGTATATCCTAAGTGGGATTGCGTGATCATATAATAACTTTAAAAAAAAAACTTTGGAGGCCAGGCGCGGTGGCTCACGCCTGTAATCCCAGCACTTTGGGAGGCCGAGGCAGGCAGATCACCTGAGGTCAGGAGTTTGAGACCAGCCTGGCCAACATGGTGAAACCCCATGTCTACTAAAAATACAAAAATTAGCCAGGTGTGGTGGTGTGCGCCTGTAATCCCAGCTACCCAGGAGGCTGAGGCAGGAGAATTGCTGGAACCCAGGAGGCAGAGGCTGCAGTAAGCCGAGATTGCGCCACTGCACTCCAGCCTGGGCAACATAGCAAGACTCCGTCTCAAAGCAAAAAACAAAACCTTTTGAAGAACTGCCAAAGTGTTTTCCAAAGCAGTTGTACCATGTTATATTCTCACCAGCAGCATGTGATGGTTACAATTTCTTTATCCCCTTGCCAATACCCTCTTTTTTTTTTTTTTTTTTTTTGAGACAGAGTTTCACTCTTGTTGCCCAGGCTGGAGTGCAATGGCGTCATCTTGGCTCACTGCAACTTCCGCCTCCCGGGTTCAAGCGATTCTCCTGCCTCAGCCTCCCGAGTAGATGGGATTACAGGCACACACCACCACGCCCGGCTAATTTTTTGTATTTTTAGTAGAGACGGGGTTTCACCATGGCCAGGCTGGTCTTGAACTTCTGACCTCAGGTGATCCGCCCGCCTCGGCCTCCCAGGGTGCTGGGATTACAGGCGTGAGCCACCGCGCCCGGCCTCCAATACCCTCTTTTATTCTAGCCTTCCTAGTTGGTGTGAAGTGGCATCTCACTGTAGTTTTGATTTGCATTTTCCTGATGACTAATGGAGTTAAGCATCTTTTCATGTCCTAATTGGCCATTGTATATGTTCGTTGGAGAAATATCTTTTGAGATGTTTTGCCCTTTTTATTTTATTTTTTTGAGATGGAGTCTTGCTCTGCTGCCCAGGCTGGAGTGCAGTGGCGTGATCTCAGCTCATTGCAAGCTCTGCCTCCCGGGTTCCAGCGATTCACCTGCCTCAGCCTCCCGAGTAGCTGGGACCACAGGTGTGAGCCACCAGGCATGGCTAATTTTTGTATTTTTAGTAGAGATGGGGTTTCATCATTTTGGTCAGGCTGGTCTCGAACTCCTGACCTCAAGTGATCCACCCACCTCAGCCTCCCAAAGTGCTGGGATTACAGGTGTGAGCCACTGTGCCTGTTTTGCCCATTTTATTTTATTTTATTATTTTATTTTACTTATTTTTTATTTTATTATTTTATTTTATTTTTAAGACAGAGTCTCGTTTTGTCGCCCAGGCTGGAGTGCAGTGGTGTGATCTCGGCTCACTGCAAGCTCCACCTCCCGGGTTCACGCCATTCTCCTGCCTCAGCCTCCCGAGTACAGGCGCCCGCCACCACAACCGGCTAATTTTTTTGTATTTTTAGTAGAGACGGGGTTTCACTGTGTTACCCACGATGGTCTCGATCTCCTGACCTCGTGATCTGCCCACCTCGGCCTCCCAAAGTGCTGGGATTACAGGCGTGAGCCACTGCGTCTGGCCTTTGCCCATTTTAAAATTGGGTTCTTTTTGTTGATGTTTAAGTTTTTTTGTTTGTTTTGAAATGGGTTCTCACTGTTGCTCACGCTGTAGTAGTGCCATCACGGCTCACTGCAGCCTCAACCTCCCTGGTCTCAGGCAATCGTCCCACCTCAGCCTCCTGAGTAGCTGGGACTACAGGGGCGCACCATCATGCCTAGCTAATTATTATTATCATTATTATTATTTTTTTTTTGAGACTGAGTCTTGCTGTTGTTGCCCAGGCTGGAGTGCAATGGCATGATCTTGGCTCACCACAACCTCCACCTCCCAGGTTCAAGCGATTCTCCTGCCTCAGCCTCCTGAGTAGCTGGGATTACAGGTATGCACCACCACACCCGGCTAATGTTTGTATTATTAGTAGAGACAGGGTTTCACCATGTTGGCCAGGCTAGTCTCGATCTCCTGACCTTGTGATCCGCCCGCCTCAGCCTCCCAAAGTGCTGGGATTACAGGTGTGAGCCACCGCGCCTGGCCACGCCTAGCTAACTTTTATACCTTTTGTAAAGACGGGGTTTCACCATGTTGGTCCAGTTGGTCCACCACCAGGCTGGTCCAGTCCTTTGTGACTTGAACATATTTCCTCATATTTTGTGAGGTTTCCACTTTTTTTGAAAGACAGCATCCTGCTCTATTGCCCAGGCTGGAGTGCAGTGGTGCATAGCCCCACTGTAGCCTCCAACTCCTGGGTTCAAGCAATCCTCCCACCTCAGCCTCCTGAGTAACTAGAACTTCAGGTGCACACAACCACACCCAGCTAACTTTTAAAAATACACATATTTTGTAAAGATAGGGTCTTGCTGTGTTACCCAGGCTGATCTCAAACTCATGACCTAAACCAGTCCTCCCACCCGGGCCTCCCAAATTGCTGGGATTACAGGCATGAGCCACCGTGTCTGGCTATTCATACTTTCTTGAAGGTGTCCTTCAAAGTCGTTTTTAATTTTGATGAAGTCCAATTTATCTATTTTTTGTTTATTTTCCCTTGTGCTTTTGGAATTGTATCTAAGAAAGCTTTACCTAAGCCAAGATCATAAAATTTACGCTTATTTTTTTCTAAGAGTTGTAGTTCTTGCGTTTAGGTTTATGATCCATTTAAGCACATTTTTTTTTTTTTTTTGAGATGGAGTTTCGCTCTTGTTGCCCAGGCTGGAGCGCAATAGCGTGATCTCGGCTCACTGCAACCTCTGCTTCCTGGGTTCAAGCGATTCTCCTGCCTCAGCCTCCCAAGTAGCTGGGATTACAGGCATACACCACCACGTGTGGCTAATTTTGTATTTTTAGTATAGACAGGGTTTCTCCATGTTGGTCAGGCTGATCTGGAACTCCTGACCTCAGGTGATCTGCCCGCCTCGGGCTCCCGAAGTGCTGGGATTACAGGCATGAGCCACTGCACCCGGCCTAAGCACACTTTTCTTATGGGAGAGTAATAGAAAAATAGATGTAAAATTTGAACCCAGTATTTGGAAGTTGACCATTCTTGGCGTCATTTACCTTGGACAGCATAAATGGTGTCCTACAGCCACAAATCAGGATGTACCCTTTTGCCCTATCACTGGGGGTGAGTCTGGGGAACAGGAGCCACTGCGTTCTCTGGCAGACACTCCCCAGCACCCATTTCTCCTAGCACTCCATGTGATTGTTCAGATTTACAACTAGAGTTCCTGACCGCTTTAAGGGTAATCAGAGTGGGAATTACTTTCTAATAGTTGAGATGGAAAAAAAATTGGTGGTGAGCAGGCCAAATCCAGCTTAAAATCATGTATTGTAATGACTTAAAAGTGTTTTACGGCAAGGCGCACAATTACAGGTGGCTCGCGGCTGTAATTCCAGCACTTTGGGAAGCCAAGGTGGGCGGACCATTTGAGGTCAGGAGTTCGAGACCATCCTGGCCAACACCGTGAAACCTCGTCTCTACTAAAAATACAAAAATTAGCCAGGTTTGGGGGCGCACATCTGTAATCCCAGCTACTTGGGAGGCTGAGGCAGGAGAATCACTTGAACTTGGGAGGTGAAGATTGCAGTGAGCCAAGATCGCGCCACTATACTCCAGCCTGAGCAACAGAGCGAGACTGTGTCTCTAAATAAATAAATAAATAATAAAAGTGTTTTACGCAAGTTTAAATTAGTTGCTAACACTTAAAAATGGAGAGATTTCAAACAGTAACCTAGATTTCCAGCTTCTCTTGAAAATAAGTATCTGGCAAGATTGGGTTAATCATCGAATAAAGCAGAAACAGGCTGGAGCCAAGCAATAGCTGACTCCTTCGGACAGGGCTCTCCACTTGGCCACAGCACAAATCCCTCCAACTCCCTAAAGATTCCTGGTTCACTGTTCTGTTTTCTCGGTAATAATTTAGGGTGTCCTCCCTGCCGATCTCAGCACCTTTACTCCCAGATACATATACAGTCTTGGGGTCTTCTGTCTGAACTGTGTACGTATCTTTCCGGGGTGCTAGAAACATTCTGTCTCTTGATCTATTAGTCACATTAAGTATATATATATATATATATATATATATGTAAAATTCATTAAGCTATACATTTTAAGATTTGTACACTTTACTGCATGTTAAACCTCAACTTTAGAAAATTAGAAGGAATGAATGGGCAATCTCCTGCCAGACATTCTCTGTATGTGTCTGCAATGGCTGGAACTGCAGCAATCTTGTGACCATGAGGTAAACTACCCAACTTAGTCCCATTTGTTAAAAATGGCAGAACAGTGAGATTTATGATGTCACCAAGGGTATTAAATTAACCAAACACGACGAAGCTTCTCTTCATGTGGACTTACTATTAAAATAATACATTTTCACACACTGTATCAATACTCACCTATTCCTGCACAGAATCAAACAAAAGTTTCTTGATGGGAATATATGGCCCAGCAAGTAGAGTTAATAAGAATTTCAAGTTCACATGTTAAGTACGGTTTAATCACAACTTTGAACAAGAATTTTATCATAAATTAGTAAGAAGTAGAACATAAAAAAAGTTACACATGCTAGATATTAAGTTATTTAAAAAATGAAAACTGAAGTCAATTTTATTACAAAAGATTAAACTCATTAGCCACCAAAAAGAAATATAATTCCAACTCAGAATTGAAAGTAATTTTTTATTGATAAACATTTACACTAGAATTAGAAATGTCAGTAGAAAAATAAAATTTAAATAATTTTCTATTGTACAAAGATTTGATCATTTTGACTGTAGCAGTTAGTGAAATAACATAATATAAAAAGTTAAGCTGATCTGAGTCACAACCAGCCTTATAGAGTGCACAAAAAAGAAATGCAAGTACACGACATTTCTGCATATGGTCTGCTAATGGCACCGATGCTTCACATTCCAGGAAATGGTTACTTAGGGAAGGTTGATATGTGCTGCAGCATAATAGGAACTTAATTCAAACCAGAGCAACCAGAAAGGATACTGGAGGCAAAAGCCAAAATACAATTTAAAATCTTAAAAAAAATAAGGAACGGTTTAAAGGTAATTAATGAACTTTTCCTCACCTAGTGTAAACATTTCATAAGAAGTAATATTTTGTGGTCACAAAAAAAGCACAGATACCTCTTTTAGAATATTCATGATGCTCTTGTGTATGAACTTAAGTTTTCATGAAATGCTTTCACCTCAAAACCCCGTATTCAAGAATCAAGAAGGCCAAGCATGATGGCTCATGTCTATAGTCCCATCACGTTGGGAGGCCGAGGCGGGTGGATCACTTGAAGTCAGGAGTTTGAGACCAGCCTGTCCAACATAATCAAACCCTGTCTCTACTAAAAATACAAAAATTAGCTGGGCCTTGTGGCGGGTGCCAGTAATCCTAGCTACTCAGCGGCCAAGGCAGGACAATCACTTGAACCCAGGAAACGGAGGCTGCAGTGAGCTGAGACCATGCCACTGCACTCCAGCCTTGGAGACAGAGCAAGACTCCATTTCAAAAAAAAAAGAAAAAAAAATCAAGAAATCAGCTTTTATGGTCAGGAGGCTGCCTCCCTCCCTCTCTTGCATTTCTTTTTTTTTAAAAAACAAAGCAGAGGCCGGGTGTGGTGGCTCATGCCTGTAATCCCAGCACTTTGGGAGGTGGAGGCGGGTCAGGAGATTGAGACCATCCTGGCTAACACGGTGAAACCCCGTCTCTACTAAAAATACAAAAAATTAGCTGGGCATGGTGGTGGACGTCCGTAGTCCCAGCTACTCGGGAGGCTGAGGCAGGAGAATGGCGTGAACCCGGGAGGCAGAGCTTGCAGTGAGCCGAGATCATGCCACTGCACTCCAGCCTGGGCGACAGAGCAAGACTCCGTCTCAAAACAAAAAAACCAAAAAACCAAAGCACAGCTGGGGGAGGATATTTCTAAGAAATCAGTTTTTGGCAAAAATTCTCAAAACTATATAAGGTAAAATGTTCAACACAATTGCCAATATTCTTCCATCTGAGTGACCACCCCCAAATAATTCTATATTTGAGACATAAAAAAGAAAATCAAAGCTATTCCTTATGATTCAAATAGTCTTTCCCTGAAAACATTTCAAGCTACACCGCTCAAGCTATTTAAAATCTATATATATATATAGATTTATTCACTGGAGAATACTTCACCTACTGGGATGGATGAAACACTCAGTAATTTGAAGATACCTTTTATACGTTTAGTTTTTTAAAAGAGTAGATAACCAAAATATATCAAACAAGAAACAGAAACAAATACACCTTTCAAAATGCCCTAATTTTAAGTCTTAGCTCCAGTGAAAAATATCTAACATTTTAATCATGTATCAGTACTTCAAAAGTTACTGTTTAAGAGGAGGGGCCCACTAACTACTGGTCTATATGTTTAGTGTATGAAATTACATCCAAAGAATGCTTTAGGCAAGAACTCCTTCAAAAGACATTTTTCAGTAAGAGGCATCCTTCAGTAGAGATGATGGCAATCATTTCCCATAAGAAAAGTTACCAATTCCCCAGATTTCTTAAACTGAAGGGATACTTTTGAAAATCACAGCTCTTTAAACAAAAAACTAGAATTTTTACAATTTGCCTGTGAGAAAGATTTGAGCTTCTTGTTAGGGAATTTGTAAGAATATTTGGCTGCATTACAACTCTACTTATAAGTTTCTGCCCGTGTATATGTCACTATAGTTTTGATAAGTTAATTACCAAAATTAGTAATATTATTTTAAGACAGGGTCTTGCCCTGTGGCCTAAGCTGGAGTTCAGTGGCGTGGTCTCGGCTCACAGCAGCCTGAACCTCCCAGGCACAAGTGATCCTCCCACTTTAGCCTCTTGGGTAGCTGAGGCCACGCCCAGCTAATTTTTTTTTATTTTGTAGTAGAGACAAGGTCTCACTATGTTGCCCAGGCCAGTCTTGAACTCTTGGGCTCAAGCAATCCTCCCACATCGACCTCCCAAAGTGCTGGGATTATAGGTGTGAGCCACTGCGCCCAGCCATAAGTGGTCTAATTAGTCAAAAGAATATGTCCAGTTTTTGTGATCTCTTTGTAATTCTTTTCTATGAGTTTCCCTGGCAAATTGGTCCTCCTGACTTTTTTCTTTTTTTTTTTTTTCCAAATTGGGCAGACTCCAGAATCACAGTAGATTCAGAGACTCTCCTCCTGGCTATTTTTAATCAGAAGCCAGAGTGTGTATTGCTTTAAATGGAATAGATACGTTCATGTGTATATGACCTCATGGGCTGTTAAGCCTTAATCTCACAATGAAAACTTTCCTTTAAAGATGTCAGATTTATGGCCAGGCGCGGTGGCTCACGCCTGTAATCCCAGCACTTTGGGAGGCCGAGGCGGGTGGATCACAAGGTCAGGAGTTCAAGACCAGCCTGGGCAAGATGGTGAAACCTATCTCTACTAAAAATACAAAAATTAGCCGGGCACGGTGGCAGGTGCCTGTAATCCCAGCTACTCAGGAAACTGAGGCAGGAGAATCGCTTGAACCCGGGTGGCAGAGGTTGGAGTGAGCTGAGATTGCACCACTGCACTCCAGCCTGGGCAACACAGTGAGGCTCCGTCTCATTTAAAAGAAAAAAAAAAAAAAAAGTCAGATTTAATCACCAGAAACTATTTTGCAGATAACCACCACCACTACCACCACACTGATTGTATTCCATACAAAACAGTTTAGGTGGAAAGGATCACATTAAATACTTAATTTCTGCGATTCTTTCCCTCTCAAAGAGTCACAGTTTTCAGGCCTTTTAATGAAAAAGAAAGTTAGGCAGTAGAATAAAAATTTAAATAGCTAAAATTAAGTTTTAAAAAAACTCTTGATATTTAAATCTCTTTAAAGATATAAATTCTTTTGAATAAAAATGTAAAGGGGAGAGTGGGTACATATCTGAACATTAAACTTTAGGCACTTTCTGGGAGTTGATACCCAATACTGTAAAAGTGGGCTGAAGAGTTACCACTAGGTAAACACATTAAGCTAAAAAATCAATAACCACTAACTCTAGTTTCAGATGCACTTCTATAGTTTCTCAAGGGTCATTAGTATACCAAAGTCACTAAGAAAAACTATGACAGAATGCCTAAAGTATCTTATGTGTGCCTCAATGTCCAAACAAATCTGGCTTAAAATTTCCAACTCAAGCCATTTAATAGGGTATGTATGTTTCCAATTAAATGAAATAAAATTAAGAGAATTAAAAGTGATAGGGAAAGGTGGTACAGAAAATCTAAAAAGTCTAAATTAGCTAGCTTATTTTGATAAAACATACAAAATAACAAATTCACATCTCTTAAAATATCTTAATCAGAAGTCAAGACAGTTGTCCAGAAAATGTCACATTATTCATTGTTATCTACTTTTTATTTATAAACAGTGGAACCAAAGCCACTACTTGAGTTATACTTAAATTTTTTTTCCTGCTTTATTTCACCAAATTTGTTTTCAAAACTATACTCAACCAAAACCTATTTGGCATTTATTGTCACTAAGATGTAGCAAAGAAAAGAGTTTGCCAAATTTTAATCAAGATTAGATAAGATTTTAATACAACATACTCTGCTCATTTGAAATAAACCAGTATCTTCCACGGTTTCTTCAAAATATGCGACATCTCACAGAATACTGTAAATTTCAGTGCAAAGGATGCCACCCCAGAGACACTGTTGACTTGGCTTGGGTAAAGGTACACATGAAAACTGCTTAAATCAAATATCTACAAAAAAGAAAGCCAAAAGACTTGTTTTGGTTGAGAACAATAGGAGTCCACATAAGTCTTCAATTCTAGGAGCTTCAAAATGAAGAAAAGGCTGAGATGTGTTGTCCTTCATGTTCCTGTTCATCCAAGTTGCTTCCCTTTGAAGAACTAAGAAAACACTACACTCCATAATGTATTCTTTTGGAGGATTCCATAAAGTTTAAGTTCAACATCTCAGCATAAGGATGTATGCTATAGAGTAGCTAAAATCCGTAAAAAGGAGACCACCAAGACGCAAAATGTCTGTCCAGTGCCCAGTGTGAGGGCTTCAAATGGTATCATTTCCTTCCCTGCTGCTCGGTAAACTCCAGCAATAGCTGCACCTGATTTAAAATGCAAGAATGTTAAACAAAAACAAAAAACGAAGGTTAACAAACTCACGAAAATACAACATTTAAAATACTACTGCGAGTAGAATGTTCCAGATTTTATACTGAAATTTAAATCTTACAGAAATGTTAGGTTTTCCCTATTCTTTCTGTGGACTACTCTACACTTTGAGTATTCATTGCATGGCTTGCAAGATCACTTTTAGATGCTGACTCCTTAAAACCCAGAGTCTCCTAGATTTATTGAATAAAATAATCTGGAAGAAATAATCAAAATCACAAAGATAGCAATTCCCACATGACCAGATTATGAACTCAAAAATATCTGTATTCCCCTACCAGTTACCCCATGCCTAGCCTTCAACAGGGACCTAATACATTTTTGGTAACAAATGAAAAAGGATCTTTTGAGTTAGACTAAGCAAGAAATGTTTCAGGCCACAGGGAATCCCCACTCCACCTTCTATCACACTCATAGTTCCCTTCAAGAAATGGACGGAGGAGGGACTAGAGGGGTGAAAAGGGAAGACAGGAGGACTCTAAGCCATAAAGTTGTTATTCATTCACAGGGCATGAGAGGAGAGATACTCAGGGATTCCTTTGTCTCCCAAGTCATTGATTGTTTTTATTACGCTAGTCACTATAATTTCCTGCAAATTGGAAAAACAAAACGAAAACCCCTGTATCTATGCAGATACCCATTTGAGTTACTATACGAGTTCAGCATTATACCAAGGAAGTGTACCAAGAAAGTTAACATTTCATTCGTTTGAAAAGAATAGATCCGGCCGGGCACGGTGGCTCACGCCTGTAATCCCAGCACTTTGGGAGGCCGAGATGGGTGGATCATCTGAGCTCAGGAGTTTGAGACCAGCCTGGGCAACATGGTGAAACCCCATCTCTACTAAAAATACAAAAAATCAGCCAAGTGTGGTGGCACGTGCCTGTAATCCCTACTACTCGGGAGGCTGAGGCAGGAGAGCTGCTTGAACCCAGGAGGTGGAGGTTGTTGTGAGCTCACATCGCGACACTGCACTCAAGCCTGGGCAACAGAACAAGATCCTGTCTCAAAAAAAAAAAGAACCGGCCAAGTACAGTGGCTCAAGCCTATAATCCCATCATTTTGGAAGGCCGAGGCAGGAGGATCGCTTGAGCCCAGGAGTTTGAGACCATCCTGGGTAACATGACCAAACCTTGTCTTTACAAAAAATACAAAAATTAGCTGGGTGTAGTGAACGTGCCTGTAATCCTAGTTGCTTGGGTGGCTGAGGTAGGGGGATCACTTGAGCTAGGGAGGTCAAGGCTGCAGTGAGCTGTGACTATGCCACTGCACTCCAGCCTGGGTGACAGAACAAGACCCTGTTCTCAAATAAAAATAAATAAATAAATAATAAAAATTTTAAAAAGAAAAGAATAGATCCAGATTTCCCAGATGACCCTCCCCACAAAATGCTCCAACAAAATTCTCCTTTGTCATAGTGTGTTCATTCACTCCAATTTTCATCTGCAGAACACTTCTGTGTTTTATAAGGTATGATCGCTATTCTCAAGGTACTTGGAATCTAGCTGGGGACACAAGACAGAAACAGATTTGCAATAATGCAAAATAACATACAGTGTCTCAATCACGTTTACAATTTTTTTTTTTTTTGAGACAGTGTCTCACTCTTTCACCTAGGCTGGAATGCGGTGGCATGATCATGGCTCCCTGCAGCCTCAACCTCCTGGGCTCAAGTGATCCTCCCGAGCAGCTGGGACTACAGGCACACGCCACCACACCTGGCTATTTTATTTATTTATTTTTTGTAGAGACAGGGTCTCACTATGTTGCCAAGGCTGGTTTTGAACTCTTGGACTTAAGCAATCCTCCCAAGCTGGCTTCCCAAAGTGCTGGGATTACAGGCATAAGCCACCATGCCTGGCACATTTCACAAATGTGATGTGAAGGTATATTAACATATTTTAACAAGAAGAAAGAACAATATTAACCAAAGGTTGGCTGCCTTGAACATTTAGTGATTTAAAATGCCCAGCTCCACTGGCAATGCGTACATTTTGTTACTAACATCTGAAAGACATGTTTCATTGGGCCCCTCCAAAATTTAGGTACACAAGAAAGACTGGGTTGGATAGAAAGAAGCTTAAGGAACTTGAACTGGGCCCTAAAGTGGGATTGGGATAATGAAGCGAAGAAAGGAAAAAGTATATCCAAGAGAGCAGCAAATGGAAAGGGAACAGACTATTCATAGAGCCTTAAAGACAGAAATGAATACAACATTTATTCGACAATTACTATGTGTCAGGTATTACATCATATACACATTAGCTCAATCATGCAAGGGTATGAGGTTGGGTAGTATTACCCCTATTTTACTGAGGAACAAACTAAGACAGGCCCTAGCAGCCAGTCATCCTGGGGCAGAGGGTCTCCAAAGCAGCAGTAGGTGATACAGTTAGAACACAGAGAAACTAGGCCACTTTCTCTCAAAAAAAAAAAAAAAAAACACCTCAAGTCAAAGACATAGAGGGCGATTTCTGCTTGATGCTAAGGTTTCAATTCACAGTGAAAAAAAGTTACAAATCAGTAGGAATATTACATTTCTATATTATAAAAATGTATTTATGTTTACATCTATACCTAAAAAAAGAAATACACACCAAGATGTAAACTGTGGCTATTATTTAGGGATGAGAAAATGGAGGATTTTACATTTTAATTACTTAGAATTTTCAGTTTATATAAAATACACATTTATATTTATGCATGAGCTTTGAAATGATTTAAACTTATTGTTCTCATTTCTGTAACTGTTTCTTATCCCATAAGCAAAAGCCATAACAAACCAAACGCCCCAAAAACAAGCCTGAAAATAATTCATAACATCATGTTACTCCAATTCTTATTCAGAAAGTCCTAAGGGGAAAAAAATAACTAGAGCACTAATCGGGTACTTTTCTAAGCAAGAATTCTTTTTTTTTCCCCCGGGTCTTGCTCTGTGGCCCAGGCTGGAGTGCTGTGGTGTGATCACGACTCACTGCAGCCCAGCCTGGACCTCCTGGCTCCAGCAATCCTCCCATTTCAGCCTCCCACGTAGTTGGAACCACAGGTACACACCACCACACTCAGCTAAATTTTTTATTTTTATTTGTAGAGATGGGGTCTTGCTATGTTGCTGAGGCTAGTCTCAATTTCCTAGGCTTCAGCAAGCCTCCCACCTCTGCCTCCCAAAGTGCTGGGATTACAGTCATGAGCCACTACACCTGGCAAAGAATTCTTGTCATCAAAATTTGTCTTCTATCTTTACAGCAACCACACCCACATGAGTGGAAGTAATTCACCAACCATCTTGCAGGGCCAATGCTCAAGTGATAGCTGATCAGAGAGGAGAAGTAGCTTCCAAAAAGATAAATTTTCCTCTTGCTGGTGGCCTCTCTCACGAGATATATCTCACAAAGTTTAACATGACTTCCCTGAAGCCACTGAGATGAAATCTGACTCAAGAAGTCAAAGAGGTTAGCCAAGTAATAGGACCTTGGGGGTGGAAAAAAAAAATCAATACATTAAAAAAACTGGGCCAGGCACAGTGGCTCACGCCTGTAATCCCAGCATTTTGGGAGGCCAAGGTGGGCAGATTGCTTGAGCTCAGGAGTTCGAGACCCGGGCAACATGACGAAACCCTGTCTCTACAAAAAATACAAAAAAAATTAGCGGGGCATGGTGGCACACCCCTGTAGTCCAAGCTTCTTGGGAGGCTGATGGAGGAGGATTACTTGAGCCCAAGAGGTGGAGGCTGCAGTGAGCCAATATTGCAACCACTGCACTCCGGCCTTGGTGACATAGGGAGACCCTGTCTGGACTTGCAGTTAAAAGGCACTCTTTCCTTCATCCTACTCAGATATGTTTTCTAGAATAGGTCCTGAAATTGACTAGTCATATTAAACATTTTTGACTGGTATTTTAATGTCTAACATACTTGTCAAGATTCCAGCAGTAATTGGTCCCACGATGCCCATCAACAGGATGCTTACAGACATGAACCTACCATATTTGTGATGTCTGAGGGTGAAGAGGGCCAGTAATCCAGCAGGGACATGAAAGAAGAGAGAAGACACCAGTGCCCACAGGAATACACCATACCACATCTCTATGAGGGAAGACAAAGAAAAGTTGTGAATCACTGCCCTTCCCAGGACAATCATTGCAGAGGGTACTCATCATACCCGTCATTTCATTTTCAACACCGTTTCTTTTTTCCTTTTTTTTGAAAAATTTTTATTATTTTTAATTTTTTTTTGAGACGGAGTCTCGCTCTGTCACCCAGGCTGGAGTACAGTGGCGTGATCTCGGCTCACTGCAAGCTCTGCCTCCTGGGTTCACACGATTCTCCTGCCTCAGCCTCCCGAGTAGCTGGGACTACAGGCACCCGCCACCGCGCCTGGCTAATTTTTTGTATTTTTAGTAGAGACGGGGTTTCACCATGTTAACCAGGATGGTCTCGATCTCCTGACCTCATGATCCGCCCGCCTCGGCCTCCCAAGTGCTGGGATTACAGGCGTGAGCCACCGCGCCCAGTCAAAAATTTTTATTTTTAAAGACGGGGTCTCACTCCGTCACCCAGGCTGCAGTGCAATGGCACCATCATGGCTCACTGCAGCCTTGACCTCCTAGGTCTGGGTGTTCTCCCGCCTCAGCCTCCGGAGTGGCTGGAACTACAGATGTGTGCTACCACGCCTGGCAAAATTCTTTTTTTTTTAATTTTCTTTTTTTATGAGACAGGGTCTCACTACTCTGTTGCCCAGGATGGAGTGCAGTGGGAGTTTCGCCAGGCTGGTCTCAAACTCCCAACCTCAGGTGATCTGCCCGCCTTGGCCTCCCAAAGTGCTAGGATAACAGGCATGAGCCACTGCGCTTGGCCTGTATTTTCTTTAGAGATGGGGTCTCACCGTGTTGCCCAGGCTGGTCTTGAATGCCTCGGCTCAAACAATCCGCCCAACTTGGCCTCCTAAAGGGCAGGGATTACAGGTGTGAGGCCACCGCACCCGGCCTTCAACATCATTTACTTGCAAAGTAGGGTTCATCAGTCAAATATCCAAATATTGACGGTTTTAGTGTGTTCAACAAATTACTGCCTACAGACCCACCACCTGTTTTTTACACACTTATCTGAACCCATTCATAATACTTTTATACATACACACTTATCTGAAACCATTTACAAGAGTTTTGCACACACATACTTATTCAACCCATGCCCTTTCATTTAAGTATTGTTTATGGCTGCCTTCCAGCTTCAAGGGCAAAGCTGATAACAGTGACACAGACCACATGACCCATAAAGCCTAACATATTTACTATCTGGCCCTTCACAGAAAAAGCTGACCAATCTCTGTACCCTCAAACTGAAAAAAAAGGTTCATCTAGATTTCAAAATTGACCTAAATAATGTCCCCGACCATAACTGGGCACGGCAGCTCACGACTGTAATCCCAACACTTCAGGTGGCCAAGGTGGGCAGGTCGCTTGAGCCCAGGAGTTTGAGACTAGCTTGGGCAATACAGCGAAACCCTGTCTCTACAAAAAATACAAAAATTAGCCTGGCATGGTATTGCATACCTGTAGTCCTAGCTACTCGAGAGGCTGAGGTGGGAGGATTGCTTGAGCCTGGGAGGCAGAGGTTGCAGTAAGTCAAGATCATGCTACTGCACTCCTGCCTGGGCAACAGGGTGAGACGGTCTCAAAAAACTCCCCCAAAAACCAAAAAACCCAAACAAAAATAATTCCCCCATAAGAGGCACAAGCCAAAGAGCCAATTGATACGGTACTATGCAATCAATGCCTGTTGATCTTTCCTGACCTTTTGATCACTCAGTCTTCTAAAATGGACAGCTATACAATTATATTCATTCCACAATCATTTGAAAGACAATGCAGTAAATATCAAGCCATCACCTCCTATTAGGATTTCAAAGCTCTTTAGGATATGAAATAAATACCAGAAAATATAAATGTTTGGCTTGAAGACAAATGGCAGGTAAACAACAGTGCAGGTTAGGAGAGCTGGCTCCTACAGAACTCTAATCACTCTTAAGGTGTCTGTAACTCAGGCAACATTAAGATACATATAATCATCAACTATGTATGAAAAACTATGCATGAGGCACCCATATAAAGAAAACAAAACCATCCTGCTGGAATGTGACTTTACAATTTGTTAAATGGCCCATGTAGCATTTCCCCCCAGTGAACCCAAGGCAAGGCCTTAGAATCCTCAAGGTAGCTCTCCAGCTACCCACAGGGAGGGACTGGCGGTGACACATTAGATAAAACCCACTGTCCATCCTTGGCTAGAGGCAGGTAAGTAGCAAGTGATTTTTGAGATCAGTGAAGAGCTTAGCTCAGCAGGGTTTCTTGACCACCGCCCTCCGCCCTATTGACATTTGGACCAGATAACTTTTCATTGTGGGGGCTGCACTGTGCACTGCAGGATATGGAGAGGCACCTCTGGCCTGCAGCACTCTATTCCCAGTTGTGTCAACCAAAAATATTTCCAGACATTGTCAAATGTCCCCAAGGGGGCAAAACTACCCTGATTAAAAACCACGGGCTTTACCAAAGCACAGAGGCTTTATAAGAGCCATGATGGCCGGGCGTGGTAGCTCACACCTGTAATCCCACCACTTTGGGAGGTCGAGGTGGGCTAATCACGAGGTCAGGAGTTCAAGACCAGCCTGGCCAACATAGTGAAACCCTGTCTCTCTAAAAATACACACACATACACACACACACAAAATTAGCCGGGCATGGTGGCAGGCACCTGTAGTCCCAGCTACTTGGGAGGCTGAGGCAGGAGAATCGCTTGAACCCAGGAGGCAGAGGTTGCAGTGAGCTCAGATCACACCACTGCACTCCAGCCTGGGAGACAGAATGACACTCCGTCTCAAAAAAATAAAAGAGCAATGACAGTTAAAGCTATAAAGACAGATGAGGGAAACCCTTTGGGGAATTTGACACCAGACTAAGGACTTCACAAAAGATCTAAAGTGCCAGTATAGGTTTTGAGCAGTAACGGTTGTCATGACATTATTCCACAGGCCCCACCTGACACTCCTAGTTGGAATACAAACTGGAAAACCACCTTTTTGCAGGGTAATTTGGAAGTCAAATGTGCATGGCCCTTGCTGCAACAATTTTACTTCCGGGGATACACCCCACAGAAAAGCATAGGTAGGCAAGGACAGAGGTAACAAGAAGGTCCCAACAGCATTGTCCATAATATCAAAAACTAGAAGTCACCTGCATGGCTATCACTGCAGAATTTGGAAAACACATTCTGTGCACCCACGTAATACTACAAAGTCCCATTAAAATATGCAATAGATGGGCTGGGCACAGTGGCTCACGCCTGTAATCCCAGCACTCTGGGAGGCTGAGGCAGGCAGATCACGAGGTCAGAAGATTGAGACCATCCTGGCTAACACGGTAAAACCCCGTCTCTACTAAAAATACAAAGAATTAGCTGGGCAAGGCAGCGGGCACCTGTAGTCCCAGCTACTTGGGAGGCTGAGGCAGGAGAATAGTGTGAACTCGGGAGGCGGAGCTTGCAGTGAGCCGAGATCACGCCACTGCACTCCAGCCTGGGTGACAGAGCGAGACACTGTCTCAAAAAAAAAAAAAAAAATGCAATAGATGTATATATACTGAAGGGGCAAGATGCCCAAGCCACATTGTGAAGTAACAAAAGCCAGTTGCATGTAGAATAAGATCCTGTTTTTGAGAAAACAAACACAATAAACACTCATGTGGAAATGCTTCTATGTACTGAGCATGTTTATTTAATAAATAATTATTAGATAGGCCAGGCATGGTGCTCGTGCCTGTAATCCCACCACTTGAAGCCAGGAGTTGAAGACCAGCCTAGCCAACATGGTGAAACACTGTCTCTCCTAAAAATACGTAAAAATTAGCCGGGCGTGGTGGCAAATGCCTGTAATCCCAGCTACTCAGGAGGCTGAAGCCCGAGAATCGCTTGAACCCAGGAGGCAGAGGTCGCAATGAGCCGAGGGCAAGAGAGCTAGACTTTAAAAAGAAAAACAAGGTAAGAAAAAACAAAGCTTTTGTTTTCACAAGAACTGCTCAGGAAGAATGAGCTTATTGGGATAAACAATTTAAAAGAGACCAGTCAGGGGCATCAATCCGCTTGAGGGGATTAGAAAGGGGGAGGAGAGGAGGACCAGAAGCTTTACTGAAGCTGTATTAGCACTGTAAGCACACTGTTAGTGTGTGTGTTTTTTCCCCCAGATCAATGAAAACCACAGTTTTATGAAGGTATTTTTATTCCCTTTACACAGGCTTCTTAATCTTGTTGAGAAGCTGGATTTAAGGGGCTATTGGAGATAGGGGTGGAGCCAAATCCCCTTAACCCACCCTTGACATTGTCACAGATGACTGCTCAAATTCTTTGCCCATTTTGAGTTAATAAAGCTTCAATTCAGAGCATATTCTGAACACTTCCAGTGAGAGTGCTCAGGTCTTGTTTTGGATAAATGGTTCTCGGTGAAAACATCAAGGATGCCCCAATTAGGTCTCAATGCTTATTAAAAATAACAAATGAGGCCGGGCACAGTGGGTCACATCTGTAATACCAGCACTTTGGAGGCTGAGGCGGGTGGATCATCTGAGGTTAGGAGTTCCAGAACAGCCAGGCCAACACGGCGAAACCGTCTCGACCAAAAAATATAAAAATTAGCTAGGTGGGGTGGCGCAAGCCTGTAATCCTGGCGACTCAGGAGTCTTCCTCCACCAATGAAAAAAGTCAGCCTTAGTCAATAGTGTCAATCAGAAATTGAGGGCAGGATTCTTGGTCCTCAGGGTTTCAGCCCCCACCTCTTCCACAACAAACCCATATCCTCCTGCAGTTTCTCTTCTAGCCGCCATTAGGCCAGGAGCTATTCCTGCCTTTCGCTGCCCAGAGACGCACCCTCCCTGGCTGGCAGCAACTCCAGAGGGAGCAGTGCCTGCATCTGGATACTGCTCCTCCCTAACAAATGTGCACCTGCCAGAGCTCTGGTGCCCACACAAATCTCTCCTGCCTGGGCAGCTACTGTGGCCCCTGGATCAGTCAAGAGTGGCCTGGCCTCCCAGCTGAGGCCCCCTGTCCACCACCCACCGCCAGCTCATCCCCAAGCCCCCACACAGCACCATGCTTCTCTTCCAAAGCAGAAAGACCATCTTCTATCCCGAGTCCTCACGTGCCACTCCCAAATCAATCTGATCCTGACTACCCCAACACCTAGTCTACAGAAAATTCTATGATGGCATCAGGAATTCACTGGTCCAAAGTGGACAAATGGGATGCAAACCTGCCTCCAAGAACTCAGAACAATCTTCACCTGGCTGCTGTCTGCCCCATACTGACCTGAGATCAGCCCTGGGTCCCTGCTATCCAGGGCTTCTGCTGGAGCTGCCAGAGTTTTAGAGAGAAGCTCTGCTTTCTGCAGTAACTCAAGGCACTGCTGGAGCCTGGCTTCCTACCAGCTGCCACAGAACCACTGAGGCCTTGAACTGGGAGGCAAAGCCTTAATATCCCAGAAACACACGAAGCTGGTAATTTCCAGGAAAGCAGGTTGGAACACAGGTATGCCATCCAAGTGCTAAGGGCTGAATTATGTGCCCCTACTATTCCTGTGTTAAACCCTACAGGACTGTGGTCTTAGGAGAGGAAGAGATTCTCAATCTCTTGATACCTCTCTCTCTCTGCCATGTGAAGACATGGTGAGAAGGCAGCCATCTGCAAGTCAGGAAGAGGGTCTTCACCAGAACCCAACCATCCTGGCACCCTAATCCCAGCCTTCCAGCCTCCAGAACTGAGGAGATAATGTCTGTTATTTAAGACAGCTAGTCTGTGGTATTTTGTTATGGCGGCCCATGCTGAGACAAAAATGTCACCCATCCCCACTTCCCTAGGAGCACAGCCCCTGCCCCAGGAGGCCTGCTAAGTCACCAACCCACATCTCAATTTTCCAAAAAGCTTAAAGGCCAATTTGTAAACAGCGTCCGGCATACACAGCAGGCCAACACCTCTCTGAGGTTCTGAGAAAGGGAGGAGGCACACCGCACCCCCTACAACCCTGAGCCACATCCATTAGCTCCTTCACTATGTATTTTATATAGCATCACTAAAGTCATTTCAAGTAGGAAAAAAAGGTTTATTATAGATGAGTAGAGGAGTACAGCTTATAAAACACTTTCACATGAGGTTATTACAGGACTCTAAATAGCAAAGGCAAACCTGAATCTAAAACGCTTTTTAAAAAACTAAGTGATTTCCCTTTAATCTACTGCACCTTAATTTGCCATCTATTTAATAGCTATTTATCGATTGTCATACAGTACTTTTCATTTCGCTGGCTCAAAACTCTCTCAAATCTTTGTCTACATATCTTACAGTATTTATTTGTTCACTGCTTTAAAGCAAGTATATTACTTCGGCTTTGTTTACTTTGGCAGCTAAAGGCACATCATCTCCCTATGGTGAAGGTAAATCAGGTAATTAATCTGTAATACAATATGATATTGGAAAATGAGATTAAGCATTGTGGTAGAATGGGCTCCCAAAGGTGTTCGCATCTCCATCTCCAAAACCTGTGAACAGATTAACCCACATGGGAAAAGGGACATTGTGGTGACTAAAGTAAGGATCTTCCAAAAGGAGATTGTCTTGGATTTTCCAGTTAGGTCTAATGTAATCACAGGGTCTTTGTAAGACCAAGGTAGGAGATAAGAGTCAGAGAGATTTGAAGATGTTATGCCGCTGGCTATGAAGAAGAAGAGCAGGCCAAGCATCAGGGAATGTACGTGGCCTCTAAATGCTGGAAAAGGCAAGCAAAGTTCTTATTACAAGCTCCAGAAGGAACACAGCCCTGCTAAACCTTGGTTTTAGCCCACACACACCCAATTTGGACTTCTGACCTTCATAACTGTAAGACAATAAAATCTGTATGGCTTTAAGCTGCTAAATTTGTGGAATTAATTACAGTAGCAATAGCAGTCATAAAAACACTAAAAAGTTAATCACTGATCAATCAAATAAATATACATTGATCTCATTCTATATGCTGACATATCAGTAAAAAGACTAAGATCCCTACCCTAAAAGATATTTGAGGATTTCCTTGAGGATATATTTTTACAGAGACATATCTTTTTTTTTCTTTTTTTTGAGACAGTCTCACTCTGTTGCCCAGGCTGGAGTGCAGCGGCGTGATCTCGACTCACTGCAACCTCTGCCTCCTGGGTTCAAGCAATTATTCTGCCTCAGCCTCCCAAGTAGCTAGGACTACAGGTGCATGCCACCACGCCCAGGTAATTTTTGTATTTTTAGTAGAGATGGGGTTTCACCATATTGGCCAGGCTGGTCTCGAACTCCTGACCTCAGGTGATCCACCCGCCTTGGCCTCCCAAAGTGCTGGGATTACAGGCATGAGCCACTGTGCCCAGCCTAGACAGACATATCTTTAAGATACATATTCAGAGAGATACTGCAGTGAAAGAACAGACACAGAGAGCAGAATCCTCTAGTGGATTCTGTATTAACAAAAGCGGTCTATAATGGCTGGCTCCCTGGCCTCTAACCTCCACAGCAGAGTCACCTAACTCCCAACCAAGGCCTCATGACCAACCTGGCCCCAAATGGCAGCAATGCAAACAACCTGAGCCAAGTGGGCAGCATGAGGCTCAGTACTCAGCCCTCCTTCCAGCTGGCCCCACTCTCATCTTGTGTTTCAGTGAACAACTGGGTCAACACAGCCAGTTCCTCTGAAGCTGGGGTTCTAAGCAGACCACATGAGTCCTCCTGGGGATTAACACTCTTATGTAGTCTTGGCAGGGCGTGGTGGCTGACACCTGTAATCCCAGCACTTTAGGAGGCCGAGGTAGGAGGATCACCTGAGGTCAGGAGTTCAAGACCAGCCTGGCCAACACAGTGAAACCCCATCTCTACTAAAACTACAAAATTTAGCCGGGTTTGGTGGTGTCTGCCTCTAATCCCAGCTACTCAGGAGGCTGAGGCAGGAGAATCACTTGATCCTGCGAGGCAGAGGTTGCAGTGAGCCAAGATCACACCATTGCACTCCAGCCTGGGGGACAGAGCGAAACTCCATCTCAAAAAAAAAAAAAGTCTTACGTAGTCCTGCAACTCCATGCTGAAGTTGGGCTATCTTGATACTAATCACCCATCAGCCTGCAGCCCTGCACCCTCTCTTGCCAAACCCCACCTCCTGGCCTGGAGGTCCAACTGTCCTCTCTACTCCTCCCTAACAAGATGATGTGCCCACTGAACTACCAACTGTAGTCAACCACCTCTCTCTGGATACTGCCTGCCTGCTCCTCCCTGGTTCCTGGGTGTGCCCCTGGCCTGCCTCACCTCAGTGGTCTCTGCATCCTAGCCTGACCAGACCTTGTCTGTCCTGATGGGGCCTTCCATCTACTCTCCATGCAAAGCCGGTAAGTTTCTTAAGTTTCTTCTTTGTACAAAGAACGTTTCTTCTCAGGATGATGCAAATATTCTCAAATTAATTGTGATAGTTGTATAACTCTGTAAATATACTAAAAACCACTGGATTGTACACTTTTTTAAAAAGTCAGAATCATCCCATCTCTGTTCAAAATTCCCCAGTAGAGCCCTCCAGGATCTACCCTCCCCTCCTCCTCTGTGCGTTGCCGACACAGTCCCTCCAGGCACCCTGGGCTCCTCAGTGTTTCTTCTGCAAGCTCCTGTTTCAGGGCCTCTGAATCTGCTGCTCCCTGGCCTAGAACACATGCTCTTCCCCAAGTAGCTGTTGGCTCATTACTCACTTTCTTCAGATTTTGACTCCAATATCATCACCATCCAGGGCCTCCCCATCACTTTACAGCAAACAGCAATCCACCCCCACCACACAGGCCCTGCCCCTTCCCAGGCCCCTCACCACCAGCTGTTTTGTTTTTCTCTCTCCCCATTGGAATGAAAGTTCCACGTGGGAAGGGGCTTTGCTTTGTTACTATGGCATCTTGACTTGGTGCCTAGAAAACAACAGGCACACAATCAACACTGAGCAAATATTTTTTGAGTGAATGAATAAATGACTGGTCCAAGTGTGACCAGTCTTGATTCCTGCAAGGATGACACAAAAACATTACTGGGTTTTTAATTATCACTAGATCTAATTTGACACTGATTTAGTGAAATCTGTATCTTCTGAAGATGAATGTCATTCTTGATACAAGATAAAGATCTCAGTTTCTTGGTTTTGAGGTTTGTTAAAAATGACAACAATAAAGGAAAAAATTTTAAACTGCATTTGCAGTTTAGCCATTTACTTATACTCATTTATTTATTTTTGAGACAGTCTCGCTCTGTGGCCCAGGCTGGAGTGCAGTGGCATGATGTCAGCTCACTGCAACCTCCCCCTCCCAGGTTCAAGCGATTCTCCTGCCTCAGCCTCCCGAGTAGCTGGAATTACAGGCATGCACCACCACGCCCCGCAAATTTTTGTATTTTTAGTAGAGATGGGGTGTCACCACGTTGGCCAGGCTAGTCTTGAACTCCTGACCTTAGATGATCCGCCCGCTTCGGCCTCCCAAAGTGCTGGGATTACAGGCGTGAGCCACGGCAACCGGCCAATTTAGTCATTTAGATGTCTACCTAACCCTCCGTAGGTAAATGGCTAAACTGCAAATACAGGTAATAAAGAAAAAATCAATTCAGTACTTCCTGGTATACATAAATATGTCAGAATACTTCAGAACAATGATTCTGCCATAATGAGTTGGCATACACTGCAAGTAACCTTTTCTGTGGGGCCAAAATATCAATACAACAGATTCAGGACAATGAATGCAACTCCTGTTAAGCAGATTTTGGTGTCTCAAATAGGATATAACTTCATGTATTTATTACACCCATTATTCCTGCCAAAGATGAGACACAGCAGGGAGGTTATGTGTTTACTACCAAATTCTGATCTACTTGGGGTCAAGGGCTATGCCTCATACCTGCTCATAACACCAGACCAGAGTTGGCACTTGGCCAAATGTATACTTACTGAATAAACGATCTCTGGTAATCGACATCACAAGTTACATACCCATAACAGTAATCATAAACTCAAGAACATACTGAAGTTTAATATTTTCAGAAAAAAGTTCTGAAAGTAAAACAATTCACATGGCTACAGATTACCTACTGTGATGTATTAAACCTATCCCAAATCCACTTATCTCAATCTTTTCTTAATGAAAGGGAACTAAAAGCCAGAGACTCAACAGACTATTCAGTTCCAACTTATGACCCTACATATGACGTTTAATTAACAGAGGATGCAGGAACCCTTACAGTAGAGAGTTCTGATAGACATCATCTTCACCAAATGATCAAACTTGGTAGTAAAGAGAGGATGCAGATACCCTTACAGTAGAGTTTTCATAGACACCATCTTCACCAAATGATCAAACTTAGTATTATCAATGAAGATACAAATTGACATTCAATGTCTCTTTTTTTGTTGAGACAAAGCCTCGCTCTGTCACCCAGGCTAAAGTGCAGTGGCGCAATCTTGGCTCACTGCAACCTCTGCCTCCTGGGTTCAAGAGATTCTCGTGCCTCAGCCTCCCCAGTAGCTGGGATTACAGGCACACACCACTACGCCTGACTTTTTAGTAGAGACAAGGTTTTGCCATGTTGGCCAGGCTGGTCTTGAACTCCTGACTTCAGGTGATACGCCTGCCTCAGCCTCCCAAAGTGCTGGGATTACAGGTGTGAGCCACTGAGCCAGGCTGACATTCAGTGTCTCTTGATGTGATGTACTGGTGAGTGGACGTCACCTAGGTAGGTAGCGTTCTGACCAAAAATGTTTAATCTAAATCTAATCATGAAGACCATCTAATGAACCTAGATTGTAAAACAGTCTATACAACAATTCACATGGACTCTTCCAAAATGTCCATCTTAAAAAATTCAAACAAGGAAGTAACTGTTTTAGCTAAATGAAACTAAAGAGACGGACAACTTAATGCAATGTGTGAACCTTAGATCATGGAATATATATATTTTTTTAAGGAAAAAAATCTATGTGGACAATTGGGGAAATGTAAACAAGGCCCACACATTAGGTAACATTATTCTATGATGTTCAGTTTCTTGGATGTGATATGGTTTCATGGATAGAAAATGGTTTTTAGAAGATACATGTTAAGATTATCAGGCATCAAGCAAGTGTTATGACTTCTGCAACTTCCTATTGAATGACTCGAGTTGAAATGGGACATGTGACCTACATCTAAGTGTGATACGTATGTAATACATGTGGTTATATATATAGAGAGAGAGAAAGAGAGCAGAGAGAGAGAAAGAGAAACAGAAAGCCAAAGAATCAAAATATTACTGAGTCTAAGTAAAGGGTACATGGGTATTTGTTATACTGTTCTCTCAACTGTTTGGCAGGCTTGACATTTTTCAGGAAAGGGGAAAATTAAGGAAACAAAGATTAATCTGGTCCCAGTAGTGCCTCCAGATTGCACGAACATTTCATGTATCACACAGGGTCACCAGAATACCATCAATTTTTTGATATCACTGTCAAAAGTGATCCTAGCACCTTCTGAAATAACGTGAGCTGCCAGATTCTCATTTCAGGAATGACCACAAGCGAACATCTGCATCTGACCCCAACCTGCCTGATGACCTTACCCGCTACTTCACAATCCCGTCCGGGAAAATCCCTGGGCACATAACACTGCAAGTCCCAGGTGTCCGCTGAACGGCGCCTGGCAGTCGCTGCCCAGGGGATGAGAAATCACAGGTGCCTTGTTTGGAACTAGAGTCTGGAATCTCGTCCTCCTTCCCTCTGCTCTGGTCCCTCATTGTTTATGAAGACCTCAGTCCCCTCTGCTGGGAGCCCCACCTCCCCTTCCAGGGCCACGGGCTCTAGTCTTCTTGCCTTTCAAGGACCACACAAATAACTGTGCCTCCCCTCAAAGCTTTTCTCCTCCTTCCCAAGTGAAGTCCTCTCTCCTCCCTCCAGCTTTCAGGGCACGGAGCGCTCTTCCTGGCATTAGAATTCTGAGCAACCCTCCTAGCAGGCCCAGCTCAAGCCGCAGCGGGGAGGAAGAGTTCAAAGGAAGCTGTGCCAAAGATCTCGAAGGCTTAGTGGGAGACCCAGCAACAGGTGGCACCAGGTCTGGGAAAGATTCCTAGAAAGCGGAGCGGGTCTCGGAGGGGGAGGATTTAGCCCCAGGCGCCCGCGATCAGCGAACGAGCGCCTGCGCGGAGGGGCCGGGCTGCAGCCCCGGGGCAAGGGGAGCGCGAGCTCTGACTCCTCAGCGCGGCCGGGCCGCTCCGAGACCCCTCGAAGGAGGCCGGGCGCCGTGGGGCAACCCAGGCAGGGCGGGGACCACAGCCTCCCGGGCTCGTGGGGTGCAGCTCTGAACCTGAGGCGCTCGGAAGCTCAAGGCCAAGACCCGCTCGGGTGGCGGCCGAGCGCCCTCCAGCCCCGGGCCCACCTGCGGCCGCTCTCTGCATCTCACGCCCAGCGGGACTCCGGGGCTCCGCCTCAGGGACCGCCGAAGAAGTGATGGGGAAAGGGGCTCCGGGCGAGCAGCACGGCCCCCCTCCCGGAGGACAGCGCCCACGCCGCCAGCAGGCTGCGCACCCGGGACCCCGCCCAGACTCGGGGCGCCCACAGCACGGCAGCGGCGACGGCGGGGCGCGCAGTGCGCAGGCGCGGGGCGGGCCGTACCTGGGAAGGAGCAGAGGGAAGTAGAGTTGGGGCACAGGGTCCCGTTGCCCACCCGCGGCACAACCTTCAGGCTCAGGATCTGCTGCAGGAGCCCGGCCGACCCGCCGCTGCCGCCGCTCCCCTCGCGCTCCATCCCGTCGCCATTCACCACAGAGAAATGAGGGACGAGCGCCCGAAGTGCGGTAGCGGCCGGCGCCGACTCACCCTCGCCGCCTCAGCGTCACCTCCAGCCGGGGTCCTCTTCCCCCAATCCCAACGGCGCTGCCAAGTGACCGTTGCCTCCTCCAATCACAAGGCGCCGCAGCGCTCGGGCGCAGGGCCAGGGTTGTTCCCGCCCCCAACGTTGCGCAGGGCTCGCAGAGACACAGCCCCACGGACGCGCCCCCTCCTGGACGGCGCGCTCTGGGACCGCGCGCTCTGCTCTGCCCTTCTCTGCAGCGCCCCCTGTGAGAAAGTAGGGAATTGCATGCGCCCCAACAGAGCCGCGCTATGGAGTTACCAGGGATCTGGAAAAATACAGTGATGGAACGGATATGTAAAGTTCTAGTTATGACTGGACTCCAGCATTTATGAAACCTTCATGAACAGAACAAGAACGTTCTCTATTTAAAGCTGATAGTAGAAAGAGCCCATGCAAAGTCTGGTGTGGGACCAGAATGGGAGGGAGGCTATGTAGCCTCTATAGAGCTCGACTTAGTTTTAAATAAAATAAAATGTACAGAGATTCGGTTCAGAGCAATAAAATTAGATCACACTTTTTTCTTTTTTTTGAGACGGAGTCTCCCTCTGTGACCCAGGCTGGAGTGCGGCCGCGCGATCTCTGCTCACTGCAAGCTCTGCCTCCCGGGTTCACACCATTCTCCTGCCTCAGCCTCCCGAGTAGCTGGGACTACAGGCGCCCGCCACCACGCCCGGCTAATTTTTTGTATTTTTAGTAGAGGCGGGATTTCATCGTGTTAGCCAGGATGGTCTCGATTTCCTGTCCTCGTGGATCACACATTTTTGTCTCACCTCCCTTCAGAAAGCCTGTTAAAATGAAGGCAGAGAAATCGTAAAAAGGAATAAGCTAATGTTCAGTTTGTTTGCACTGCTGTAACAAAGTACCTGAGAGTGGGCAATTTATTAAGAACAGAAATTTATTTTCTCACAGTTCTGGAAGCTGGGAGGTCCAAGATCAAGGTCGCAGCAGGTTCCATGTCTAAGGACGGCCCGTTCCTCACTGATAGCACCGCCCGGGCGTCCTCACACGGTAACAAAGGGAGCCCACTCTCCAAATCCCTTTTATAAGGGTCCTAATCCCATAACGGGGGCTCCACTCTTCTGACTTAATCGTCTCCTAAAGGCCCCTCCTCTCAGTACTATCGCATTCCCACGAAGTTTCAGGACATGAATTTGGGGGAACACGTTCAGACCATAGCAGCCATTAACAATAGTGTTCTGGAAGGGAAGTTACCAAGGATAAGTAATGTCCACAAGGTTCCAGGTGATGAAGAGGCTTGTGACGAATAATAATGTTTTTGTTTGGTTGGTTGGTTTGTTTTGAGACAGAGTCTCACTTTGTTGCCCAGGCTGGAGTGCAGTGGCGAAATCTCAGCTCACCGCAACCTCCGCCTCCCTGGTTCAAGCGATTCTCCTGCCTCAGCCTCCCCAGTAGCTGGGATTCCAGGCGCGTGCCACCAGGCCCAGCTAATTTTTGTATTTTGAGTAGAGATAGGGTTTTGCCATGTTATCCATGTTGGTCTCGTTCCTGACCTCAAGCGATCCACCTGCCTTGGCCTCCCAAAGTGCTGGGATTACAGGCGTGAGCCACTGCACCTGACTGGTAAATTTTTTTTTTTTTTTTTTTTTTTTTTTTTTTTTTTTGAGACGCAGTCTTTTTCTGTCGTCCAGGCTGGAGTGGAGTGGAGTGTAGTGGCGCAATCTCGGCTCACTGCAACCTTCGCCTCCCGGGTTCAAGCAATTCTCCTGCCTCAGCCTCCCAAGTAGCTGGGATTATAGCTCCGTGCCACCATGCCCAGGTAATTTTTGTATTTTTAGCAGAGATGGAATTTCACCATATTGGTCAGGTTTGTCTCAAACTCCTGACGTCAGGTGATCCATCTACCTTGGCCTCCCAAAGTGCTGGGATTACAGGCGTGAGCCACCGTGCCCAGCCTGAAAACTTCTTTAAAAATCATTGAATTGTACAGTTAAAATAAATGAATTTTATGCTACATAAATCATACCTTTTAAAATCTTTTTAAAAAGTGACCAATTCACCGATCTGCCAAGCAAGGTGGCTCATGCCTGTAAACCCAACACTTTTGGGAGGCCAAGGCTGCAGGATTGCTTGAGCCCAGGAGTTTGAGACCAGCCTGGGCAACATAGGTAAACCTTGTCTCTACTAAAAATTCAAAAATTAGTCGGGTGTAGTGGCACACACCTATAGTCCCAGCTAACTCCAGAGGCTGAGGTGGGAGGATCCCTTGAGCCCCAGAGGTCAAGGCTGCAGTGAGCTATCATTGCTCCATTGTACTCCAGCCTGGGCAACAGAAGAAGGCCCTGTCTCAAAAAACAAACACACAAATAAACAAACAAAAAACCCCACAAGAATTTAAAGATGGCTCAGGAATTTAGTAAATAATTAAAGCTGAAACTTTTTGTCATATAAGTTGAAATGGAAAAACCTGTGATTCACAGGTATTTTCTGGCGCAGCTAGACTTCTTGTTGGCATTTCAGATTCTGTAGGATTTTTTTGTGACAGTGGCTGACAGCCTTTTTCCATAATTGTGCTATATCCAATGCTGGCCCTGGAAATAAATGGTGTTGCTCCACCAAATTAATCATAATAAAGAAAGGAAAAGAAAAATAAATAGAACAAGAAGAAAAAGATAGAAATAAGAAATTCTACCAAGCACAGTGGCTCACGCCTGAAATCCCAACACTTTGGGAGGCCAAGGTGGGTGGATCACCAGGTCAGGAGTTGGAGGCCAACCTGGCCAACATGGTGAAGACTGTCTCTACTAAAAATACAAAAATTAGCCGAGCGTGGTGGCGGGTGCCTGTAATCCCAGCTACTCAAGAGGCTGAGGCGGGGGAATCACTTGAACCTGGGAGGAAGAGGTTGCAGTGAGCCGAGATCTTGCCATTGCACTTCAGCCTGGGCAACAAGGGCAAAACTCCATCTCAAAAAAAAAGAAAGAAATAAAAAAGAAATTCCTAAAACAGAGGGAATCTATAGGTCACCTACAAAGAAATGAGAATCAAATGGTTCAGTAGCCAAATGAAGAAGAAGGCTGGATGACAATGTACCAACACCTTCAGTATTTGCAGAGAAAATGATTTTTTTTAAAGCTTTTTTGTTTTTAAATTTTTTTAAGAGACAGGGTCTCACTATGTTGCCCAGGCTGGTCTCAAACTTGTGGGCTCAAGCAATCCTCCCGCCTTGGCCTCCCAAAGTTCTGGGATTACAGATGTAAGCCACTGCACCCGGTCATTAACCTATTTTACACTCAAAAGTATTGTGTGCAAAATACATATTTTCCATTTTTGTTTGTTTGTTTGTTTGTTTGAGACAGAATCTTGCTCAGTCACCCAGGCTGGAGATCAATGGCACGATCTCAGTTCATTGCAACCTCCGCCTCCCAGGTTCAAGCAATTCTCCTGCCTCAGCCTCCTGAGTAGCTGGGATTACAGGTGCCCACCACCATGCTCTGCTAATTTTTGTATTTTTAGTAGAGACAGGGTTTTGCCATCTTGGCCAGGCTGGTCTCGAACCCCTGACTTCGTGATCCACCCACCTCGACCTCCCAAAGTGCTGGGATTACAGGCATAAGCCACCACACCCAACCCATATTTTCCTCTTAATTCAAGAACATTAGCAAGACTGTTTATTAGAATTTTCTCCTGAGCCGGGCGCGGTGGCTCACACCTGTAATTCTGGCACTTTGGGAGGCTGAAGCAGGCAAATTGTCTGAGCTCAGGAGTTCCAGACCAACCTGAGCAACATGGTGAAACCCCATCTCTACTAAAATAGAAAAAATTAACTGGGAATGGTGGTGTGTGACTGTAGTCCCAGTTACTCAGGAGGCTGAGGTAAGAGCATTGCTTGAACCCGGGAGCCACTGCACTCCAGCGTGGGCAACAAAGCCAGACTCCATCTCAAAAAGAAAAAAGGCCGGGCGTGGTGGCTCACACCTGTAATCCCAGCACTTTGGGAGGCAGAGACGGGCGGATCACGAGGTCAGGAGATCGAGACCATCCCTGGCTAACACGGTGAAACCCCGTCTCTACTGAAAATACAAAAAAATTAGCCGGGCGTGGTGGCAGGTGCCTGTAGTCTCAACTACTCGGGAGGCTGAGGCAGGAGAATGGTGTGAACCCAGGAGGTGGAGCTTGCAGTGAGCTGAGATTGCGCCACTGCACTCAATCCTGGGCGACAGAGCGAGACTCCGTCTCAAAAAAAAAAAAAAAAAAAAAAAGAAACAGAAGTCTCTCTTGAAACCTCCGTTTAGGAAGCTTCCTCCTGCCAGTTCCCTACCACTACAATTGGCGTTTTGCATCAACCAAGAAACCTATCTAAAATAAAAATAGGAAGTATAAAAAGGGTCAGGAAATACTGACCTTTTAACCATGCTGTCTTTTTGGTACATTTCCCAGACTAGCAGAGTCTATTAGAAGTGGAAGAAACCGCTGGGCGTGGTGGCTCATGCCTGTAATCCCAGCACTTTGGGAGGCTGCGGCGGGTGGATCACGAGGTCAGGAGTTTGAGACCAACCTGACCAACATGGTGAAACCCCGTCTTTACTAAAAATACAAAAATTAGCCGGGCATGGTGGCATGTGCCTGTAATCCCAGCTACTCAGGAGGCTGAGGCAGGAGAATTGCTTGAACCTGGGAGGTGGAGGTTGCGGTGAGCCGAGATCGCACCATTGCACTCCAACCTGGGCGACAGAGCAAGACTCTGTCTCAAAAAAAAAAAAAAAAAAAGAAAAAGGGCCAGGTGTGGTAGGTCACACCTGTAATCCCAGCACTTTGGGAGGCCGAGGCAGGCAGATCACGAGGTCAGGAGTTCCAGAACAGCCTGACCAACATGGTGAAACCCCATCTCTACTAAAAATACAAAAATTAGCCGGGCCTGGTGGCATGCGCCTGTAATCCCAGCTACTTGGGAGGCTGAGACAGGAGAATTACTTGAACCCGGGAGGCAGAGGTTGCAGGAGCCGAGATCGTGCCATTGCACTCCAGTCTGGGCAACAAAATGAGACTCTGTCTCAAAAAAAAAAAAAAAAAAAAAAAATCAGCTGGGCGTGGTGGTGGGCGCCTGTAATCCCAGCTACCGGAGAGGCTGAGGCAGGAGAATGGCGTGAACCCGGGAGGTGGAGCTTGCAGTGAGCAGAGATCGCGCCACTGCACTCCAGCCTGGGCAACAGAGCGAGACTCCGTCTCAAAAAAAAAAAAAAAAAAAAGTGGAAGAAATCAATTATTGTAGGGTTACATAATCAATTATGTATTACATTAGGAAACATTATTTTGAATTTAGAATTCGATCTTTAGTTCATTTATGAATTGACAGGTTAAAAAAAGACATTTAGCCTTGCAGGACTCAGAAAATGGAGGTTTCCTGGGCCCTGTCTAAGGAAGCCAAGGAGGCGGTCCAGCACACCAGACCCCCTGGCCCCTTGCTGCTCTTTCAACAAGCCAGATGCCTCCCCTCCTTAGGGCTTTTGTGTTAGCTCTTTCCTGCTCCCAGACAGGCTACCCATGATTGCCCTTAACATACTCCCTCACCTCCTGTAAGACTTTCCTCAAATGTCGCTTTCTCACTGAGACCTACCCTGATCACCCCATTAAAAATTACAACTCACACCTCTACACACATATATTCCTCATCCCCCGATCCTTCTCTACTTTAATCCTTGGCACTTTCTAATATGCTAAATAATGTAGCCATTTATTAAGCTTATTCATCAGCTATCTCCCCACCATCAGAATGCAAGTTCCTGAAGGGCAGGGTTGTTGTTGTTGTTGTTTGAGAGAGTCACACTCTATCGCCCAGGCTGGAGTGCAGTGGCGCGATCTCAGCTCACTGCAACCTCCGCCTCCCAGGTTTAAGCGATTCTCCTGCCTCAGCCTCCTGATTAGCTGGGATTACAAGCGTGCACCACCACCACCACGCCTGGCTAATTTTTGTATTTTTAGTAGAGATGGGGTTTCACCATGTTGGCCAGGCTGGTCTCGAACTCCTGACCTCATGATCTGCCTGCCTCGGCCTCCCAAAGTGCTGGGATTACAGGCGTGAGCCACTGCGCCTGGCTGGTTTTTGTTTTGTTTTGTTTTGTTTTGTTTGTTTTTGAGATGGAGTCTCGCTCTGTCGCCCAGGTTGGAGTCCTTTGGCGCCATCTCGGCTCAATTCAACCTCCGCCTCCCGGGTTCAAGCAATTCTCCTGCCTCAGCCTCCTGAGTAGCTGGGACTACAGGTGCATGCCACGATGCCCAGCTAATTTTTATATTTTTAGTAGAGACTGGGTTTCACCATATGGGTCAGGCTGGTCTTGAACTCCTGACCTCAGGTGATCCACCTGCCTCGGCCTCACTAAGGGCTGAGATTAGAGGTGTGAACCACTGCACCCAGCCTAGGGCAGGGGTTTTTGCTTTTTGTCTGTTTTTGGTCCTGCTGTATCTCCAGCTCCTATAATAGCCCAGTGCCTGGTTGGTGCTCAACCCATAATGTGTGTTGAATGAATGAGTGGAGTTCTTGAGGACTGGGAGCAGAATAACACAAGACTTGCAGGACAGGCCAGGTTTTCTGGTCTTACTCCCAAAGGAGAAAATGCTCGATTGGCTGGAATGAATTGCCATCTTGGAAAAATGGATAGTAGGCCAATCCTTTCCATTTCATCAAGACTTTAGCTCTGGTTCTTTCGTTTTTTGTTTGTTTGAGACAGAGTCTCGCTCTATTACCCAGGCTGGAGTGCAGTGGGGCGATCTTGGCTCACTGCAACCTCTACCTCCTGGGTTCAAGCAATTCTCATGCCTCAGCCTCCCAAGTAGCTGGAATTTCAGGCACATACCACCACGCTTGGCTACGTTTTTGTATTTTTTTTAGTAGGGACAGGGTTTCGCCAAGTTGCCCAGGCTGGTC